>NC_000004.12:56920357-57246763 GCF_000001405.40 Homo sapiens | reverse complement strand
GGTTCCATATGAATTTTAGGATTTTTTTTTAGTTCTGTAAAGAATGGTGAAGTTATTTTTATGGGAATTGCATTGAATTTGTGCATTGTTTTTGGGAGTATGTCATTTTCACAATATTGATTCTACCCAGCCATGAGCATGGAATGTGTTTCCATTTGTTAGTGTCATCTATGATTTCTTTTAGCATTGTTTTGCAGTTTTCCTTGCAGAGGTCTTTCACGTCCTTGGTTAGGTATATTCCTAAGTTGTTTTTTGTTTTGTTTTGTTTCGCAGCTATTGTAAAAGGGGTTAAATTCTTGATTTGATTCTCAGCTTGGTCACTATCGGTGTATAGCAGAGCTACTGATTTGTCTGTACTAATTTTGTATCCTGAAACTTTGCTGAATTCATTTACCAGTTCTAAGAGCTTTTTGGATGAGTCTTCAGGGTTTTCTAGGTATACACTCATATCATCAGCAAACGGTGACAGTTTGACTTCCTCTTAAGGAAGCTCTTGGATGCCCTCTGTTCTGTCCATTTCTATCATTGACCCGAAAAATTAATTCATGTGAACATATCAGTGTTGCTAATAAAGAACCTTTGGAGTCTCTGGATAAAATCTTTATAATTTAAAGTGGGTCTACAGAGGAAAATAAATTGTTCTACAAAAAAAAGACATGCACTTGTATGTTTATCACAGCACTATTCACAATAGCAAAGACATGGAATCAAAGTGCCCACTGGAAGTGGATTGGATAAAGAAAATAGGGTTTATAAACACCGTGGAATACTATGCAGCCATAAAAAAGAACAAAATCATGTACTTTGCAGCAAGATGGATGCAGCTAGAGGCCATTGTCCTAAGCAAATTAATGCAGGAACAGAAAACCAAATACCATATGTTCTCACTAAGTGAGGGCTAAACATTGGGTACTCGTGGACATCAAGATGGCAAAAATAGGCACTGGGGACTACTAGAAGGGAGAGAAAGTGGGAGCAAGGGTTGTAACTATTGGGTACTATGCTCATTACCTGAGTGACAGGATCAATCATACCCCAAAACCCAGCATCACACAATATTCCCATGTAAAAAACCTGCACATGCACCTCCTGAAACTAAAATAAAAGTTGAAATTATTTGTAATAAACAAACAAAATGGGACTATTATAGATGTTCCTTAACCCAGAGAATCATTCTGATAGTGTGAATTTTAGGTACCTGTACCATGCAAGGCTGTAAGAAATATACATTAGGGAAACAGATGGAAATTTAGTTGCTACTTCAGTCACTTAAAACTGACTCTTGTGTGTATGTGTATATGTACACACATCCACATGTGTGTGGCCTGTGGTAGCATGGTGAGGCATGATGACATGCTATTATGATGTGAGGGTTAGGGAGAGAAGCTACTTGTTTTTTGGTCAAAAGATTTCCTCTGAGTCTGCCAGAGAGAGGCAGGGTGAACTTAAACCTTGCTTCTCTATCAGAGACAGATATTTTTTTCTCTCCTCTTCGTATTCCTAGTACTAAGGGAGGATGTGTGCCCAGTGTGCCAAGAAGAGTGCCTGGAACATTGCAGGCACTCAATAAGTGTATTAGTCCTTCAGCAAGCATCCACTTAGCTCTTGTTTTATGCCAGGCTCTGTTTATACACCAGAGAATAAAACAGATGAAGACCTGGCTCTCCTGGTGCTCACATTCTAGTGGCAGAGACATTAAATAGAGGGGAAGGAGTGAAGTGAGGAGCAGCCTTTAAGAAGTTCAAGTTGGGGGCAAAAGGAGGTAAAAACAGACTGTGTGCGTGTAGCCTGCACTGTGTTCCCTTTCTCTGGGCCATATCCAGAATGACATAGATCTATGATAGTTCTATGGCAGGCTGAGTTTGGGTATTTAAATTGTTCAAAGAGGGAATTGGGGCCATGCGCGGTGGCTCACACCTGTAATTCCAGCACTTTGGGAGGCTGAGGCAGGCAGATCACAAGATCAAGAGATCGAGACCATCCTGGCCAGCATGGTGAAACCCCGTCTCTACAAAAATACAAAAATTAGCTGGGCGTGGTGGCAGGCACCTGTAGTCCCAGCTACCTGGGAGGCTGAGGCAGGAGAATCACTTGAACCCAGGAGGTGGAGGTTGCAGTGAGCCGAGATCATGCAACTGCAATCCAGCCTTGTGACAGAGTGAGACTCTTTCTAAAAAAAAAAGGGGGGGAATTGGGATAAGTTGAAGTAAAAACTTTCTTACTAGGATAGAATGCCAAGGGAAAGTGCAAATTCCATTCCTTGAATAAAAATGGGTGATGAAAATCCAATTCTTACCAGGAACCATGAGTTGAAGAAAGAATGCTGGACAGGAAGTCTGCATTCCTGCTGTGCTGTTTATAAGCTGGGCGACCTTAGCCAAGTCTCTCCACCACCATAAGCCTTAGTGTCCTCATCTACAGAAAGAGAAGGGAGGATTTGATGACCACTGAGTTCCCTTCCAATCCTGTGGATTCAATGACACCAAACTCTTCTGGTCTCTTCAAGTCCTCTACTTCTATATTTTCATTTACTGTAGGTTTTTACTGGAAAAAACAGAATGCACCACTTCTTGGAATATAGTGTTAGCCTCAAGATTTCTTAAAAAGTATAACCCACTGCTGGGATTACCATTGTGAAAAGTCTGAGAGAGGAGACAGGGCAGAGACAAGGGTTGGGGGCAGAGGGAACACATATAATACCACTATGTCTGTGTATAGACAGGAAATCTCAAAATATCTCTCACGGTCATGTGGGGCATCTCCCTCACTGTCATAATACAGGTAAATCAAGCTCTATACAATCTATACTGTTGAAAAGCAGCATCAAAACCCAGTTTGGGTCATTTAAATTATAGAAATACACTAGAGAAATTGTTATTAAAGAGAATCTTTTAATATCTTTTGTGATGCAAATGAATGCTCCATATTTCATTTTCATGACAATCTGGGTTTGTATGAATTTATATTTAAAAATTACAGCCAATATTTACCAAGGGCCCACCCTGTATCAGGCTCTGCGCCAAGAAGTTTGCATACAGTATTGCATCTAATAACAGCCTCACAAAATTATTTCTGATTATCACAATTTTACAGAAGAAGAAAATGCAGCTCAGAGAAGTTGAGTGATTTACCCAAAGTAACACAGAGTGTAGTAGGAAGGAGAATGAGTAGACAAGCCTAAATTTATCTAATCTAAGAGCCAAAATTCTTAACCACTACTCTATACTGCCCAAAAAAATTGAAGCAAAGTCTGCTCTGGGTACATGTGGAGTCTAGGGGCTCTCTTTGTCCTGTAGCTTCTATTTTCTTAGTCCAAGTCCCCACACCCATTTCTCAGCTACTGAACCTTGTTTACAGGCCTGAAAAATGGCAAGTGGTTTTCAGGCATAGATTCTGTTCTCAGAAGCCCAAGACTATGAGCCAAAATAGGCCGTGGAAGGCTCAAAAGAGAGTGGCCAGGCCAAGAGAAGGCTCAAAGCCATGTTATGTGGGAACAGTGGAAGAAGTGAACAGGCTTGGACTGGAAAGAAGAAGGCTCCAGGGAAACAGGTGCTAACAGAGTTTTTCACAGCTCAGCTGTCTCATTTGAAGAAGTCGCTTCAGCCAGAAGCAGCAGACTCAGTACATTCAGCAATGCAGATTGATTTTTAAAATACAGAAAGAAACAGAAGGTGATCTATAGCACAAAGTCAGGTATTTAAGTTTTAAAAATTTTTTAAATCTATGACAGGCCGGGCGTGGTGCTTCAGGCCTGTAATCCCAGCACTTTGGGAGGCTGTGGCAGGTGGATCACCTGAGGTCAAGAGTTTGAAACCAGCCTGGCCAACATGGTGAAACCCTGTCTTTACTAAAAATACAAAAATTAGCCAAGCATGGTGACACGTGCCTGTAGCCCCAGCTACTTGGGAGATTGAGGTAGGACAATCATTTGAACCCGGGAGGCGGAGCTTGCAGTGAGCTGAGATCGCACCACTGCACTCCAGCCTGAGCAACAGAGGGAGACTCCATCTCAAAAAAAAAAAAAATCTGTGACAAAAAAGTACATGTTTTACAAGAACTCATACAAATAGAAAAATACACATCATATGCTTTAGGATGGTTGCTTATGAGGAAGAAGTAAGAGGGCTGGGAAGAGTCAAAAGGAAGAAATAAGTGGCATTTGCCTTATTTTTACCTTGGTCCGAATATATGCATGAGGACCACATGTGTTAAGCCCCAGGAGATAATGCTAGGATCCGCAGGTGAAACTCAAAGAGCACTATTCAAAATACATCCTGAGCCCACACACTTTGCACACCAAGATGCCATTGTCTCTGGCCCGAACTTCCGCAGCAGTCTCTAACTGCTCTCCCTAAGCCCACTTACTTTCCCATACAGTCTATTTGCAGAGCAAATTTTCTATAACTTAAGTCAAATCGTACTAGGACCCTCCAATGACTCCTTATCATGTTTAGAGTAAAATACGGTATCCTTACAAAGACTCCCAAGGCCCCATGGGTCTGGCTCCCATGGTCTGCCTCCCATTCCCTTTCTAACCTCATATCTCACCATCCTCCCCTTTGCCTTCCCCATTCCAATCACACTGGCCTCTTCACTGCTCCATAAACCTGCCTCAGGCCCTTTGCGCTTACTGTTTCTGCTGCTGGAATGCTCTTCCCCTTGATACTCACATGGCTCTTTCAGGACTCCACTTGAAAGTCAGTTGTCCATGAGGCCTTTCCTAACCACACTAGTTAAGACTGCAAGTGTCCGCCCCTGGCATTCTCTTTCTTTCTTACTTGTCCCAGTCGTGCTCTTCATTTTACTTGCCTTTATTCTGTCTCTCTTCTGTAGGAAGCAAACTCCAAAAGCACAGAGATTGCTTTCTATTTTGCTCACTTGTTAGATCCTCAGAACTTAATACCTGAAGCATAGTATGCACTCAGTAAAAGCATTTGAATTGATTTTTGTTCAACGTAAAAAATTTCCTACAGAGTTGACCATAAATGAAATGAGATATCTCATAAGGTAGTGAGCTCCCCACCTCTGGATGTATTCAAGACTGAAAGCATTCAAGATGTATTCAAAGCTGTGATCTTTTGGTAAAGATACAAAAGAAAAAATTCAAGCCCTAGGTATTTGATTGGACTAGATATTAACCCAAGTGCCTCCCAACCCTGAAATATCATAGTTCTGAGAATCACCACAAAGAGGCTAAGACTCTTTAAACTGAACCTAGGGGAGGTCAGCAAATGCTTAAGAAACCAGGGTCATAGTTTCTCCATTCTTCTCTGCCTAGTGAATTGAGCACCAGTAGCTTTTGGTTTGAGGGGGACAGGGATTGTTTGGTTTTTCATCTCTAATGTGAGTCTTTTAAGCCCCACGAATCTATCTGGAAACATTTTCTCTTGAATACAAAAAGGCAGCATACATCTAATTGCAAATGAGAACTATCAGGACAAGCTAGTGTTATCAAATAACTGTATGATCTGAAAAAAAAAAGTCATCATCTCACGTAATTTAAATTCTTGCCCTTTGCTCCCTTGTGTATATTTTTGCATTAAAAAGTCTGCTTAAAATTAGTTCAGTTCTTCCCTTTTGGGTAGATTATAAAACAAAAACATGAGAGGATTATAAAGAGGATGTGAATGACTGATAGTTGCGATTTCTCCTAAAGAGCTTCTTGATTTGAAGTGTAATAAGAAAGTTCTCTTCCTTTGGAAAGACCAAAAGGATGTGTCGTCTAGGGTCTGTACAAATTAGTGATATCACCATCCTCCAGAGAAGAAAACACTTTGATTTTATACGTATTTTTTTACAGTGATAAGAAAATTGCAGGACCCAAGAGAGAGAGACCCATGCTTTACATCCTGTAAAATGTGGGCTAAAGTATGATTTAGATATTTTCTGCCCTCCCCTTTTCTCTGCTAGAAAGTGGGATTCTTTAATTGTGTGAACAATTCAGGGATCCTATAGGTAAGTGGATGATGGGCAAGAGGAGTGGTCCTGTGTTCTCTGAAGTCACAATTCTGAAGGCAACCTACATGCTATTGACAGCAGAGGAGGTGTTCCCTCCCTGTTTACAACTTTCCTCAGCACAGAGACAGGGGACCCATGGGAACATCCAATTACATTTTTATTCCATTAAAGGCAGTGAGGTGCAGGTATCTCCTGCTACTTTCACAGTCCTTTCTAAACAAAGAAGAGGCTCTGAGTTTGAGATTTCTCAGGCATTATATTCTCCTCCTGTTGCCAATTTGTAGTTTATTTCTGAAGAGAAGCCTGCAAGTGTACCATAACTGAGACAAACAAGCACCAATAATTACTATCTGTTTAGCCCATCCCCTGCCAATGCAGGGATACATCAGGGGAATCTTTTAACGGAATTCCCCAACACTGGGCTGCATGATGGTCTATAGAGTCATTTTTCCTCTTCCTGACATTTTCTCTTTTGTGCTCCCCACACCCATTCTCTCCCCTATGATGGAGCAGTTCTTTATTCTACAGAACATTTGCTTTATTATAGAAACTGAGCACACTAAAAGAAAAACTTTCAACAGTTATTCAACAGTAGATCCTGGGCAACTCTCTCCATGCCTAGCACTGAAGTCAGTGCTGAGGTAAAGATGGGGGTTGGTGGTGGGCTGGGGGAAGGCAGGCACTGTAAAGGGAGACACATTTGTACTCAAGTAGAGCTCACAGTCTATTGGGCAGACAGGATTATTTTTATAAAAGAAAATAATTAAAGAATAACATAATACAAAGAATGCATAGTATGAAAAAGCACAGCACATGGTGCTTCATGCCATAAAAACAATGAGCATGGGCTGGGTGTGGTGGCTCACGCCTGTAATCCCAGCACTTTGGGAGGCAGAGATGGGTGGATCACCTGAGGTCAGGAGTTCGAGACCAGCCTGGTCAACATGGTGAAACCCCATCTCTACCAAAAATACAAAATTAGCTGGGCGTGGTGGTGGGCACCTGTAATCCCAGCTATGTGGGAGGCTGAGGCAAGAGAATCGCTTGAGTCCTGGAGGCAGAGGTTGCAGTTAGCCAAGATTGCAACCTTGCACTCCAGCCTGGGCGACAAGAGCAAAACTCCGTCTCGGGGAAAAAAAAAAAAAGGAAAAAGAATCAATGAGTATGTTTGGCACTAGAGAAGACAAGATTTGTGTGGTTTAACTTGGACTGGGCCTTGAATGACAGAAGAAAGAAACTGGAAAGCTCGCAAGATCAGTCTCTACATGAGCCCGGCCAAAGTCGGCTGGCCCACTTGCTCTGCCTTTCCTATTGGCTTCCTTTCTATGATGTAACCACAGCTGCAGGGGGGCCACATATAACTTCCTGGGAATTAAACAGGCCAAATATTTTGGTCCCACTGGATTGTTCAATACTTAGAACCCAATTCTTAGAAAACACAAAATTAAAATGCTGCAACTAAGTCAACAATTTCTCCCTTTGCTACAGAGAGCTGGGTGGACTTCTATGCATACATTTGTGAGTACCTTTTCTCTAAAGGAAAAGTTTTAAGCAGGAAACAATTAGCAAGAAATTTTGGAAGCAGGTATAGGAGCAGAGCAAAAAGGCCCAGTCCCAGAAAAGGACAGAAGGAGTTGGTGCTCAAATCCCAAGCAGAAGGAATCAAGTCTCCAAGCATGGTGCAGCCCCCTCCGGGGGATGGATCTGACAGTCTCTTCTTGTTAAAGACCTTTAACAAGCACAAGCTTCAGGCCCCAGGGGACAGGCCCTGGCTATATGACCAAGGGTACCTTCTTTAACCTCATATGGAAAGTGGAACAATCCTACCTACCTTGAAGAGTCTCAATTTTTGGATATAATAAAACAAAAGTTTAGTACAGAGCCTAGAACAGAAATTACTCAAGTGGAGTTCATTATTACCGTTGTTAATTATAATAATTTTAATATCACCCTTCTCCTCTATCAAAGCTTCTTATTTCTTTCTTTCCTACCTTTTTTTTTCTATACTCCAATAACTAGAAAGTTACATACTCAGATCCCCATAGGGTTTTCTTCTGTTAGTGCTTTGGGTCATCCTGATTTAATCAGTCCTTTTAAAGGATCACCAGCCATTCTTCTGGCTGACATTTTAATCAGGTTTTCCCAAGAATCCCAAAGGAGGGGGAAAATGGAATTGCAATGAAAAATAAATCCACTTTCTCTACATGCCAGTAAATTATAACTCTGCAGCCGCCTCAGAAAAAGAACAAAAGACACATGGTGGAACATTTTTCTGGCTGAAAAAATTGACAAAGCCGTGGAACCAAATTCTTTGCAGCATTGATGGGGGTGGAGGGCAGGGATGGGGAACAAGTGCAATTCTGCAGAACTGTGTTCTCACAATTACCCTAACTCGATACCAAAAGTGTTCACAGGACACCTTTGGGGTAGGAGGAAAATGTCTGCTCCTCTCCACACAACCTTATAAAGACAGAAAAGAGGAACACCTTTACATATCCAAAATAGAAGATAATATTCAAATAATACATTCAGGGCTTTGTGTTCCAATGACACAAAATATTCTGCTGCTCATAGTGTTTCTCCTTGAGGAACTCTTTCTAGCCCTGTGGTCAGGTCTCCCCTTCAAATCATCTTGAAGATCACTCTAAAATGTCTGTTCTAGCGATGTGAGTCGGTCTGACTGCTGCAATGGAGGAAGCGGCAACACAGAAGCTAGGCAGCCTGGGCTTGCATCTTAGCCCATCACTTCTCTGCTCTGCCCTTCGGCAAGTTACTCAACCTCTCCGAATCCACAGTCACCTTGTCTGCAAGTCAGAGATACCAACGTTACCTTCTAGTTCAGGCTGTGTGGGGGTTAAGCAGAGTAATGCATGCAAAGAGCTCAGGACACTGCCTGTCTCCGGCATGGAAACCATACTTATTCATTAGCGCTTGGTGGTGAGGTGCAGAGGCAGAAGTGGGAGGAGGTAGCAATTAGGAAGCAAGACCAAGCATGACGTCCTGACAGTGCCCGCCAGCTCCCATCATCCCTCTACCCCTCCCTATACCACATTTATTGCACCCCAGATTAGAACTATTAACCAACTAGTAACAATTACCACTTGTATGAGCTTTCTAGAACTGCCATAACAAAGTTCCATAGACTGGGTGGGTTCAACAACAGCATGTATTGTCTCAGGGTTCTGGAGCCTAGAAGTCTGAGATCAAGGTGTGGGCAGGGTGGGTTCCTTCTGAGAGCTGTGAGGGAGAATCTGCTCCATGCCTCTCTCCTAGCTGCTGGGGTTTGCTGGCAGTCATCGGTGCCCTCGGCTTGTAGATGCACCACAACGATCTCTGCCTTCATCTTCACACAGTGTTTTCCGAACATGTGTGTGCCTGTGTCTAGATTTCCTCTTTTCCTAAGGACAATAGTCATACTGGATCCAGGCCTGCTGAAGTGACCTCGTCTTAACTAATTACATCTTCAACAACCCTGCTTTCTAATAAGGTCACATTCCAAGGTACTAGGGTTAGGTCTTCAACACATAAATTTGCGGGGGAGAGGGAGACACATTTTTATTCATAGTGCCACTTTTAGCTCTGTGACCCTGGGCAAGTCACTTAGCCTCTGTGCCTCAGATTCCTCAGGGCTAGTGCAAGGATTGCTGCAGAGCTGTGGTACACTCCCCACATCCTCTTGGGTCTTGTCAGGGTGGTGCTGGCAACCTGAGTTCTCGCGGCCTGATGGCTTTCTCTGGGCAGCCAAAGTCATTCTGTCCATGCCACACCAGGCTGAAAGTTCCAGAGGACTAATATTCACAGGGGTTATTTTCCCTTAAAACATCTCAATTTCCTCAAACTGACTTCAGGTTCCCCCCTGCGTGACTGACCACTACAGAGGCAGCAAAGTGTAGTGTTTAGGATCATGAGCTGTGAACAAAACACACCTGGATTCCCATCATGGTTCTGCCACTTTCTAGCAGTGTGATCTTGGGCACGTTGCTTGATCTGGCTAAGCCACAGCTTCCACCTCTGGAAAATGGGCATAATGATAGCTGTTCTCTGAGGACCGGATAAGATAAAGCAGGTATAGCCAATACTATTAGTAAGAGCTCATTAAAAGTTATTTATGATTCTTATTCATTTATTTATCTTTTTTTATTCCGTAAAGATGGGTCTGAGCATGCCTGGGACATCTTTCTCTTCCCCATGGCTTTCTCATTGCTACCTCTACTTCCCTCCAACATGCCTGCCATGCAGTAGGCACTCAATAAATGCTTCAAAGAGTGAATGAATAAATAAATGATGCGAGAAGATTTAAGCTATTACTATTCACATTTTGTATTCTGCCATTTCCAGAAAGGATTTGAGCAGGTTGGGGAGTTATATGAGTCAGAGTTTATATATTCTGACACATAAACCCTGGAAGGTAAAACATACAAGCAAAGATTCCAGAAAGCCAAAGATTGGGAACATTAATTAATTAATGCTGACTCTCCCTGCCTGAGTGAAAGCCTCAGGCTAATAACATTCTGAAATTGCTTGAAAGCAGTTATATTCGCAAAACCGAGGTATACCAGGAGTCCACTGGGAGCTCTAATAACATTACACCTGAGCTCTTTATGTCAGGAGGGAGCTCCAGAGACCACTCATGGACTGAAACAAGATGGGGAAAAGCCTCACTCAGCAAATAGCACACCATTAACTTGGTGCATGTGGATGGTACCCAGGGAGGCAGTATTTGAGTCAATAAAAAAATCAGAGTGGATAAACAGGCCAAAACTGGGGGAGGGAGCATGCAAAACTGCTGGCTCCTGAGGAAACTCAGAGTGAGACAAGTTGGAATATGTGGGTCACTATGGAAGCATTTTTAAGACAATACACATTGAATCAATGGTAATAGTAGTAGTCAAATAATGTGATAGAGTGGTAGTGATCTCATTAAAATAATGGCTGAAGTGCATTGTGTGCTTGCTATGTTCACCACACTGTCCTGGGCACTTTAACTGTGTTTAGTGCTCATTTAAATCCCTACAACAGCCCTACAGGGTGGGTTGCATGATTATTCCCAATTTACATTTGAGGGAACTGAGGCACAGAGAGGTTGTATTAGTCTGTTCTCATGCTGCTAATAAAGACATACCTGAGACTGGATAACTTATAAAGAAAAGGAGGTTGAATGGACTTACATTTCCACATGTCTGGGGAGGCCTCAAAATCATGGTGGAAGGCAAAGGAGCAGCAAAATTACGTCTTACATGGTGGCAGACAAGAGAGCATGTGTAGGGGAACTAGCCTTTATAAAACCATCAGATCCCATGAGACTTATTCACTGTCATGAGTACAGCAGAGGAAAGATCCACCCCCATGATTCAGTTACCTCCCACTGGGTCCCTCCCACAACATGTGGAAATTATGGGAGCTACAATTCAAGATGAGATTTGGGTGGGGACACAACCAAACCATATCAGAGGCTAAGTGATTTGTTATTCATGCGTTATCTCAGTCCTCACCACAATGCTTTGAAGGAGTTACCATTACTTGTCCCCATTTTATACGTATGAAAACCAAAGCACAAGGCTGGGCACGGTGGCTCACACCTGTAATCCCAGCACTTTGGGAGGTGGAGGAAGGTGGATCACTTCAGGCCAAGAGTTCAAGACCATCTTGGCCAACATGTTGAAACCCCATCTCTACTAAAAATAGAAAAACTAGCCAAACATGGTGGCACATGCCTGTTCCAGCTACTTGGGAGGCTGAGGCAGGAGGGTCACTTGAGCCTGAGAGGCAGAGGTTGCAGTGAACCGAGATCACACCACTGCACTCCAGCCTGGGTGACAGAATGAAACCCTGTCTAAAAAATAAAAAATAAAAAAACCCTGAAGCACAAAGGTTAACAATTTGGCCAGTGACCCTTGGTTGTATATTATCCCCATTTTACAGATGAGGAAACTGAAAAAGAGAATTGAAGGGCCTGGCCCAGAGTCACAGTAAATAGTAGAGCCAGAGCTTTTGGATCCAGGCTTCTGGGCCCAGAGTCTGTGTTTTTAACCACTCTGCTCTCCTGCCTAAGAATGATGTGTTGGTCTATTGTGGACAATGTTGTGATCAGTAATGATGAAAACGAAATCAGCAACAGCAATGAGTTTCCTTAAAGCCTCATCTTATCACAGAGGAGTATTCACAGCATCATTGTGTTTCAACGCCAAGAATTTCTCTTAAAACTGTTAGTCTAATCCGGGAGAAATGTTCTTGTGCCCAAGAAAGAGGAAATGTGAAGGGAAGCACAATGGTGTATTTCAGACCACAACAAGATGCAGAGACAAGGCCACGTTCATCCCGCACACCTGTCATTCCCATCCCAAACCACGAAGCCCTCTGCCGCCTGTGGGCATGTAGTAGCCGTCAGGACTATTGATACCGCCCATGAGGAACTGGAACTGCAGTTCCACTCCAGCATCCCCCCTGCCTTTGGAGAGCAGGCCATTGCTTTATTTTTTTCTATACCCTGCTGTTTCTTTTCTGTACACGCTATTGTGAGAAGAGGCGCATAAGGAGATAAAGCTGGGCGACACTGACCTTGTTGAGAATACCTTTTGTAGCTATCCACAAAACGCTAATATGAATATGCTTGCCCCTGCAGACAACTGTGCTGATGGGGGACCCTTCTGAGCAGTAAGTCCTGCCTGCTCTCCCCGCTGCTAAAACATCTCCATCTGCAGCATGGGGCGGGGAGAGGCAGTCACAAAACATCAAACAGAATGGCTGGAAAGGATTTGTCTCTTTTTGTATTAATGTTCAAAATGCCAGGAGTGTTGGCTGGGCATAGAGGCCTGTGTGCTCCAGTGGTGATATCTGTCCCACAGACAAGGCTTTTGACCCACGTGGTGGCCATACTCTTGAGACCATCCTATTTTCCTCAGTGATCCCTGCCTGCTAAATCTGGTAAGATGAAGTCCTGTGCAGAGACTGCCTCCATCTGCAAATCAAAAGAGGAACACTAGCATCCAGATCTGGGGGGGCCCTGACTGGATGCCCCCTCCTGGCTTCCCATATTATCTCAACACACATCAGTCACACTGTATTGAAATTCCCACGGAACAAAATGGCATGTCTCACCCAATAGGCAGTACTGTCTTCGATCAGAAAATATGTTTTGTTTACTTTTGTTTTTGCAGAACTTGGCTCCCAGCTAATGTAAAGCACTCAGTACATATCTGATGATTCCAGGCAGTGACTCAGTCTGGAGTGGTAGCAGCAGTACCAGCTAATGTTAAAAACGAAACAAATGGGGACTTGTTTTCATCATCATTCATTGAAAACTTGTTTACTGTACTGGACATTTTGATATGGATTATCTCATTTTATACACACAAGCAACCCTCTTATGTAAGGATCATAATTCTCCTTATTTTGCCGATGAGGGAATGGAGGATGGGAGAGGTTAAGTAACTTGCCCAAGATAGCAGAATTATTTAGTTAGTTGTCTGAGCTGGGATTTGAAACAAGGAAATTTGATTCCAGCTTCTGTGAAATTAAACACACTTTTCTCATAGCCCCTTAAGATGCAAGTTTCCTTTTGCCATTTTGGGATTGTTTTTCTTCTTTCTCCTACTTCACCCCTCTTTTTCCTTTGGTGTTCTTTTCAGTCAACTTGACCTAAAACTGGTTGGAAGGTGGAGTACAGAGTATCCTTAGTCCTGACCCTAAACCTTGTCACATATCCTATATTCCAGACAAGACCAGATGGGCCTAGGTTAGAAAATCTGGGTCCTGATTGGAATTCATCTCTGTACTTGAGGGAGCATCCCCCTGGTTGAAGCATATGCTTCAGCCTCTGAAGAGTGGCCCAGACTCTGCCCCCAGCCCATGGTTGACCTTGGGCAAGTTTCTAACCTCTGAGACTTAACCTATGTAAAACATAAGCATAGGCCAGCATGGTGGCTCACTCCTGTAATCCCAGCACTTGGGAGACTGAGGTGGGCAGATCATTTGAGGTCAGAAGTTCAAGGCCAGCCTGGCCAACATGGAGAAACTCTGTCTCTACTAAAACTACAAAATTAGCCGGGTGTGGTGGCGCATGCTTGTAATCCCAGACACTAGGGAGGCTGAGGCAGGAGAATTGCTTAAACCCGGAAGACAGAGGTTGCAGTGAGCTGAGATCGCACCACTGCACTCCAGCCTGGGTGACAGAGCGAGACTCCATCTCAAAATAATAAATAAACAAACAAACAAACAAACAAACATGAGAATAATAATTCCCGCCCTACATTTTTTGAAGGTTAGTTTCCAGAAGACTGATGAAGACCAATGCGTACAAGGGTGTTTCAGACATCTTGAAATACTCTTTGCCAGTGTGAGAAGGTGGTGGTGTCCGTATTCCAGTGGTTCTTATTTAGATCATTGAAGTAGATTGCTTTTATTCACTTATTTTTGTAATCTAATAAAGAGGAGCGAGAAAGAAAATCTCCTTCCTCTGAGAAAGAGAGAGATACACAAAGGTGGAGAAGAAAAAACAAAGAGGGACTGAGAAACAGAAGAAAGAGAAAGGCAGGGGAGAAATGGGACATAGTTTGCAAAGAAGGAGGGGAAACACAGACTAAGGAAATCAGAGACAGAAGGTACGAAATAGAAACAAGGTTGGAGAGAGAGCCAGAGAGAACCCAAGGCTGAGACTAAGTTTCACATCTATTTCATTAGATGCAACAAGTAAATTGCCTCCAAGATTAAGAACACACCTAATATTAATAACTTAATTATTTTTTCCTCCAACTGGTTGACCTTTAACTTCCTTCTCCTTAGCTGTTCCTCCCCACTGCACCACATTAATCACCCACATCAACTAATCACTTAAGTATGTACCAGGCAGGAGGGACTCTGTTTGCAAGAACCATATTGCCAGTGAAGAAGCTGTTTTAGTTGCACACAGGACCTGCCACTTGCACCTAGTTTGCGACTGGCATTTTTCCATGCTAGGTCACTTGCAGTGTCCACCTGCTAAGCATCCTACCCTCACTGCTACCCTTAACCCCTGCGCTGTCTCATTGCACACCGAATAGGCTTGATACTGAACTAGTTCAGGTAAATTGCTATGACAGCCCAAAAGTTCCAGCCAGTGCTCAGGTGAGGTGAGGTCTAATAAAAGAAAACTTTTTTTATACTTACACAATACTTCTGACATCACATGTGTTGTTTTCCACCAAGCAATTCTCTAGTTCTCTGCAGACACCAACTGGTGTCCTACAATTTAATTCTGACACTAACTACCCAAGGTTAGTGTAGATTTCACAGGTTAAGGACTCAATCCCACAAGACTTCCCCTACTTCAGATATTAATCCCCAGCCCAGGCCTCCCATAATTCTGGCCAATCTGCTATAAATTGGGGGTTTCCACAACCCCCTCCTGTGGTTTGATAGTTTGCTAGAAAGCCGATAGAACTCAGGAAAACAGTTTACATTCCTTACTCTTACTGCTTTATTATAAAGAATACAACTCAGGAGCAGCAAATAGAAGAGATTAGTAGAGTAAGGAATGGGGAAGGGGTATAGAGTCTCCGTGCCCTCTGGGGATGCAAAACCCTCCCAGCACTTCCATGTGCTCACCATTCCAGAAGCTCTCCAAACCCTATTATTGGGGCTTTTATGGAGACTTCATTATGTAGGCATGCTTAACTAAATCTTTGGTTACAGGTGATTAAACCAAGTTCCAGCCACTGTCCCCTCTCCTGTTTGGGGGTGGGGCTGTAAATTCTAACCCTCTAATCATATGGTTGGTTCCCCTGGTTTGTGACTCCTCCCAGAGTCACTGCATTAGCACAAACTTGAGTGTGGTTGAAAGGAGCTTATTATAAATGGATGTTCCTCTCACACCCAATCTCCCAAGAAATTCCAAGGGTTTCAGAAGCTCCGTGCCAGAAACCAGGGGTGAAGACCAAAAACATGTTTCTTACTGTATCACAATATCACAAATGCCAACCTGCCAAAGGCCCAAGAATGATACACCCACTTCTGACAAATGACAGTGATGTTCCCTTCTGCTTTACAGATAAAGAGCAGGGCCCACATTTGTGGTGTGAACATTAGTCCTTAACCCCTAATTGCCAGATGACTTTTCCAGCTGCCCACCTCCTGCTGTTGTGCAAATCATCTTGAAGACTGCTTATTCAGGGCACCCTCTTCATAGCCTCCACTGACATTGTGAAAAGAAAATAGATCTCAGGGCCCCAAAATCACTAAGCCAAGGGAAAAGTCAGGCTGGGAAGTGCATCAGGCAAATCTGCCTCCCATTTTATTTCTAAATAACATAGCTACAAAGATAAAAAACTACATACCTCCCTGATAATTTGCCAACAAGGAAATTCCTTGCAGACAAAGGACAGGTAGAACTCAAAGTCAACCCTCTGAGGCTCATCTGAGACAAATTCATATCTGATTGCTTCCTCTGCTCTATTGTTTATGTAAAAATGTAGATTCACTGAACCAGACTAAATTGTGTATTTAGTGGAAGGCTGATCAAGGACTCAAAAGAATGCAATTTTTTGTCTCTTATCTACTTCTAATGGAAGCCCCCACTTCAAGTTGTCTCACCTTACCAAACGGAACCAATGTACATCTTACACATATTCATTGATATCTCATGTCTCTCTAAACTGTATAAAAGCAAGCTGTACCCTGACCACCTAGGGCACATGTCATCAGGACTTCCTGAGGTCGTGTCACAGGTGCGTCCTTAACCTTGGCAAAATAAACGTTCTAAATTGACTGAGACCTATCTCAGATATTTTGGGTTCACAACATCTCTCTTAATCCCTAGATGGAAGTGAATAGCTACACACCTTATATTTGTCTCTTGCATTGCATCTTCCCTGTCACACATATCTTGCTCCTCACAGCACTCCTGTCATGCTGATAAGAAAGGTAAGGCTCAGAGGAGTCCATAGGTTGCCAGTTAGTACTCATGGAGCAGCTACTCTATGCCAGGTCCTGTCTGAGGCCATCCACAAGCCCCTCATGCAAGCCTCTGATCCCAGTGGCAGGTAGTTATGACTTACTCCCAATTTGCAGGTGTGGACACTGAGATTCAATGGGTTTAGTGGCTCAAGCATGGTCATGTGGTAGCTAGAAAGCCAAGGCTGGGACTGAGACTTTGAGTCTACAGTCAGGCATAGCAGACAGATCTTCCTACATTCATCCCTAAAGGATTTCAGATGTACATTTGTTTATGAAGAGAAAAAAGCTCATTGTGGGTAAATCAGGTTTGTGCTGGCCAGTAAAAGCTTTAAAAACAAAATTATAGTGCCTACAAAATTATAGTGTCTACGATGAACAATTTTTTTTATTTGCCAAATCCCCTCTCTGTGCCTTCAATAAAATGGGAGTACTGACTACTTACAGAAGAGGTTTCTAAGAAATCCAAAGCCTACTTGTACCAGTATCCTTACTACAGGTGTCCTGAACAATGAAAATTGCTTTCCTAAGTGAAACTAGACTCTAGTGGTTTGTTCTACCCTGTTATAGTCATCCAGTCAGTAGAAGCGTTTGCGCAACTTTTTTCAAAGTTCCGAAAACAACCCAAGGAGATAATAAAATACCATCCTCTGTATTGAAGTCTGAGATTGACTAAAGCTGAAGACTGCAGACTGTGGTGTTTGATTGCCCTAAATGAAAATGTTGGAAGATAAAGAATACCCTTGGCTCTAACCTTTAAGGAGTAAACCATGCCCAGAGGCAAGGAAATGCAGCCAGTCCAATATATTCTCCCTCTGCCAAATTCCACATTCTGCAAAAATTCTCTCTTCTTCCTAACTACATTAGTGAAGAAAACAATCACTAAGAAAACGCCAGTTCCATCCTAAGGGACTGAGCATGCAAAACAAGAACTCCAAGTAGTTCAGTTCCCAAGCTTAAATGGTTGACCCCTTATTCTCTGTGTGATATTCATGCATCTTGATGTTCAAAGTAAAAGCTGGTTCTAATGAACCATGAATTGTGTTGTTAGTCTCATATAAGGCAAGGCCTTTCTAACCACTTCCAACTGCAGGGTCTTTGTTTTAGGAACCATCTGGAAGATGTTTTTTGGATAGTAGCACACTCTGATAGGATCACTACCTCCCTCTAACACCTAAATACAACAATGATCCTTCATTTCCTTCTTTCTCTTCTTAACTGAATTGAATAACTACCCCATTTGACATCCATCATTTCCCATGTGACTTAAACAGAATCATTATAAAGAGTGTTATTTCTGCAAAAAATATGCAAAGGTTTCTTCAGTTTTCTCATGGATCTCTATTAATCCTTTGATATTCCTATCATGCTCACTTGAGGCATTTTTCCAGTTATTGGAAAATAACTCTGTGACAAATTTCCCCAAAACTTACTGGCTTAGAATAACACCTATTTTGCTCAAAAATGGGCAGTTTGAGCAGGGCACAGTGGGAATAGCTCACCCTTTCTCCACTCGTCCCAGCTGATGGGGTCAGTCTGGGAGCGGTGTCACCTGTCGGCTTGTTAACTCATACATCTGGCATCTGGCCTGGGAAGACTCCAACAGCTGGGGAACAAAACAACAAGCACTCCTTAAGCATCTTTCTCCATTTCTCTCTGATCTCACCACATGGTCTTCCCAGCATGGCAGCTTCAGGTGGGCCCCTGAAAGAGAAGGCAGACGCCATTTCACTTTTATGACCTAGCTTGTGAAGTCATACAGCATCACTTCTGCTAAACTCTCGTCTTTGGAAGCAAACTTCTAAAGTCCACCCATCTTCAAGGAGAGAAAGATTACGTTTCACCTTTTGTAGGAAGAATGTCAAAGAATTTGCAGAAATGTTTTAAATCCACTGAAAGCATCTATCACATCATATTTTTGATTATCTCTTCTGATTGTTAACTGGTTCAACTTCACCAGATCCATTTGCCAGTGGTTTTATGGAAGTTTGGCATGTCAGGTCCATGAAGGCTGGAATAGTCAACGTTAATCTCTAACACTTAGTACCTAGAAAATGGTACCCAATTTGGACACCCAAGTAGGTACCCAATAAGTATTTCTTAAATTAATGACTGATTCAACAGTTCCCCAATATCACTTTAATCACCTTCATGAAATCTTGCTTCCTTTAAAAAATTTGCAGTTTTCCAAGAACAAACCAAACCCAAAGCTAGCAGAAGAAAAGAAATACAAAAATCAGAACAGAACAAAATGAAATGAAAACCAAAAAAAAAAAAAAAAAAAAAAAAAAAAAAAAACCAGTGAAACAAAAAGTTGGGCAGGGCATGATGGCTCATGCCTATAATCCCAGCATTTTAGGAGGCTGAGGTGGGTGGATCACTTGAGGTTAGGAGTTCGAAACCAGCCTGGCCAACATGGTGAAACCCTGTCTATACTAAAAATTCAAAAATTAGCCAGGCATGGTGGTACACATCGGTAATCCCAGCTACTCAGGAGGCTGAGGCACGAGAATGGCTTGAACCTGGGAACCGGAGGTTGCAATGAGCTGAGATCATGCCACTGCATTCCAGCCTGGGCAACAGAGCCAGACTCTGACTAAAAGAGAAAAAAAAAAAAAAAGGTGGTTCTTCGAAAAAGTAAACAGAATTGGTAGATCACTAGCTAGATTAACCAAGGAGAGAAGATTCAAATAAGCTCAGTTAGAAATGAAAATAGGGCATTACATCTGACGCCATGGAAATACAAAAGATGGTTCAAGACTACTATGAAAAGTTCTACACAAATAAAGTGGAAAAACTAGAGGAAATGGATGAATTACTGGAAACATACAACCCCCCTAGCTTGAATCAGGAAGAAATAAAAATCCTGAAAAGACCAATGACAAGCACTGAGATTGAATCGGTAATTTTTAAAATCTGCCAACAAATAAAAAGCCCCAGGACCAAATGGATTCACAAATTCTACCAGACATTCAAAGAAGAACTGGTATTAATATTACTCCTTCTCAATAGTTGAAACTATTACAAACTATTCAGAAGGAAGGAATCATCCTTACTCATCCTATAAAGCCAGTATCAAAGCCAGGAAAGGACATAACAAAAAAAGGAAATCACAGGCCAATATTCCTTATGAACATAGATACAAAAATCCTCAACAAAATGCTAGCAAAATGAATCTAACAACATATAAAAAAAATTCACCAGGCTTAAGTGGGTTTCATCCCAGGGATGGAGGGATGGTTCAATATACGCAATTCAATAAATGCGATTCATCACATAAACAGAATTAAAAACAAAAACCATATGATCATCTCAATAGACGCAGAAAAAATTCAATACAATGAACATCCCTTTATGATAAAAAGCCTCAATAAGCTAGGCATAGAAAGAACATACCACAAAATAAGACAAACCCATATATGACAAACCCATAGCCAATATCATACTGAATGGGGAAAAGTTGAAAGCATTCCCCCTAAGAACTGGAACAAGACGAAGATGCCAGCTTTCACCACTTCTATTCAACATACTACTGGAAGTTCTGGCTGGAGCAATCAGGCAAGAGACAGAAATAAATGGCATTCAAACTGGAAAAGAGGAAGTGTAACCATCGCTGTTCACTGATATATGATCATTCACATAGAAAACCCTAATGACACATCCAAAAGACTCCTAGATTTGATCAATGAATTCAGTAAAGTCTCAGGTTACAAGATAAATGTACACAAATCAGTAGCACTGCTATGCACCAACAACGAGCAAGCTGAGAATCAAATCAAGGACTCAATTCCTTTTACAATTGCTACCAAAAAAATTATATAATACTTAGGAATATATTTAAGCAAGGAGTTGAAAGATATTTACAAGAACTACAAAACACTGCTGAAAGAAATCATAGTTGATACGAACAAATGGAAATACATCTCATTGCTGATAGATTGGAAGAATCAATATTGTGAAAATTACCACACTGCCCAAAACAATCTGTAGATTCAGTGTAGTTCCTATTAAAATGCCAATATCATTTTTCACAGACTTAGAAAAAACATCCTAAAATTAATATGAAACCAAAAAAGAACCCAAATAGCCAAAGCAATCCTAAGCTTGAAAAATAAATCTGGAGCCATCGCATTGCCTGACTTCAAATTATACTACAAGGCAATAGTAACCAAAACAGTAAGGTACTGGTATAAAAGTGTATACATAGACCAGTGATACAGAAAAAAGAACCCCAAGATAAAGCCAAATACTTACAACCAACTGACCTTTTTTTTTTTTTTTTTTTGAGACGGAGTCTCGCTCTGTCGCCCAGGCCGGACTGCGGACTGCAGTGGCACAATCTCGGCTCACTGCAAGCTCCGCTTCCCGGGTTCACGCCATTCTCCTGCCTCAGCCTCCCGAGTAGCTGGGACTACAGGCGCCCGCCACCGCGCCCGGCTAATTTTTTGTATTTTTAGTAGAGACGGGGTTTCACCTTGTTAGCCAGGATGGTCTTGATCTCCTGACCTCATGATCCACCCGCCTCGGCCTCCCTTTGACAAAGCATACACAAACATAAACTGGGGGAAGGACACCCTACTCAATAATCAGTGCTAAAAAATTGGCAAGCCACATCTAGAAGAATGAAACTGGATCCCTATCACTCACCATATAAAAAAATGAACTCAAGATGGATTAAAGATTTTTTTTTAATTTATTTTTTTATTGATCATTCTTGGGTGTTTCTCGCAGAGGGAGATTTGGCAGGGTCACAGGACAATAGTGGAGGGAATGTCAGCAGATAAACAAGTGAACAAAGGTCTCTGGTTTTCCTAGGCAGAGGACCCTGCGGCCTTCCGCAGTGTTTGTGTCCCTGGGTACTTGAGATTAGGGAGTGGTGATGACTCTTAACGAGCATGCTGCCTTCAAGCATCTGTTTAACAAAGCACATCTTGCACCGCCCTTAATCCATTTAACCCTGAGTGGACACAGCACATGTTTCAGAGAGCACAGGGTTGGGGGTAAGGTCACAGATCAACAGGATCCCAAGGCAGAAGAATTTTTCTTAGTACAGAACAAAATGAAAAGTCTCCCATGTCTACTTCTCTACACAGACACGGCAACCATCCGATTTCTCAATCTTTTCCCCACCTTTCCCGCCTTTCTATTCCACAAAACCGCCATTGTCATCATGGCCCGTTCTCAATGAGCTGTTGGGTACACCTCCCAGACGGGGTCATGGCCGGGCAGAGGGGCTCCTCACTTCCCAGTAGGGGCGGCTGGGCAGAGGCGCCCCTCACCTCCCGGACGGGGCAGCTGGCCGGGCGGGGGGCTGACCCCCCCCACTTCCCTCCCTGACGGGGCAGCTGGCCTGGCGGGGGCTGACCCCCACCTCCCTCCCGGACGGGGTGGCTGCCGGGCGGAGACGCTCCTCACTTCCCAGACGGGGTGGCTGCCGGACGGAGGGGCTCCTCACTTCTCAGACGGGGCGGATGCCAGGCAGAGGGTCTCCTCACTTCTCAGACGGGGCGGCCGGGCAGAGACGCTCCTCACCTCCCAGACGGGGTCGCGGCCGGGCAGAGGCGCTCCTCACATCCCAGACGGGGCGGCGGGGCAGAGGCGCTCCCCACATCCCAGACGATGGGCGGCCGGGCAGAGACGCTCCTCACTTCCCAGACGGGGTGACTGCCGGGCAGAGGCTGCAATCTCGGCTCTTTGGGAGGCCAAGGCAGGCGGCTGGGAGGTGATTGTAGCGAGCCGAGATCACACCACTGCACTCCAGCCTGGGCACCATTGAGCACTGAGTGAACGAGACTCCGTCTGCAATCCCGGCACCTCGGGAGGCCGAGGCTGGCGGATCACTAGCGGTTAGGAGCTGGAGACCAGCCTGGCCAACACAGCGAAACCCCGTCTCCACCAAAAAAATACGAAAACCAGTCAGGCGTGGCGGCACGTGCCTGCAATCGCAGGCACTCGGCAGGCTGAGGCAGGAGAATCAGGCAGGGAGGTTGCAATGAGCCCAGATGGCAGCAGTACAGTCCAGCTTTGGCTCGGCATCAGAGGGAGACTGTGGAAAGAGAGGGAGAGGGAGACCGTGGGGAGAGGGGAGAGGGGAGAGGGGAGAGGGGAGAGGGGACTGGATTAAAGATTTAAATCTAAGAACTGAAACCATCAAAATTCTAGACCAAAATCTGGGAAAAACTCTTCTGGACATTGGCTTAGGCAAAAAAAATTATGACTAGGACCCCAAAAGCAAATGAAGCAAAATGTTAAATAAATAAATATATGGGACTTAATTGCACTAAAAAGCTTCTGAACAGCAAAAGAAATAATCATCAGAGTAAACAGACAAAATCTATGGGCTGGGGGAAAATCTTTACATCAAACAAAGGACTGATATCCAAAATCTACAAGGAACTCAAATAAATCAGCAAAAAAAGAAAAACGATTAAATTTAAAAGTGGGCAAGTGATATGAATAGACATTTCTCAAAAGAAAATATACAAATGGCCAAAAATACATGAAAAAAATGTTCAACATCACTAATCATCAGAGAAATGTAAATTAAAACCACAATGAGATACCACCTTACCCCAGCCAAAATGGCCATTATTAAAAAGTCAAGAAATGATAGATGTTGGCCCAGATAGATGTAGTAAAAAGGGAATGCTTATACACTGTTGGTGGGAATGTAAACTAGTACAACCTCTATGGAAAGCAGTATAGAGATTTTTTAAAGAACTAAAGGAACTACCATTTGATCCAGCAATCCCACTTCTGAGTATCTACCCAAAGAAAACAAAAGCCGTTATATCAAAAAGTTGCCTGCACATGTGTGTTTATGATAATACAATTCACAATTGCAAAGATATGGAATCAACTTAAGAGCCCAACAAGTAGATCAAGAAAATGCGGTGTACATACACATCATGTGATACTACTCAATCGCCAAAAAGGATGTTTTTTATGCTATGTCCTTTGTAGCAACTTGAATGGAACTGGGGACCATTTTCCTAAGTGATGTACTCAAATGGAAAATCAAATGCTGCATGTTCTCATAAGTGGAGCTAAGCTATGAGTATGCAAAGGCATACACAGTGGTATAATGGACTTTGAAAACTCATAAAGGAGGACGTTCGGAGGGAGGTAAGGAACGAAAAACTACCTTTTGGGTACCATGTATACCACTCAGGTGTCAGGTACATTAAAATCCCAGACTTCACCACTATACAATTCAACCATGTAACCAAAAAACACCTGTACCCCTAAAGCTCTTAAAATTAAAAAAAGAAAAACATTTAAAACAATTTTGCAGTTTTTCTTTGCAACCAGTTTTCTTTGTGTTTTAATTGTATCATCTGAAGTTAACAACTTGGGGCAATCAGTAAAAGACTAGTCAAAAAAGATATTGATGAAATGAGCCAAGATAGTACCTAATATTACCCAAGGAGGGATATTGCACTGGGGACTCATATTGTAAATGGTCACTTCATTTTGAAGCACTATTCCCCACATGAAAGCTTATAGCTATAGGGTCCAGATCATGAAGACAGATAAAAAGGACTCACAGAATACCTTTGAGCAAATCAAAATCCCTTCAGCTTCAAGTTTTCTGGCTATGGAAAGGCATTTCTTCTCAAGTTCTTTTTGGTAATGTTAGAACTTAGAATTTTAGATCAGGGTAATAGATCTAGATGGGCAGATATTTAGTATCCATGATAGCAAACATAATTAATAATGATAATAAATACCAATGATGTTTTAAATAACTGCTGATGGGGCTAGGCACGGTGGCTCATGCCTGCAATCCCAGCACATTGGGAGGCCTAGGTGGGAGGATTTCTTGCGGCCAAGAGTTCAAGACCAGCCTAGGAAATAAAGTGAGACCCTGTCTCTACAAAAAAAAAAAAAAAAAAAAAAGTGTTTTAAAAGATAAGTCAGGTATAGTGGTGCATGCCTGTACTCCCAGCTACTTGGGAGGCAGTAGTGGGAGGATCCCTTGAGCCCAGGAGTTGGATGCTGCAGTGAGTTATGATCACGCCACTGCACTCCAGCCTGGATTGCAGTCAAAGAAGGTCAGGCACATCTAGCCACCTATTAAGATCTGTTTGAGGAAGTTAGTTTGAAAACTGGTCTAGACCACAGCCAATCACCTCACCTCCAACCTTCCCTCCACCAGCTCCCATAGCAGGGTTAACAGAGCAAATCTGTGCTTGTCAAAGTCAGACTATAATTTTCTTATTTCAGTTTCTCCATGAGCAAAATGGGGAAGATAATGCCAGCAAGACTCTGTCTCTAAAATGATAATGACAGCTGCTAAAGAACATTTACTCACATATACACCATGGAATACTATGCAGCCATAAAAAATGATGAGTTCATATCCTTTGTAGGGACATGGATGAAATTGGAAACCATCATTCTCAGTAAACTATCGCAAGAACAAAAAACCAAACACCGCATATTCTCACTCATAGGTGGGAATTGAACAATGAGATCACATGGACACAGGAAGGGGAATATCACACTCTGGGGACTGAGGTGGGGTCGGGGGAGGGGGGAGGGATAGCATTGGGAGATATACCTAATGCTAGATGACACATTAGTGGGTGCAGCGCACCAGCATGGCACATGTATACATATGTAACTAACCTGCACAATGTGCACATGTACCCTAAAACTTAGAGTATAATAAAAAAAAAAAAAAAAAAAAAAAAAAGAACATTTACTATGTATCAGACACTGTACTAAGCGCTGTGCATGTATAATCTCATGTAGTCTTTGCAACAAACCCTTGAGATAGGTGTTATTTCCATTTTTCAACTAAATTACAGAATGTGATAGAAACAAGACCAAATTCAAGTCCAACAGCATAGCCCATGCTATTAACGACCATGCCTTCTTACCTCCTGTGATTGCTCTGCAGGGCAGAATGACTACGTAAAGCCTGACTGAAACTAGTCATACAGGAACAGGAAACCCAGAGTAAGGGTCTGCCTCAGGCCTCAGCAAAGGACATTTAGTTACAGGGAAGACCAGAAGTATCAGGTTATAACCCAGCTTCACAGACAGCTTTCTGTAGGTGTTGACACACATCCTTTCCTCTCTTCCTGGTCTCCTGACAGGCTTTCTGAATAACTCTAATTTTAAAATCTTTCTTCCCAATTAATCAGAGCACATTTCTTCTGTGGTGATTAAATCATTGCTTCCACCTTATCCCAAGAATAGACAAAACGACTGTTTGACCCATTTTTAAGTGGTGTGTTTAGGATATCTTATTTTTAAAGTAAGCTAAAAATTAAAGATGGCAAAGGTCTTTGTCCCTAAAACTGATCTCTAAAGACTCAAAATAGTTTACAGACATTATCTAATTCACTGCCACAACAAAGCTGGCATTATCTTCCCCATTTTGCTCATGGAGAAACTGAAATAAGAAAATTATAGCCTGACTTTGACACACACAGATTTGCTCTGTTAACCCTGCTATGGGAGCTGGTGGAGGGGAGGTTGAAGGTGAGGTGACTGGTTGTGGTCTAGACCAGTTTTCAAACTAACTTCCTCAAACAGATCTTAATTCCCCAGAGATTAAAAGGTGGCTAGATGTGCCTGACCCTCTTTGACTAGAGGAGTTCAGCTTAATATAGATTTCATCGGCTTTCTAGATTCGGATTTTGTGAAAGATTTCCTTTAACAAAGAATCAGTGCCTAAAAACTAAAAATCTGATACAACCACTGGCCTGAATATATTTAGGGCATGCCACCTTTAGAAAGTAAACATTTAGAAATAGTCAACAGCTTTTCTAAAATCCTAACGCAATCGTTAGTAGCAAACCTTGACTGCTTCTGTGTGCCCAGCACCATGCTAAGCACATTACAGACATTAGCTTAATTCATCATGATAACCTATCATTTTACTGAAGAGGAAACTGAGGCTTAGAGAGGTTAAGAAACTTGTCCAGGACCACCAAGCTAGTAAGATGTGAAACCAAGATTAACCCAAGCAGCCTGATCTCCAAACCCACACTGTTAACCATTCTGCTACTCTGACTCTAAACCAATTAATGACTTCAATTCAGTCTTGAAGTCTCGTCAGAGAAAGAGAGAGATTTAACAACTTGCTAGTCATATTCCTTACAAAAGCTACAGAACAGACAAAAGCCAAAAGCAATATGTTACATAATAAAGAGTTTGGTTGGTTCTATTCCCTGGTTCCTAGAAGGAATCCTCTAAATCCTTAGAATTTCCAGAGTGACATGAGTGTCTTTGTTATTCATGGTGGGCCCTGAAGGTTTATGCTAATGAGGTGACTTCTGACGCCTATAATAGCTTAAGCCAAAGAGATTACTCAGGATGGAGGCTGGTCATGCCAGAAAGACCAATCATGTGATTAGAGAATTGAGGCTTTGAGCCATGTGATATTAGCCTGACCTATAAGGAGGAGGGCTGGAGATTGTATTCAATATTTTGGCCAATACTTCAATCAATCATGCCTATATAATGAAGCCCCAATAAAAGCTCTGGACACAGATGTTTAGGTGAGCTCCCTGGTTGGTAGGGCACTAATCTCATTCA
Source organism: Homo sapiens (assembly GCF_000001405.40). Taxonomy (NCBI): domain Eukaryota; kingdom Metazoa; phylum Chordata; class Mammalia; order Primates; family Hominidae; genus Homo; species Homo sapiens. The sequence continues at coordinate 57,219,328 of NC_000004.12, read as the reverse complement.
TGAGGGCTCCATCCTCATGACCTAATCACTCCCAAAGGCCCTACCTCCAAATACCACCACATTGGAGATTAGATTTTAACATATGAACTTGAGGGGATATAAATATTCAGTCTTTAGCAGGGCTATTGCTTCCCCATCTATGTTTCATTGTCCCACTTAACCAGAGGATCTTGTTTTAACCCACCAGACCCAGAGCTCATTCAGTAAAATGATAAACCACTACACCTGCTTTAAGACCCTCACCACAGGGGAATTTTTGTTCATTGGCTTTGTGACTTTTCCTCCCTTGCATTTTTATTCTTTATTGCACCTCTGCTGTGTAACAATCTAAGATTTTGTTCCTCATTAAATTTTTTTAAAAAGAAGAGGAAGAGTATCCAGGTATATCTAACATTCTTTTGCACTGTTCTTTAGGCCTCTAACTGGCTTCAAGTCTGGACATAAGCTTTACAAACACCAAGAGCATTTATAAAATGAAAAGATAAAGCATAGATGAGATCAGTCTGTGATCTAGACTCTCAGAATTACAGGATTTGTGTTACTCTTATTTAAAAATAAAAGAAACAACTAAGAAGCAAGTTTGGGAGCTATAAAAGGACTCAGAGATTATCTAGTTCAAAACCTTCATTTTATAAGTGAAGAAACTAAGGCCCAGAAAGGTTGAAGTGAAATATCTTCCCCTAAATTACAAACTAGGGAATCTAATGACAGACTTTTCTTTGCATATATTTTATTGTTAGAAGTCAAATACACTAAAATTCCTTTTTTCCAAAGCAGAAAATCTGAACCATCAACATAAAAGCTTATCCACACGTAGTTAGAAAATGTCATCAATAGTTGAATGACCTTATGACTATGACGTGACTTAATGCAGGAATCTTCCAGGTTCTAGGAAGGAAGGGTCTCAGTTCATTTCCATGGAAGCTACTCTCTTTCTAGGAGAGTATAGGAGTGATCGTTAGCCCTGAATTATCTTCCTAGATCCACACAAAGTTTCTGTGACTTTTTTCTGAATTATTCTCAGTTCTTCAGTTATAAAATTGGATGACATAAAACATGGCTTGTTTTAAACAGTAGATGCATTTCTGAAAGAGAAATTCAGTCATATTTTAATCCAGTAAGGGACTTTGCTATTTAAAGAAAGCCTAACGTGAACACTTTTGTGAAAAAAAAAAGAAAATCTTTTTTAATATAAATAATCTCTCCACAATTTTTCTGTTATATAAATTCAGATTTCTTTAGGTAGAAGTTTTTTTTTTAATAAGGTTTCCCTGTATTACATATCTTCAGTTATTCTGGGATAGTGTGAGAAAAAGACAGATGAATGTGGCAAAATGTTTAAATATTCTCAGAAAAAGAGTCTCCTGACTTAGGTAGAGCAGCCAAAACCACAAAAGCTTTATTTCTTTTATCCTGAAATAGCAAGGGTGTTTTTCAAGATCCAGTCAGAATATACAGCAGCAAATAGCTTGCAAAATGTTTAATACATGATCAAGTGCAACTCACAGTTTCACCCAAATACCTAATGTATATTCCAGTAGACTATGAGAGACAAGCATCAATCAGCATTCAAGCTACCTCATCCTTTCTCAAGGTGAAAGAACTAAAACAACTGTATTATCTGTATGACAATCACTCCTGTTTTATTTGGAGCTGTGTTCCACTCTGACCATCAGAGAAGCAATGACATAGTTTCACTGCTGCTCTTATTAAATATTATTACTGTGGTGCAAGCTTGACGGTCGAGAGAGGAGAAAAAGGAGGCAGCTTCATTGCCCAGAGGAGATCCAGTAATCAGATGGTCTGCAGCCTGAAGAGAACATCAATCTTCTGAATTCAATTCTGACTATACACTTTAGCAGCAACTCTGTGGTCTCGGTATAAAATGTTAACAGTATTAAGGCAACTGCTAACCTAAAAGGTATATATTTTGAAAAGAACGAAAGGGAGGGCTAGATTGAGAATAGTGTTAAGAAAAACTAATTGAGATTTTTTTTTTAAATACTGAGGAAAATTCATTGAACTGGCCATTGGATTTTTCTATGGCAGTCTAGCAGTCAACCTGCCCCCTTTCTTGTTTGTTTGTTTGTTTGTTTGTTTGTTTTGAAATAGGGTCTAGCTCTGTAGCCCAGGCTAAAGGGCAGTGGCACAAGCACAGCTTACTGTGGCCTCAAACTCCCAGGCTCAAGCAATCTTTCCACTTTCCCAAGTATCCGGGACCACAGGCAAGCACTAATACACCTAACTAATTTTTTTTTTTTTTTAAGACAGGGTCTCACTATGTTGCACAGGCTGGTCTTGAGCTCCTGGACTCAAGTGAGCCAGGAGTTCCACCTCAGCTTCCCAAAGTGCTGGGATTACAGATGTGAGCCACCACATCCAGCCTGGTTTTGAGGAACACAAACCCCCCTGGGCATACAGGCTTCCCACAGGTTCCCACAGAGGAAGCCAAAGAGTCGTGATCCGTCCTGTCTTCATGACCTGATAGGCAAGGCTGACACATATCAAGCCCTGCCTATCAGATGTTCTCACTCATCTGACTTTGCAGAAGGTGAAGCAAAGACAAAGTCTTGTTTAAATGCATTCATGGCATCAGCATGACCACAGCAGTGGTGTGGCCAGATTCTTGTGTTTCTTGACTCTCTGGTTCATGTTCATTTTCTAGACATGATCTCCCAGCCTCCACTATACCAGCTTCAGAGTCAGAGTTGATCTCTGTTACTTGCAACTGAAAGTATCGTACCTGATGCCCATATGTATGAGATGTCCATGAATGTGAGAGGCCCAGAACAGGGAACATCCTGTGGGAATAAAGTATGTTCCCCCAAAAGCTCATTGTCATTCAAGGTTCTTATTTTATATCTTATAAAATAGGAGAAAGGCATATAGAAAATGAATATTCTTTCTCTTGTATGTTTACTATTGCCACTGTATGTGTGAGGTATTTTTCTACTGGTTTCAACTGGAGTAAGTCCCATAGAGTAACTAGGGAGGTGGAATGATTGGTACCAGGGCAGAATTCTTTTAGAACTCCAGTCCTACAAATGAGCACAAGAGATACCTTTTAAGGCTGAAGGAGGAACATAGTAAGAAATCTAACAGGTGATGCAAAGGCTTGAAACTAGAAGAAATGCAGGCTTTTGCTGCATGGCAGGAAGCTGGACTGGAGCGAAGAGTCTCCGAGGATGAATTCTTCAACTATTGGGACTCCAGAACCTCAAGAGAAAGCAAACTCAGCCACTCCTTATGCCAATGAGTAAAGAAGTTAAGCGTCACTCAGACTGCAAGTAGACCAGATAGCCCGTATTCCAGACAGGAGTCATGGAACCACAGTGAGAAATGCCTTGCGCATTAAGGAAGACTTGCCCAGGAACCAGAGTGACTGTAGAGATGGAAGAGGGCCTAAGCAGGGCCAAAGGAGGTAATCATGGGGCTCATATCTAGAATTAGAAGCTCAGAAATAAGTCCCAGCAAGGCTAACAGAAACTAATAGTCTACCTTGCTTCAAATAATTAATCTGTGCTCTGATAATGCATCTCTAGCTATGTTGCACATTTTCTTCATGTGCATGTATATGGGTGTTTGGGGATTGGTGTTGATTGTTTTTCCCTTTGTTTTCTTCTAAAACATTCCCTTTGTTGAATTAAGAAGGAATCTCTGGGAGAAATACTGTACACAATTTGACCTCCAAATAAATAAAGACTAAGAAGTCTTCCTAAGAGAGATTAAGGAAACCCTGATCATCAGTAATTGCTAACTCTCCAAGCCAGAGAACACAGGTGTGCATACACACACGCACACACACTCACACACACGCACACACACACAAACCATGAGTTCTAGGGCCAGATCAATACTTACTGAAGCGAAACTGGGCTCATGAAAATTGAACTCACAGAAAACCTGAGACATTACCACCAATCCCTAGTGAGCAAAAACTGTCAGTGCCCATGGCTCTTCAAGGACCTGCCTTCAAGTGGTCCATCTTTAAGAACCAGAGAATAGGTTTGACTCTGCAAGACCATAGACTATTTAATAAAGTCCTCAGCTGGGGCCATGGCGTATCCTGGAACATAGGCCCTGGAATCAGCCAGACTAGATTATGACACCCTGCTGAGTGACCTAGGTGAGTCACTTAAACCTGGTGTTGCCATATACGGGTGGTAACACCCACTTTGTAAGGCTGTTTTGAGATTAAATGAGATATTGTCTGTAAAGCCTTTTGCACAGTACTTGGTATATAGTAACTGTTCATAAAAATAAGAAAAACTAAATTAGAATGTAGGTAAATGAAAATAATGAATGAAGCCATTTACTAGGCAAGTCTGGATTTCGATGAGGTTCAGAAAAGATTTCACTTACACTGCTAATCTAATTCCACCAGGAAAACAGCTGGGAAGATGAACTAGGATGGACACACTTTCTAAATATACTTATTTGCGGTTTTTATTTTGAAGAAGCAGAAGTAGCAGCTGCCGCCACCCCCACAACAAGCCAGGCGGTTGACAAGTATTGGTGGAGCCTGCAGAAGGCTCCTGTCAAGGGAACAGTGACTCTCCAAGCCAGTTTCATGTGGGAAATCAGGAGGACAGATTTTCTTATGCGATTTTCTCATTCATTCTAGCTTCTGCTTGGCGAGAAAGAGTACATAAGCTGTTTGTCTCAGATGAATGCTCCACTAGATAAAACACCAAAAGGGGCTTGGGGAAACATAATAAAGTAAGAATTGCCACACTGGCTTAGACCAACTGTCTGACAATAGTACCAAGAGGCATTTTGTAGGAAATAGTTGCAACTTCCTTCATAATCAAGGCCTCACAAGCTTAGAAACAACTCCTAAATGTCCTTAAGTTCCTATTAAAGTGCAATCAACCACAATTTTACTTAAACTTTCCTTGAGTTCTTTTATACTAGCAATTTCAGCTAATACTGTTTGGGGCCATCAGTTTCTTTATTTCACCAACTTTTATTTTTATGTTTTGTTCCTCTTGACTACAACCCAGATTGACTATATAACCTGAAGCAAGTCCCCGAAGTTGGCTCTGCCTTAATATTTCCACTTATAAAATGGAAAAATAGCATCTCCTTAGTAATGTCACAAAGAAAAGAAAAAGATTCCTGGATCTACATTTTTCTCTGCCTTGGGCTCTACAAAGAAAGAAAGAGGCTTAAATCTGAACACTTGAGTTCCATTTTCTGTGCTAATTCATATAAATCCCACAATAATATAACAATGGAATAACGGAACAGCTAAATGCGGGAGGAGAGATGAATAGCAAAAGTCTTGGGATCAGGTTGAATTGTAGGCCATTGAAGTAGCAAAAATGGGTGTCCCCACCCACAAGCAAAAGGTATTAGAACCAGATTGCTCACTTGGATTAAAATATTGCACAATCTATGTGACTTCTACCAAATGGTCACTTACACTTTAAATAAAAGCGTTTAGTGAGAGTAAGAATAAAAACAGCATTTTTTTCCTTTTGAGTTAGAGAAAACCTAAAAATAAGTAGTGCTGTATTATCAAAGGAGGGAAAATCAATAACAGAGTGTGTACATATCTAAACCACCCAGATGACATTGAAATTTGTCAAGAAGTTTTTATTGTTATATATCAAATTAGTTCTAGAGATGGGTTACTTTAATCACTGTTTTATGTCAGATAAGAATGATAATTACAGTGAAGACGTGAAGAGGAGATTTGATACTTTCTATTCAGGAGGAACTATGGAGAGTACAATAATGAAGAAGTTATATGCTAAGCAGGACAGAATGAGAAACTAGATGACATAATGGTCTCTGTCTTTCTCCCTTATTAAAGGTAAAAGAAATTTTTAATAAAGTAACATAGTCACTCCCAGAAAGCTATAATGAGTCCAGTGTGAAACATATGTAACTAAGTCATCTTAGTTCCTTTTGCATTGAATTTTAGAATTTACTGAGAAAATAATGATTAAAAGTAAGTATAATCTAAATAATTTATTATAATCTTATAATGCTCACATTTATTGATGGTGTAAAGAGGCAAAACTTTGCTGCAAGAAGAACATATATTACAGCTAAGGTTGTTCTATTTGTTACAATGCTGAAAAATGTTTTTAATTAAGTGATATTAATATGAGTACAAACAATTCTTTGGGGCTGCTTTTTCTTATAAAGAGGTTTTAAATATTAAATGAAGGAAAATGCAAGTTACCTTAGTTTGTCCATCTTAAAGACGAAAGTTATATGACGTTGTAGCAAAAGAATACAGTGCAAATTAATTAGCTAATTAGATCATTGTCATATCCAGTGTTATGAAAAACAAAGTTTGCCTATGGCCCTGGCCCAAGCCGACCTTTTTTCCATTTTTTTTTAATTTTAGATTTCTCTCTTTCTCTCCCTTCTTTTTTTTCTTTCCCTACCTCATTAAAGTATAATTGACAAATAAAAATTGTATGTATTCAAGGCACACAACACCATGTTTTGATATATGTATACATTGTACCACAATCAAGCTAATTAGCATATTCATCACCTCACATACTTATTATTTTTTGTAGTGAGAATGTTTAAGATCTACTCCCTTAGCAATTTTCAAGTATGCAATGCATATTAACGGTAGTCACCATGTTGTACACTAGTCTCCAGAAATGATTCATTTTCTAGCTGCTGAACCTTCGCACTTTTTGACTGACATCTTCCTATTTCCACCCCAGCCCCTCAGCCCCTGGCAATGACCATTCTATTCCCTGCTTCTGTGAGGTCGATTTTTTGAGATGTCACATATGAGTGAGATCATGCAGTGTTTGTCTTTCTATGCCTGGCTTATTTCATGTAGCGTAATATCCTCCAGATTCATTCGTGTTGTTGCAAATGACAGAACTTTCTTCTTTTTAAGGCTTAATAGTATTCCAGTTTGTACAATATCACATTTTCTTTATCCATTCATCCACTGATGGACATTTAGGGTGATCGCATATCTTGGCTATTGTGAATCATGCTGCAGTGAACACTGGAGTGCGGATACCTCTTCAACATACTGATGTCATTTCCTTCAGGTATAGACCCAGCAGAGGAATTGCTGGATCATACGGCAGTTCTATTTTTAATTTTTTGAGGAAACTCCATACTGTTTCCTATAGCGGCCGCACCTTTTACATCCCCACCAACAGTGTGTAGGGGCTCCCTTTCTCTACGACCTCGTCCACATTCATCTCTTGTCTTTTTTCATGACATGCCTGTTAGAATGGCTATGATCAAAAACTTAAGCCAGGCTTTTTATCTGAAATACCAAGACATTCAAGACAACACAAGAGACTGTCACCAGATTGGGGTGAACAAATGAATGAATCAGAATTAAAGGTGCATGTTGGGGCCTAGCAAATCCCTATTGTTGTGGCCTTGTCAAGACCCGTAACCCCTTTGGGACTCAGTATCCTAATCAGTGAAATGAGGGGGCTTGACCTCTAGAGAGATTTCTAGCACTAAAATCCTATGACACACAATTTTTAATAACTAAAAGAAGCAAACAAATCACTCTGCATCAGAGAAAGGTGCTGACTGGTTGTAGAGACTGGAACTATATCATGAGGTACACCAGAAAGGTCTAAGGCAGCAGTCACCAACTTTTTGGCACCAGGGGCCAGTTTCATGGAAGACAATTTTTCCACAGGAAAGAGGTAAGGGGTATGGTGGGTTTGAGATGACTCAAGCACATTACATTTATTGTGCACTTTTTTTCAACTCACTTGCCACTATAAAGCCTGCCACCAGATGCGGCTGGTCATTTGCCACACATTGATAGGGTTTTGATATGAGTCTGCAAGCAACTGATTTATTGTGGGCAGTCAACCCTCTCTGCTAATGTTTATCTGTATTTGCAGCCACTCCCCAGCGCTAGCATCATCACCTCAGCCCCACCTCAGATCATCAGGCATTAGATTCTCATGAGGAGCACACAACCTAGTTCACAATAGGGTTCATGTTCCTATGAGAATCTAATGCTACCGCTGATCTGACAGGAGGTGGCGCTCAGGCAGTAATGCAAGTGATGGCAAGTGGCTGTAAACATGGACGTAGCTTCTCTCGCTCACCTTCCATTCACCTCCTGCTGTCCTGCCCAGTTCCTAACAAGCCACTGACCAGTACCAGTCCATGGCCCAGGGGTTCAGGGACCCCTGGTCTAAGAAAAGGCCAAGTGTTCTAGAAGTCCTCCCACCTCCCTCCACTGAACTGTCTTCCCCAGGCCCTGGAAAATCCTTAGAGACAATTCCCTAGATCCTCCAGCAAACCAGGTCTCTATGCATAATTCCTTATCAATTCCTTCTTGACTACCTTGACTTCCTTTTCAATCTGTTCTTGACAATAACTGAGTTGACTGTTTGGTTTAGAATACTCATACTGCCTTCTTTCTTCACTCACACAAACACCATGTTACTCTCATTCTTCCATTCATTGTTGATTCATTCCTTCACTAGTCTAGCATTTATTGAGCACCAACTATGGGCAGCTGTCTTTGCTAGGCCTTGATCTTCTCTGACTAAAATGCTGTGTACTGTGAAGCCAATGTGTTGGTTTACATTGGCCAGCAGCAGCATCTCTGGAGTTAGACTGAATGTGTTCAAATCCCAGCTTTCCCATTTGCTGTATTATCTTGAGCAAATGTCTTAACTTCTCTGTGTCTCAGTTTTCTCATTTGTAAAACATAATTCATAGCAGTAACTATTTCGAAGACTTTTTTGGAGAGTCAAATAATTAAATCTTTGTTAAGTGCCTAGAACAGCACCTGATAAGACACAATAAGCACTTGTTAAAGGTTAGTTCTTATGATTATCTCCAAGAATCTGAATCAGTCTGAGATCAGCAGCTCCAAGGCTGAGTTGCTGGTGGCATTTGACACAGTGCCTTCTATTTAAAACATGATATTTCATGGCTGTGGAGTTGTTTGTCCACTTCAAATGGCCACTGGGGAATAGATTTGAGGAGCATTTGTCACTGAGAAGAATTAGTGAAGCAGGCAGAGTTCCTACCTCAGAGAGCTTGGGGCAATGACAGCCACTTTGTCCAAACCTGAGCAGTAGCAAAAGAATGCCAACAGCCCAAAGAAAAGAATCAGACTGGGAACTATTGCCAGGCAATCCCAGGATGACCTGAGGATGTGCTCTAGCCACCCTTGTTGAAGGTACAGAAGTCTGTTGGCCTATTTATTACAACAGAAGCACTTTCTATGCCTACAGATTGACAGTAACAGTAGTAATGGTAATAATTGTCATAGCAACGGTACAGTAGTAGTAATAGCAGCAGCAATGGTAGCAGTTGAAATAATGTGATGGTAGCAAAGGTAGTCAATGGCAGTAGTAAGAGTAATTGTGATAGTGGTAGTAATCCTGGCAGTGGCGATAATAACAGGGCGCTGGTAGCAGCAGGAGTAGTTGCGGGATGGGTGCAGTGGAGTAACAGCTACACTTCTATAGCACCATCCAAAGCACTCTGCATTTATTAACTCCATTCTCACAGCCACCCTAGGAAGTAGGGAGTATTGCATTTTACAATGGCACTTGTAATATTTTAAGTTATTTCAGCTCTGATACCATACTTGGTTATGCTGATTCCAGCAGCATCTCATTAAAATTTTGGTCTTCTCATCTTACATCCTCCTGATCCCACTCACTTGACCCCCTTCTAACTTATGGCAGCTAAAGTAGCCCCACAGCCTCTCCATCCTTGTTGTTTCTGGCAGGAAAGACACTCATTATACAGTGTGAAATTGTGTGCTTTCTTTCAAGAGAAGAGTCACACTTGGCAAGAAAGAATGGGGAAAAGTGCTGCCCACCGATGGTGGGTACTTTATAAAAGTGGCTGGCTGGCATGGGTAGAAGAGAAAAGACGGAAAGGAGACAGTGTCCCTCACCTCTGTCATGGCTGAGGCAGAGTCAATACACATCCCCAGTGCCACCGGAGGCCTGTCTCAACTTTCTGTCATCACCTGCTCATGTCCCTGCTTTCACACATGACTTGTCCTTTCCCATCAATGAATTAAGTATATAGAAAAACCACTTCAGGTCGTAGTCAAGAGTCAGATATGCTTGTGTGCAAATGCCAGCTCCACCACTAATTGCATGGCTCTCTCAGACTCAGTTTCCTCCTCTGTAAAATGAAGGTAATTATCCCATATAATTGTTTTAGAAAATGAGAGAGAAGGAACATCCACACCCCTACCCAGCACTTGGCACACACAACCTTAATAACTATAACCCATTACTATTGCTGTTGTTACTGCCACTGTATTTTTCCTTCAAGCCACTAAACCCATAATTGTTATTAATACATATCCAAACAGTTCTTAAAAAAAATCCTCTAAAATTGTGTTACCCAAATAACTCAAAAAATAAAATTTTAGGTTTACAGTGCAGCCCCCCACTCCTCAAAGATGCTGTATGAGTTTTCTGTGGCTTCTATAACAAATTACCACAAACTTAGTGGATTAAAACATCACAAACTTATGATCTTGCAGCTATAAGTCAGAAGTCTAAGATGGGTTGTCAAGAAACTCTAGAGGAGAAGATGTAACCTTACCCTTTCCAGTTTTAGATGAAGAACGTGTTCCATTGCCCTTCCCACATTCCTTGGCTCATGGCCCCACATCATTGCAATCCCTGCCCATCATCACATCTCCTTCTCTGACTCTCATGTCTCCCTCTCTCCCTTACATCTTTGTGATTACATTGGGCCCACCCAGATAACCCAGGAGAATTTTCCCCTCTCAATATTCTTAACTTATATATCTGCAAAGTCCTTTCCACCATATTAGATAACATATCCACAGGTTCCACGAGTTAGGATGTGGACATCTTTGGAGGACCATCATTCTATCTACCACAGAAGCCATGAAGAAATAGCCATAGAAAAGACTGAGTTGTCTCCACAGAGTTCCCCATTCCTTATTCAGTGTTCATACAGTCATCGCTGATCTTCCAGCCTCCTCTGATTCTCTCTGTTTCCTGACATCTCTGAGGCTCAGTGTCCACATGTGTCATACAGTAATGGCCACACTGCATCTACAGGGCTGTTTGGGGAATAACCAATGTACTTGAGTTATAAAATCCTTAGCAAATTTTAGAATAAAATGCCACATAAAAATGAACGAATAATAATTTAACTGTCTCACAAGTAAATTAATACACTCAAACTGCTCTAAGATCTTTGGATAAAAGACATTCTTCAGACGCCAAGTGTATGTTGGTGTTTTGCCTTTGTGCTCACTTCCAGCCATCTATCAAAAGCACACTTTAGTTCATTTTTCCTTTTTCAGATAAACTATCTAATTTTCTGCCCCTGTGGCTTTCCTGAATGTCTCCTCCCCCAAGCCTTCCAGTGGGAGAAATGTAACTTATTTTCTTCTCTGGGTTTTCTGTGGGTGGGTAGATATGGCCTCTTTGACTAGTCTTTTTCTTTCCCTTTGTTCTCAAACTACAGCTTTTGCTGCCTCTGACTTGGTTTTTGCTGTGTAGCTGTGAGTTTGCCACCTCTCTTTTGAGCTTCATCAAGGGCTGCTGTGGCCTGATATGTAGGTTTCTTTCTAATTTCAGTCTCCAGGGGGAATGAAGTCGATATGGTTGTTCACCTGCTGAGTTAGGAGTTTGCCCTTATACACACACCATAATATTTTATTCTAGTTACAGGGAGCATGCAGCATTTATACTTCCTTGGACTCCCACATGAAAACAGAAGCAGCTACTGTGTGTCCTTCAAAATCCCTCATGCATTGCCTTTGCTGCCTGTGGGTGGGCAGGGATATACAGTCAAGCACACTACAGAAAGAAGGTGCCAATGACTCTATCTTTTGAAGTTGACCTTCTCCCAAAAACCAAGAACTACAGAGAGGCAAACATTTATTCACTTGAAAAAAGGTGCATTTCATTTTCTTAAACATCTAAAAAGACATAACTACATTTAATATACAGCAATGCTCTCTTTATCTCCCTATCAAGAAAAATAGTTGTGTGCATATGTTAGCCACTCTTCTGTTATTATGAAGGAATTTAATATAGGAAAATGGTGACAAAGGTTTTGAAAACACAGGTCAAGTGGAAAATGGCATTACCTAGAAATTGGCAACTGTAGGACGCTGCTGCTATTGTCCCATAGCTGTAGAAGCAAAGAGGTGAATGTGGAGTGATCCAGAGTCGGCAAGCACACGCTTGCTACTGCTGTTGGAACAGAGCTCTGCCATCATATTTGTTATCTATTGCTATTGTATAACAAATCATCTCAAAACTGGCTTAAAATAACACATGCTATCTCACAGTTTCTATGCATCAGAAATCTAGGTGTGAGCTAGCTGGGTCCTTCCTCTGCTTCAGGGCCTCTCATAGGCTTCAGTTAAGGTGTCACTCAGGCTACACTCATCTGAAGGGAAGGATACACTTTCAAGTTCATGTAGTTATTGGTAAGATTCAGCTCCGTGTAGGCTGTTGGACCTCAGTTTCTCACTGGCTGTTGGACAGAGTCTGCCCTCAATTCCTCGCCATGCAGGTCTCACGAACATGGCAGTTTGCATCCTCAGAGCACACAAACCAAAAGGCAAATAGAGAGAGCCTGCCAGCAAGACAGAAGTCACAATCATTTGCAACCTAGTCAGAAAGGTAGCAACCCTCAACATTGCCATATTCTATTGGTTGGCAGCAAGTTACTCAAGCAAAGGGGATTTCACAAGGCCATGAATACCAAGAGGTGAGGATCAGAGGAGGCCATCTCAGAAGGTACTGACCATAGCTGCTGAGCAGGAACCCAGGAGCCCAAGCTCCCAGTGATGATGCTGGAGCCACCACCAATGCTGTTGGAGCCCACGGTACTGCCCGCTGCTGCCACTGTCACAGCCAGCTGAATGGCTTTCCCTTTCTACCACTTTCCAGTCTCCCATGAGTGCTCACCCTCATTGGCAAATGCTAACTGAAGCCCAGTAACCAAGGGAGCAAGGAATGCACTTCTCATGTTTCCAGCAACTTGCAATTCAGAGGAGAGGAAATAAGGATGGGAAAAGGACTAACCATAGACAATAGCTGGCCCAACAGGAAAGGGATGTTTCTACTCATTTCCACATCTCTCTTTTAGACACTTTCCATTCTGCTCATTTAAATCAACTGATGCACCAATGTTATCTGCTCCATGTGTGAGGTCCCACTCATCACCCCTTCACTGGAACACCCCCTTCAACCCTGAGCTTGTTTTCTCAGACTGTCCTCCATGTTCCCATCTTTGCTGCCTCTTTTTCTTTTCACTTCCTTCAAAGCTCAGCTAGCCTATGTTTCCTGCCCTTGATTGCTCAGGGTTCTGATCTTTGTCAAGTAGTACTGCATGATAATGGGAAGCCTTTCAATTGATTCCGTTCAACAAAGTCTCTCATATAGATGCTAGGTCTCAAACATAATGCTGGATGCTAGAGTGCAAAAATGGAAAAGAAGCAATTCCTGCCCTTGAAGAGGATGCAGTTATGCCAGGGACACAGATGTCTATAATACCAAGTGATAAGTGCTACAATTCAGGGACATCCTGACAGATTGATTGACAAACCATACAGATTTGTCCTTAATTGGCTGCATGTTATCTGCACTTTTGGTTCTTGCTGGGGAAAAAAATGCAACCTTGAACTCTCAGCTGTACAATCCTTATCAAACATACTTACAATAAATAATTTATGGAGGTTCTAAAAGATAAGCAGCCCATCCATTTCCTTAGATATTCTACAATTTATTCTTCATGTACACAGATGCAAAATTCAGTTTAAAAAATCTATAAAGAACTGAAACAACATGATCCACAGCCTTGTTTTTACAGCCTTTAGTTTTCAAAGGAACCGCTTTCACTCAGCTGTACTTTGGCGTCTCATCATCTGTCTACAAGGAGTAACATTTAAAAACTACTGAGTGAAATTAGACCTAAACCCAATATAGGAATGTCAAGGGGTTTCTCCCCTATATCACAGCCTTCTCATATTCTAAGGATTCCATAGAGAAGTTCCTTTTAGAGCTCAAACTCAGAAAGAGTTTTCTCAAACAGGTCATTTGTTTTTATTTTATGGATACACCAAAATTTTATAATGAGTTGTGTTTCTATTTTGGCTTTATCTTCCAGAAACTTAGAACCAAATATGCAGTCCTCTTCTAGCAACTGTATGAGAGCAGGTGGTAAGCTTCTATTTTATTGCCCTTGTTTTCCCTTGACTCCAAATCTTCTTTCATCCTTTTGTAGGTATATTGGTAGGATACTCAAATTCTCTGTAAAATGAGAAATTTTATGTTAATTACAAATAGATTATACTAATGCATATATGGTGCTATTTCTTTTTGGCAGGAAGGATCAAGAAAATCAGAGAAAGATGTGATATTTGATCTGAGTCTTGGAAAATGATATTTATCCAGTTTTAGAAGGTTTTTCCATAATATCAGCACTTAAAGGCATAAAAAATTCACATTAGGTTATGCGACCAGATATAAGGGAAGGAGGATATAAGAACTTGTGTGTTAATTTTCCTGTCAATGCCCTATTCATCCCAGTTAGAAGAGTACTTAACCTGTTAAAATGCATCCTAATATTGATGGACACTTAAAGAGTTGCCCTAATAATTGCAGTTTCCACCAGGAGAAAAAATCTTTTTTGATCAAGTAAACTTTCTTCTGTTTATTCGCATTATAAAGTCTTCCCAATCTGCCATAGGTTGGCTAACCTAGAAACTCAGCCACCAATAATGACAATACCTGTCACGGTCCTCTTTCAGAGTGTGGATAGCCAGAATACAACCAGAGATCCTATCTCCCAAAGCCCAGTTCATAGTCTTCTGCTGCTGCAAAACCATCTCCTGGCCCAACAAAGCCTGCAAAAAGGGGAATGAATCTGTGTAAGTAACAGTGCAAAATCTTCAGCATGGCAGTGGCAGATACTGACTCTATTATTTGGTACCTACAAGACATTAAGCAATTCACTTTCCCCTTCCTCGTCTTCATTTTCCTCTTACAATTTGGATGTCTGAGAGCTGATGTCTTTAGTTGATCTCATTATTTTATAATCACACCAGCTGTTTTGACAGTCTGTGATATTCATAGTCATTGATTTTTTTTGGAATCTACAAAACATCTATATACATCACCATAAACTCTCAGTGGCTAGAGATGACTTTAAAAATGAGTAATTTACCACACTTCAGGCAGGAAATTAAGGCTTACAATGTTGAGATATGAATAATTGTAGGCACCTTTCATTACTTTGATTTTTTTCTGGTGAATATTACAATTATTCAGGCAGCTGAAAACATCATGTGAAAATGTCAGTAAATACACTAACAAATCTAGCTCTTAAGTGAGTCCCCACCAAGGTGTTAATGCAAACAGCAATTTGCTGGAATCACATGTGAAAAATATTAGGCTATTTGAGGATTGGGGTGATTTCCAGTCTGCAAAGTGGCCTATTTGAGAAGAAAGAACCATCTCCAGGAAAGAACCGATCAATGGTTTTTTTATTGTTAGTTAATTTCAAGGTTTTTCAGTGTTGCTTTTTATAAATACCAAAGGAGAAAATTTGGGTTAACTCCAATGGCCATTAGCTTTAATGGGAAGCTTTAGGCCAGGATGGAACCCAAAATGAAGAAAATGCCATGGAGGGCCCACACAGAGCATTGGAAACAAAATTTGCCCCTCATCCCTAAGATAGTCTGGTAGGGCCTGAGCATGCATCCTCTGAACACAAGCAAAGCACTGGCCTGGAAAGGCACCGGCGTCAAAGGGGATTCGCAAGACACCAAGTGCTCTGTGTACACGAGCAAGAAGCAGCAAGGCAGCATGGCTCTCCTTGAAAGAGAATGAAAATAAATCCTGTCATGAGAGTCCCAGCCCTCAGATGCATAAATAAACATCACTCTTATAGATCTCACCTAGGACTCAGCCCTGACTTCCTCACCCACCACACACATCACCCCTCCAACTCCAATCACCATTACCTGTACCCTGGCATTGCATTAAACATGCAATTATTTAGCTCCATATAAGCCTAAGACTTCATCTTTCTTAATAGATTTGCATGTGCAGGTTAGGTCTTTCCAGACTATCCTCTGTGCCTGAGATTCATGGGACTTTCACTGAGCAAAGAGCCTTTGGCTAGGCCTTCCGCAATTGTGTTTGGCTGAGACTATGAGTAGTTAGAACATGATCCAGTCATTTATTTTTTAAAAACCAACCTTCAAAAGTTGGTTTAAAAAGTCTAAATTGGGCCAAGCGCGGCGGCTCACACCTGTAATCCCAGCACTTTGGGAAGCCGTGGCGGGTAGATCATCTGAGATCAGGAGTTCAAGACCAGCCTGAACAACATGGTAAAACCCTATCTCTACAAAAATACAAAAATTAGCCGGGCATGATGGTAGGTGCCTGCAATCCCAGGTACTCAGGAGGCTGAGCGGGGAGAATTGCTTGAACCTGGGAGACAGAGGTTGCAGTGAGCCCAGATCGCACCAATGCACTCCAGCCTGGGCGACGGAGCGAGACCCTGTCTCAAAAAAAAAAAAAAAAAGTCTACATTGCTTAATATATAATGAGCTCTTCAGTCAATCAAAAAAAGTGCCAACAATTTTTAGAAGTTGAAATCTATAAAGAAACATTCACTGAAAAAAAAAAGTTTTGTTTTGTATTGTTTTGTTTTGTTTTGAGACAGGGTCTCACTCTGTTGCCCAGGCTGGAGTGCAGTGGTGCCATCACACAGCTCACTGCAGCCTCAACTTCCCAGGCTCAAGCAGTCCTCCCATCTTCAGCCTCCTGAGCAGCTAGCACCACAGCACACACCACCATGCCCAGTTAATGTTTTCATTTTTTCGTAGAGACAAGGTCTCCCTTGTCTAGATTTGTTGCCTAAGTTGGTCTCGAACTCCTGGGCTCAAGCAATCTTCTCACTTCCCAAAGTGCTGGAATTACAGGAGTGAGCCACCACACCTGGTCTACAAGTGTTTTTGAAACATATGGAGGGGTGTTCAAAGTCTCTCTTTTAGTGAAAAAAAAATAGAATAATAAAACATGTTTCTCCATATCAGATTGGGAAAGATTAGAAATATTATGTGGTAAGGCAGAGTTCATGAATTACTGGTGGAAGTATAAATTGTTGTAATTCCATTGTAAGGCAATTAACTAACTATTGAAACTTTAATCCTTTTATATTTTGACCCGTCAGTTTCACATGAAGGAATTTGTTCTTCGAAAATACTCTACTTGTAAGCAAAAATAGGTTGCTAGGGTATTTATTGCAACGTTATTATAATAACAAAAACACGATACACCATAAATGACAACCAATATTTGGAGACCTCTAAATGTCCAAGATTCTGCAGTTATTAAAAGGGATGAGATATATCTCTATGAAAACATGCCCAAGATAGGTGGCTAATTGAAGAAGAGGCTTGACCATGTCATGGGCAACACCTTGTTATTTGCTCCCGTCACAAAGTAAGCACCTCTAGTGCCCAGAACTCTTCAAACAATCAAAGAAACCCACCTTCAGACAGCAGATCAAGGCAATATAGGTAATATCTGGATATTTGATAAGGATTAAAGGGAAAATAAAACTCCTCAGGCAAGCATCTGTCTCTCACTGTTCTCAAATTTTCATCTCACAGTGGTGAAAACATACCAAGGTATAATCTTCCCCAGAAAAAAAAAGTGGCTGCCTATGTTTGCCAGGCCCTAGAATAATGCCTTATATTTATAATAAAAAATAAAGTTCAGCTCCAACTGATGAAATAAAAATAAAAGCCTTTCTTATTAATTGGTTGGTATAAACACACAACAACAAAACACTAATTACCAATAGCTCTACAATAAATTTAAGATACAATTTAAAACAACCAGCTCTCTTTCTACAAAACTCCATCTGTCTTCTCTCACTGCTTAATATAATCTTCCCCACACAACCCCACTCCCACCCTGCTTTAAGAAAAAATTTAACTTTCCTTCACTAAAATTCAGGTATCAAATAGCTTGTCCACAGTTCCCTGGATGCTAGCTTAGGGCAGCAGCTATCAGAGTTCATTGATTTGCTGCTAGCAAATTGGAAGACTTAATGGTGTGACTTCCGCATGTTGCTAGTTGATCAGGTCTCACCGGGGTCTCTCCAAATGGGAAAAGAATTGCTTCCTGCTAATCTCAGGCAGCAGCACCGCGTCCACATCCATTTCCACACTGATCTTAAACAGAAAGAAGACAGAGAAAGATTATGTTTCATTCTCCCACTGCGTCTACATAAAACCCAATTGTCGCCCCTTTCTGATCAGCAAGATGTTACCTTGGCAACTACTTTGTACAGCTCTTATTCGTCTCCCTTTTGGAGCTCATGATTGTGTAAAAGTTATTTTGCCTCCTAATGAGTAAGAGGAGACATTAGCAACCTGACTGCTTCCCTGGTACTTCCAGACAAAGGTTGTAAAACTGGCAGCCCAGGGGCCAAATTAAACACTCAGGCATGTTCAACCCATACAAAATTTTTGGTTTTGTTTCTTGGATTTGGATTTTTTGTAATGTGAGTTAACATTTACAAACCAGAAGATGTAAAATGAAAATGCAAATCTGCAGTTCTTTTTAATAATGTTTAGACCTGAAGTCACTGGGCCCATACTCTTAACAATCAGCTGTTGCTTCATACTGTTCGCTGCCCTCCACTTGGCCCACTCCCCTGGATTAGATTACCTGGGGGGCATCTGGGTTGTGACCCCTGTTCTAGGTAGGATATATGCCCTTTTATAAAAAGTGCTAATATTTAGAACTGAACAAAAGTTGTTTTTAAGCTATCTTAAGCTTTCAGGATGTTTCTTTTTCTCAAAATTCATCAGAACTTCAAACTCACCAAATGTCTTCCCTCATGCACAAGATTTTTCAACATTATCCTTAACTTTCAGCACCATTGCTAATGAAGCTCAGAAACTTTAGACACTTTGAGAGTTTAATCCAGAAAAGGCAAAGCTGAGGAGAGAAACAACCCATGTCTACTGATCAGTTAGAGCGGTGATGAAGTTGGTAGGGACGGCACAAGGCAGTGGTCCTCAAACTTGAGTGTGCATTAGGACCACCTGGAGGGCTTGTCAGATACACAGATCTCTGGATCCGAGATTCTAATTCAGTAGGTCAAGAGTGGGGCCTGAGAATTTTCATGTCTAACAAGTCTCCAGCGAGGCTGATGTTCCTGGTCTGGAAACCGCACTTTGAGAAGCACTGAGATCTTTTTGTATCAAATATATCTGTAAATGCACACTGACCGATATTGTTTGGATATTTGTCCCTGCCCAAATCTCATGTTGAAATGTAATCCCCACTGCTAGCGTTGGGGCCTGGTGGGAGGTGTTTGGATCATGGGGGTGGATCCCTCATGGCTTAGTGCTGTCCGTGCGATAGTGAGTGAGTTTTCAAGAGATCTGGTTGTTTAAAAGTGTGTGGCATCTCCCCCTGCCTCTCTCTCTTTCTGGCTTGCTCCTGCTTTCTCTATGTGAAGTGCCTACTCCTGCTTCACCTTTTGCCACAAGGGAAAGCTTCCTGAGGCCTCCCCAGAAGCAGATGCCAGTGTCATACTTCCTGTACAGCCTGCAGAACCATGAGCCAATTAAATCTCTTTTCTTATAAATTACCCAGTCTCAGGTATTTCTTTATGGCAATGTAAGAACAGCCTAATACAGTGGCCAAACACAATAGAACTTTATTTCCCTTTCACAAAATAGTCCAGTCTGGGCGTGATAGCTCATGCCTGTAATCCTAGCACCTTTGGGAGGCCTAGGCAGAAGGATCACTTGAGCCCAGGAGTACGAGGCTGCAGTAAGCTACGGTCACCCCACTGCATTCCAACCTGGGTGACACAGCAAGAACCTGTCTCTTGAAAAAAAAAAAAAAAATCAAAGCAAGTTTTCTCTCATTCAGTGATTCAGAAAGCCAAGCTTCGAGTTTATGCCCCTACTAACCACTAGAAGGACAATGTAGGGATGAAAGGAGGAAACGTACCAGGAAAGTAGGCTACTTTTTAAAAGCCTTGGCATAGAAGTAGCTTCCACTCACATTTCACTGGTGAGAACAAGTCACATGACCATATCTAGATGCAAAGAGTGTTGAAAAATATAGTCCCTGGATGAGCAGCCACCTCCCAGCAGCAATGCTATGAAAAATGAAAGGGAAAGCTCACATTTTTTTTTTTTTTTTTTGGACAGCTTGCCATCTCCACCTCAGCAGCTATGAATGTGCCTCACTCTTAACTCCACTGATTTTCTTCCCCATTCCCAGAAGGCCCTTCTCTCTTCTCATTGTCCATCCAAACCACAACACCCTCCTGGTTATATTACACCTCTACCAGAATTCTTGGTAAAAAATTTCCAGTCTCTTATGTTGGGATGTAACTGAAATAACTTTCCTCAAGAGTTTGTTGTTTCCTTGAGGATATTTATAATGATCACTATGACTTTAAAGACCAAGAGTTGCTCTTCTCCAGTTAATCAAAAGGAAAAAATGAACTGATTGCATTGTTAAAGTTTGATTAAAGACTTACTATAGTCAAGTACCCCATCAGATTTGTTTACCAAAAAATAACAAATAAATAGACAAAGTAAATAGGTAATAAAAGGTGCCTAAAATAATTAACATCTCAACATTAAAACCTAAGTATCCTCCTGCTATTAACACTTTCTAAAATCGCTTCTAGCTCCTGGGATCTAACGTGAGTAATTGAGGTGATCTGTGGTGATCTAAAATCAATTAAAACTAACAATATGAAAATAATATAAAGAATGATCCATTTACCATTGAAAGCAGTAGGAAACGGACCCAAACTAGCTTAAGCACAAAGGGAACTTATTGTTTCACTTAAGATGAAAAGTCCAGGGGTAGAATACATTTCAGATGTGGCTGAAACCTGAACTCAACCAATGGCATCAGGAGCATTTTTCTACATCTCTTGGCTTCATGTTGTAATGGGATGGCAGCAATGGCTGTAATCCCTACACCCTCCTTTAGGTCCAGCAGATAAAATTAAGAGTTCCTCAACGAGGAAAACATCACTGTGATTCATTAGATCTGACTGGGCCCTATGTTCATCCTTAAACAAATCTTGTAGCCAAGGGGAGCTAATTGTGGGTCTCATGTGTAGAGTCAGTTTCACTTAATTCAAACTTACTATGAGCTGGAGAAGGTGGTTCTCTAGGGAATTGAGATATGGGTACTGTTGGGGTTTGAGAAAGCTCAATGCCCCACCTTAGTTTGGAGCCAGTTGAGAGAAAGACCCAGGAGCCAAGTAGAAAAGCCCTAAAATGTCAGCCTTACAACATGGCTTTAGGTCTGTTAACCAAATGAGCTTGCTTCCTGAATTAGATGGGCCTGCCCCATCACGGACATGCAGTCTCCCATGGGGGCCTGCTCCTGTCATGTATGGCATGGAAGAGCATAGAAAGCTGTTTGCACACTTGTAGGTGACAAAGAGAAAATAGAAAGGGGCTGAGAGTCACATGCTCAGCCACTGCACCCAAACTCACCCATCAAGTAGCTCACGCTTCCTCCCTTGAGGGGAAGGGAAAAGGGGGATACAGGAAACCAAGGAGCTAGGAGTGTTTTCTGAAAAAGTCCCTACACACAAAAATGGAAGACTAGGGAATGTATCCTCCCTGCATGTAACAGAGAAGTAAATGATAACAACAGATGTCAACTACAAGTAGAAAATGAGACTTAACTTTTAAATACAGAGAGTAAAAAATATGCATCCAAATGGTTAGAGTGCTCAACATTTTTAGTTATAAAAAGATATTTCTCTCACCTGCCATGGAGACCCCATAATACCCTAGAGATAATATAGTTCACAGTGGTTGCCATTATCTGATTTAGCATTTTCCTACAGATGAAGGATAAACAAGTGCCTTAGTTCCAGCTGCTATAATAAAGTAGTATAGACTGGGTGACTTATAAAGAACAGAAATTTCCCATATTTCTGGAGGCTGAAAGTCAGCGATCAGGGTGCCAGCATGGTCAGGTGCTGGCGAGGACTCTCTTCCAGGTTGCAAACTGCCAACTTCGTGTTGTATCCTCCCAAGGTGGCAAGCAAATGAGCTAGCTCTCCTGCCTCTTTCTAAAAGGCACTAATTCCATTCATGAGGGTTCTTTCCTCATGACCTAATTACCTCCCAAAGGCCTCACCTCCAAATACCATCACATTAGGGATTCGATTTCAACATATGAATTTGAAAGAGACAAAAACATTCAGTGCGTAATACCAAGTATAAAAGTGGACTTAATTTATGTTTCTGCCCTAGGATGAACTGGGATTGAGTAACCAGAAGAATACAGTTGAAAGTTTAAGAAAGAGACTAAAACAAAATAAAGGGGAAATTCATAACGATCTGGATCCGATTCTAGAATGTAAGCTCCATGAGAACAGGCTCCTTGTCTGCACCACTGTATTTTTCCCCAATGCCTAGAATGGGGCCTCTGGCATGCAGTAGAGATTCAGTAAAATTTGCAGGATGATTTAGGAGGAGAAGTTTTGAAATCAGAAAAAAAAAAATCTTTTGAGGGGTTAGTGGTCACAAAAGAACAGTGTCACTTGGGATTTAAGGTTATAATTTGACCCTAACTAAAATGATCCTACTTCATGCTGGTGAAAGAGAATCTAGTGGCCCTAGAAGAGCTCAAGAACTAGGGGAAGCTGGCACAGTGACTCGGGCCTGTAATCCCAACACTTTGGGAAGCTGAAGTGGCAGGATCGCTTAAGCCCAGGAGTTCGAGACTAGCCTGGGCGACATAGGGAGGCCTCACGTCTGCAAAAAAATAAAAAATAAAAATAAAAATAATTAAAAATTTTAGACAATTAGGAAACCAAAAAATATCTGAAATGAGAAGAGTCTTAGAGATAATTTAATGTAGTAATTCCCAACAAAAAACAGCTGTACATTAGAAACACCGGGGGAGTTATTTTTTGAAGAAAAAACGAGTGAGTTTTAAAAGAAAAAACTGGAGTCAGGTCCAGGTCTAATTCACTTTATCCCCTAGGGTGCCTAACACAGGCCATGTTTTCTGACTAGAAGCAAGTAAAGAACAGAGAACAACGTTCTCAGATGGCTATCACAGGATAAGCCACATCCTGGTCACTTGAGTGTCCCTCGAAGCCCTCTTGGGAAAGGGAGTGGCGGAATGACACCTTCTCGTTAGAGCCAACCTATTTTATCACCATGTTCTCGAAAAAGAGTGTACCAGATGAGTGAGTCTGTCCGCCTCAAACAAGACTCCCTCAAAAATATTCTACAAACCATCACCCAACGAGGATGGTGAAAAATTTTGATTTTGAAACTTCTATCGGACCCAACAGGCCCCCACAGCATCCACATATCCACAGGGGCTGTAGGATGTGCTGCGTCGTGTTCACGGCGATGCACTCAACAGCAACTTCCCTTGGCAGAGACCGAAACCTCTCCCACTCCGCGCCGCGGCATGGTGGACAGATCCCGCCCAAGGAGCTTCTAATGGGACCTCCCAACGTCGCCGCACGCAGAGTTGCGGGGGCGGGCGGGGGACGTCCAAGCAATCCGCCTCCCAGCCGGCTCTCCTAGGACCGCCTGGCCCCAGAAGGAGCCATGCAGTTCTCAGTAGCTCACTCGCCCGGGTGTTACGGGGCCCCGTGAAATGCCTCCGGAATGGGTCTTTCGCAGCTCCCCTTAGGAGGGGACGCCGTGGACTAACAGACACCGCTGTCAGGAAGGCGTTGATGCGGCTTCGCGGCTTACATTTTCTTTTTTTTCTTTTTGGTCTTTGAAATTCCTGTAATTTGTTTGCTATAAAAATTCTTCCTTTCCTAGTAAAATTCATAACCATAGTTTAAACATAATTTAGGACTTTGTCAAATATAATACTTAAACTGGAATGTCTCCCCAAGTAAGAGATTTGTGTTTTTCAAAGGCCTACACAGAACTCTCACTTTTTTTCTTAGTAAATACCAATTTCTTTTATTATTATTATTATTATTATACTTTAAGTTTTAGGGTACATGTGCACAATGTGCATGTTAGTTACATATGTATACATGTGCTAGCTGGTGTGCTGCACCCATTAACTCGTCATTTAACATTAGGTATATCTCCTAAATCTATCCCTCCCCCCTCCCCCCACCCCACAACAGTCCCCAGAGTGTGATGTTCCCCTTCCTGTGTCCATGTGTTCTCATTGTTCAATTCCCACCTATGAGTGAGAATATGCGGTGTTTGGTTTTTCCGCAGTGTCAGCTCGCGGTTCCCAATTACCTCCCCTTAGGCCGCCTGGCGTGCAGGATCACAGCCCAGCCTGCCTCAGCACCTCTCCGCCAGAGGTTCTTCTTACAAACGGCCACTTAAAACACAGCCCCGGCCGGGCGCGGTGGCTCACGCCTGTAATCCCAGCACTTTGGGAGGCCGAGGCGGGTGGATCATGAGGTCAGGAGATCGAGACCATCCTGGCTAACAAGGTGAAACCCCGTCTCTACTAAAAATACAAAAAATTAGCCGGGCGCGGTGGCGGGCGCCTGTAGTCCCAGCTACTCGGGAGGCTGAGGCAGGAGAATGGCGTGAACCCGGGAAGCGGAGCTTGCAGTGAGCCGAGATTGCGCCACTGCAGTCCGCAGTCCGGCCTGGGCGACAGAGCGAGACTCCGTCTCAAAAAAAAAAAAAAAAAAAAAAACACAGCCCCACGCCACCCGGCCTTCCTGGAACTGGAGCCACTCAAGCGGGCCAGCTCCAACCCAGTGACGAGTCCCGGGAGCGGCCCGCTTCCCCACGACCCTCTCTCCGCCTAGCTTGGGCCTCCTGCTGGCTGCGCTGGGGAGCTCCCGCAGGTCACAGCGCGCCACCAGTTCCTTCCCCCTTCTCTGCCTGCCTGGGCTTTGAAATACGGTACGTGTTCCTACTGCGTTTGGGGCACTGCTGATGACAGCAGGGCTCTAGCTACCACGCCAAGGGGTCACGGCATTAATTATTCTCTCTTCTACGGGGAAAAGTGTGAGGGCTGAGCCCCGCAAAGCACATGGAATTGGAGTACAGGCAGCACTAACTCTCCAGGCTGAAAATCATGGTGGGTAGGGAGGTTCTCAATCAATTCCCTCACTCCTCCTGTGCCTTTTAACTAACTTTGAAATTCCTCTGGCTGCTGCTGGTGCCTCCGTGCTGTTTCCAAGGGCTGGAGCCCCACACTGATTTATTTGGTAACCATCGCAGGAATTTCAGAAAATGAGAACTGGAGGAGGAAGCCAGGCCTGAAGTAATTAAGATGATTTGTTACACACGATTCAGGTAGGCACAAAGGGGTACCTGAACACAGACAGAATATAAGATCAAAGAAACGGCAGTCCTGAAAGTGGGAGCTCTTCGCAAAAGAAAAACAGGCCAGCGGAAGGCGCCCAGATCACTGCCAAATTAAAACACCTCGTATTTTTATCTTCTCCCAGAGATAAAACAGAGGGAGATAATTTTTTTTTCACATTTGCTTTCAGCAGTTAACTTTCAGAATAAAAAAGAAATTCAAATGTGTCTGCCATTAGTACAAGTTCATGAGATCACCCTACCCGAAATCATTTGTCAGTGGAAAACAGTGTGCTATTTAAGCCCTAGGAATACAGCTGCAAGAGTGAATATTCCTTAGAAAGTACCTGTTCTTTACAAGCTTGTTAGTGACTCTTGAAACTCATGTATGTGATGGGATCTCATGACCACTGGCATCCCACCAGGTCACGGGATGTGGAGAGTGGGGTTGAAGAGGGGAGGGGCAGTGAATGTGCATCCCCGGCCACCATCCAAAAACACAACATGGTCTTTTGTTGTGCATTTCTCCTTCCCTGCAATGTTGATCCTCAAGAACCAACTGTCTTATTATTTTCCAACACTATTTATGCCTCAGACCTTCTGATATGTTGCCACAATACACTCATTCATCTGTCTTCCCCATTAACTAACTTTATGGCCCAAGTGACCTACAGCTGTCACACTCCTGCTCCTGGCTGATATTTCATCCAGAATTCCTCCTGGGCTCTGGATGTTACACTTGTTTGGGACTATGGTGATGCAAAACAGACCTGGAACTGGAATCCATGACTCTGGCAAAATGAAAACAAGCCTTTTTCATCTTCTTTTTCATCCCCTTTCCATAAGGTGACATCAAGATTCTTTACACTCCTGAAATATCATTCTTACCTCCTATAGAGAAGACTTTACGTGTGAGTAATAGCATTACAGGGTGCTTTTTTTTTTTTAAACAGAGTCTTGCTCTGTCACTCAGGCTGGAGTGAAATAGCACAATCATGGCTTACTGCAGCCTTGAGCTCTTGGGCTCAAGTGATTCTCCTATTTCATCCTCCTAAGTAGCTGTGACTACAAGCATGCACCACCACACTCAGCTAATTTTTTTTTATTTTTTGCTGGGACTGGGTCTCACTATGTTTCCTAGGCTGGTCTCAAACTCCAGGGCTCAAGCAATCCCCTCGCTTGGGCCTCCCAAAGTGCTGGGATTACAGGCATGAGCCACCATGCCTGGCTGGCCTAGAATGAATAGTAAGCTTAGCATTTACAACACACCCAGAAGATCAATACCTTCTGATAACCCATTTTAAAATGGAGAAGCTACTGGTTGGGGAAGGTAAGTAACTTGCCTTGGGTCACATAGCTAGCAAGTCAGGGACAGAGGGATGTCTACTGCCTCTCTGAATAAATACCAGATTTCCTTCCGTGCCTGAGACTGTATTTACCTGTAGCCTCAGAGTTGCTGTGGAGACTAAATTGGCTAAGCAGTTGAGTACCCACTTGGTACTATTTTCATCGAATGAATTTTTGACAGAATTGATTGGCCTAAATGAATGTTGCATTGTCTGGGAGTCCCCTGCACTTTGACAGGGTTTTTTCTTCTAAGAGGCCTCCACCTGGGTGCTGATCTTGCTAAAGCCTCCTAGAGGCCTACACACTGCTGTAGGAAGATGGCAGATGGCAGAGGTACTGACCACAATTATAGAAATAAGCAAAGCAACTTGTGCAGTGGTCTCTAACCCATGATGCGGTCTCATTGCTTTGCTCTGAGCAGAAGGTTCGTTACATTCCTTCTCCCTTCAAACATTTTCAGAAGTTCAAGCATCCCCAACAATTCTGCCATCCTCCAGAAAAACCCCACAGAGCCCATGTTAATTCCTCAGCTCCAAAGGACAGGGACATCACAGGACTTTTCCTTGAACCAAGCTTTAATGCAGTTGTTTCTTGTGGTGGAAAGAGACAGTGTAGACAAAAGGCTGTCTCTCTGCTCTGTCACTATTTCCCAAGCTGCAGCATGCACACAAACTATCTAGGCAGCTTGTTAAAATGCAAATTCTGTTTCAAAAGGGCTGGGGGCCTGAGATTCTGCATTTCTAATAGGCTCCCAGGGGATACTTGTGCTGCTGGTCCTGACACTGTGAGCAGCCAGGGATTATTTGCATGGGTCTCTTTTCCTTGTGAACCCTTTGATGTTGCATTTTGACAAAGAAGTCATGTAGAGACTAAAGGCTGTGGCCTCACCTGCTGCTATGGATAGAAGTAGGGCTTTCCTGTGACAGGAAGAACTTCCCAAAGTCAATCACCAGGAAAAGAGAACTTGAGACCACCCAGGAAGAAAGTGCTTCACCCTCTGCTGAACCAGCACTTCCACAGATGAGGCTTAAGCGGTCTCTTGGCATCAGGAACCCTCCACCTGGCAACATTCCATGAGTCAGACAGGCAGACATATGAGGCCATAAATTGAAGAAAAGTAAACTTTGCCTTGTAACCCTGCCTGTGTGCAGTTCCTTTTGTGGCCAGCCTGGCTCAGCTGTGAATCCAAGGAATTAAAAGGTTCAAGTGTCCCCCACCTTGTTCGCCTGCTTAGAACTGGAGAATTAATAATGAATCAGCTCCCTCTGAAGCCAGCCTTGTAGGACCTGCAGAAATTAGCTAGAGACCTCCAAGGGGACAATAAATCTTGAGGAATAAGAGTTGGATCTTTAAGGTCCAGCTGCTCTTCTTACGTGGAGACTTCCCTTCCGTTGACACAAATGAAGGATCTAAGTTTGATTACTAAGGAAGAGAGAGGTTTCTTGTTCATGATGAGAGCATGAAGCTTTAAAAAAGAGAGAGATTTAAGTTTCAGAAACTTGGTTCCTCAATGCAGCAGGTGGACCTGAAGTTGTCAATGTCATAGCTAAAGACTGGGAAAACACAACTCAAGAAAGGATGGCTGTGGGCAAAGCCAAGCAGCCTGGTTTAGCACCCCCTAGCGGAAGAAGGGGACAATGTTTATGGTCCCTGCTTCTGGTTAGCTAAGGAACTTAACCGCTGGAATTCCGTGCAAGGTCATTTCTCTAAGCAGGAATCAACTCAAGCTCTGATCCTCCCTAATAGCATAACTATTTGCCACGCATCTAGCCAAGAGTTAGTTAATGCTGCTTCCACAGGGAAAGAGGCCGTGGTCAGACCAGCCTTTAATGAGCATCCCAGGGCCTGGCTAGACTTGGAGGGAGGGAGCATATTGAGATATTAGTCGAAGCTCCAAAACAATAGGTGCCTGCGCCCTCTAAGTAGCTCATGTGTTACAGATCTGACAAGTCTCATTGATTTAAATAGCTGGAGCACTGCTTGGATTTTAATCTCCTTCACCCTTATACCAAGGAGGTCGCTGTTTAAATGCTTTTACTTAATAATGTAAACACCTGTCACACGCCAGGGGCAAAGCTATTAGGGAGAAGGATTATTTAAAGCAACGCTCCTGAATACAACATTGCTATTATTGTCTTATCCTCAATTGCCAGGGTCTGAGCAATTTTTAAGATCAGAGACAGCAGCCAAGTCACCTAGTGCTCTGTCCCCTAACACCCAGACAGAATAGGCATCTGCTCACATGCTGTCATCTGAATGCCATCAAATATCTGATCTTCCAAGAGTGTTGTACTCAGCGCATGTGTTTACCAAAGTCCCTTGTTAAAATGGAAAGCTGTTTCCATAGGGTGCTGTCTATTAGGCCTATTATCCTGGTAGCTACAAGGCACAGGAACTAAACCCTTTACAATTATTATCGCTTTTATATCTACAACAACCCTATGATTTAGTGCTGTTGTTAACCCCGTAATATGAAGAACAGAATGGGTAAGCAACTTTCTCAGGGACACACAGTATTTAGCAGAAAAAAGATTCAAACATAGGATTGGCTTCAGAGTATATGCTTTTAGGCACTATGCCATATTGTGTCTCACTACACACACACACCCCAAGGAGATACATATGGATATATAAATATTTTTTTGAGACAGGGTCTCACTTTGTCACCCAGGCCATGAACATGGCTCACTACAGCCTCGACCTCCTGGACTCAAGCAATCCTCCTGCCTCAGACTCCCAAGTAGCTGGGACTACATGTGAGCGCCGCCATGCCTGGCTAATTTTTGAACTTTTTTGTAGAGACAGGGATTCACTATGTTGCCCAGGCTGGTCTCAAGCTCCTGAGCTCAAGCAATCCACTCGCCTCGGCCTCACAAAGTGCTGGGATTACAGGCGTGAACCACCGCATGTGGCCTTATATATAGGGGTGTGTGTGTGTGTGTGTGTGTGTGTGTGTGTGTGTGTGGCAGTCATTAGGACCCATTAGTTTACCACATAAGCCTGTCACATGGCAAGGTAAAAGCCTAGAGGAATGGCATAGAAGAGAGTAGAAGGGGGGAAACAAACAGAACCTAGAGGGTTAGTGGGTAGGAGAGCCTGAGGCTATGCCCTAAAGCCTGGACTGTGGTCTTTGGAACAGAATATGGGCATCAGGAGGCCTGGAGTTAGGACCTGCCAAGACCAGGGATGTGAGAGCACTGCCTATAACCTAGCTTGGAGGAAGGATTCTCCCTGCTTCCTCTCTCTCCCTTCCTTTACCCAAGCTGCTTCATCCATGAGGCATGCTTAAAGCCAAAGCACAAGCCCTTCCCTCACCCCACTTGCCATATATGTCTTCTGAATGCTCATCATAGCTACCAGTCTTGGCAAAACTCATATCTTCTTGAGACCTGTCAATAGCACCTAAAGCCCTGATGTCATCTAACCAACTGTTGGTTAATGACATTGACCCTAAGCAGGAAGGCGTGCTAATGGAAAGTGTAGGCCGCAGTAGGCACTTGTCTTTATTCAAGTTACTGGTCAAATATTGTTGTGGTTTATTAAATTAAGACAACTACTCTTCCACAAACATATCTTAGTGATGAAAGCCAATCTCTATAACTTGGTTCTGGCACCTCAGTTCAACAGTAATTTGGTAAGCAAACCCTTTGTTACAATACAAAACAAAAAAATAGAAAATGGTTCATTCATTCATTCATCAAATAATCATTAAACTTCTTTTATATAAGGCACTGTTCTTAGTACCGTAGATGAATCAGAAAATAGGAGCATCACTATCTCTGCTCGTGTGGAACTTTCAGCTCTATGGGAGACAGAAAGCAAATCAGCAAAGGGGGAAAATAATGTCAGGTGTTGAAAGAAAACACTCAGAGCAGTGTTTCTCCAAGAGTGATGCCCATCCTGGCAGCATCAGCATCAACTGAGAACTTGGTAAAACACAGAACTTCATGCTGCTTCCAA
Source organism: Homo sapiens (assembly GCF_000001405.40). Lineage (NCBI taxonomy): Eukaryota > Metazoa > Chordata > Mammalia > Primates > Hominidae > Homo > Homo sapiens. The sequence goes on along the minus strand of NC_000004.12, from coordinate 57,188,730 downwards.
ACCTGCTGAATCAAAAACTCTGGCCATGGGCCCCAGCAACCTTTGTTTTATCAGGCCTGCCAGGTGATTCTAATCTGTGCTAAGGCTGAGGAATCACTAGAATAGAAAGTGAGGGTGGAGAAGGGAGCATCTTTAGATAAGATAATCAGGAGAGGCTTTTCTGACATTCAAACTGAGACCTGACGGATGAAAAGAAACATGCCTTGCAAGAGCCAAGAGAAAAAATATTCCGGGCACAGGGAACAACAGGTGCAAAGTCCTTAAGGCAGGGAAGAACTTGTTATGGTCGAGGAACAGAAGGGAGAGAAGTATGACCAGAGCACAGTTATTGAAAGGGAAGCTGATGGGTGCAGGGGTCAGATCATGCAAGGACTTAGAAACCTCAGTAAGGAGGATGAATTATAAACTCACATAAATGCCCTAATGAAGGAAACATGGTCCTGTGAGAGCTTGTAGCACATGAACCCAACCTAGTTTGTGGGTCAGGAAGAGCTTTCCAGAGGTAATGATGTTTGAAGATAATTTTTTTTCTTAACTCTTATAAGTTCTTAGAACAGTCCCCTGTAACAAACAAAAAAAAAAAGGTTAACGAGAGAAAAACAAACAGATGTTTGTTTGATGTACGTATATTTCATACATACATGGGAGAAACCCAGAGAATAAGAAACTTTCGAAGAGGTGGCTTTGAATACCAATTTATATAGTATCTTCAACAAGGAACAGTACGTTTTTAGATTTGTGACACAAAGGAAAAGAACTTTGAGTCCTTAGGGGCAGCAACTTTTGGAAAGGCAAATAATTGGCAGATAAAGGCTAGTTGGTGAAGCTTGTTAATGTAGGTTCCTCTGGTGCTCTCTCCAGGCATGTAAGGATCCAAAGTTGTCTTAAGTGGTTAATCTCTGTTTGCCTGGGGAGCAAGAGGAGGTGGGATGTCTTTTGTCTTCATAAATGTATGTCCTGATTTGAGGCAAATAGGGAAAGAGCAGGGTGCTTTCCTGCATGTGTTTCTCCTTATTTGCGGTCAGCTCAACAATCCTCATGCCAAAGAGGCATATTTTGGAGTGGCATATCCTGATCTCCCACAGTCAAGGGTAAGTTCAAGACAACTAAAAAAGTGGAGGAACCATCAGGTGCAAAGGCCCGAGATAGGAGAGAGCACAACACTGTCAAATGTTTCCATTGTGAAAGGCTTTGAAATAGGCAAAGATGATTCATGGATGTTCTAACACACCCTTCCTGGTTATTCTGTAGTGTTCATTGTCTTTGGCCTATTTTACAACTACTGCAAGTTGTAGAAAACTGAGAGTAATGCAAATGATTCTTGTCCATAGAAACGCAAATTAATTTTGCCCAGTGGAATGCAGTTGATTATTGTCCTAGGAATTTGGGTAGTTTTGCAACTATTAACAAATTCAGTTCAGCCTTTCCTGATTGTGTGTGTGCGTGCGTGTGTGTGTGTGTGTGTGTGTGTTCTGAATTCTTCTAACCAGTTGTGACATCTTACTGATTCGCTCATTAATCAGTGAACTAAAAAAATCTTTGACACATGTTCATTTTATAATCATACAAGAGTTATAATTTTACCCTTCAGAAAAATTATTCTTTAACAACATATACAAGGAATTACAAAGGGGCAGTATGGTACCAGATTGCCAGACAAAAATATAGGACACTCAGTTTGAATTCAGATAAATAATTTTTTTCTATAAATATGTTCCAAAAATCATACATACTAAAAGAGTCTTCAGTGTTCATCAGAAATTCAAACTTCCCTGGGCACCCTGTATTTCTTCTTGCTAAATCTGACAATGCTGCAGCATGGTCACCGTGGCACTGTGCTCCTTCTGTGGCCCCTATTGGCTTCTGGGTTTGGGAACAGAAAGAACCACCTTTTATTGGTCTTTGACTCCTTCTCAGAGGCAACATCAATGTATCTCCTCCTCAAATTTCAAACCAAATTTCATTTTGTGTTTTAAAAATAAATTAGCTTCAATTGTCTCCTTTATAAAGGGGCAGATGCAGCCAGGCTTTTCACAAGGGTACTCTTTCTACCCTGTGTTACTCCATCACACAGAGCTTGAAAAGTTTCCGCCAATCCCACCGACGTGGAAACTGGTAACTTAGTGCTGTAAATCAGGGGTCCCCAGCCCCTGGTCCACAAACTGGTATGAGTTAGGAACAGGGCCCCACAGCAGGAAGTGAGCAGCATTACCACCTGAGCTCCGCCTCCTGTCGGATCAGCAGCTGCATTAGATTCTCATAGGGGTGCAAGCCCTATTGTGAATTGCTCATGCAAGGGATTTCGGTTGTGTTCTCCTTATGAGAATCTAATATGCTAATAGCTGATGATCTTGTCTGAGGTGGAACAGTTTCATCCCAAAACCATCTCCCGCCCCTTCTGTGGAAAAAAAAACGTCTTCCATGAAACCAGTCCCTGGTGCCAAAAAGTTTAGGGATGGCTGCTGTGAAGCAACAGTTTTACTATACTGTAGTACAGTACTCTATTGCTTCTACCGAACCAATCAGCTGAACTAGATGAACAAGAACAACCAAACTGACCATTTTTTAACTCAACAGACCAGTAGACTTGTTGCATTTCAGTACTCTTGGAAAAACTGCTGTCTTATTTCCTATCTGCCTATGAAAGACTTTCTTTCTGGCCCACAAGAGTGTGTGAGGTGCCATTTACTCTGAGGTCAGGGACAAAGAAAAAAAAGAGAGAAAAGAAAGGCAAGTTCTATGGATGATGCACAGTGAGATGTGAGAATGTCTCTGACCTCACATACATTCCCCCTTCTCATCCCCTCATCCCTCACTCTATCCAAAATTGCCTGTTTTTCCCCTAAAGTTTTGCAACTTTAGGATGAAGCTTTTCTATATTCAAGCCACCTATTAAAATGCAAATATCTTCCCACGAGAATACCCTAACATCAGCTAACATTTTAGTAGGAATTGACTGACAGGACATAATATACAAACCATGCATGTGGGGAGAAACAGAATAGGTGTGTGGTAAGGGATGTTGAGGGCAGGCAGGAAGGAAACCCCCAGAGAGAAGGAGGATATGTAAGAGGCCTGAAGACATGCTTTAGGCCTTACACCAATCTTGTAAAACAAAGTCTATAAAAATCTACGGAAAGATCATTTTAAATTCAGGGCCAAATGCTTTTGATATTTCCTCTGCCTTTCCCTATAATGTGATATAAGATACCCCCAAAAGGAGATTTTCATGGTAACATATTGTTGACTGGGTAGGCTTCCCTGCAGACTGGCAGTAGAGACATACCTGCAAAATGGAGACTCCCCTCCCCAAAGGCAGTCTGATTGCCAGCAGAAGTTTGATCACACCCTCCCCAGCCCAGTTGGCTCTCAGAGGAATTATCATCACTTTCTGAATACACAAGATGATGAATGTGCCCAGCTCTTCCTGGGATGTAGGAGTGGGAGCCTGGCAGACAATTCTCTCCAGATTGAATAAATGCTGGGGGGCCCGGGGGAAGATCATTGTCCCCAGGAAGCATCCATCCCTCTTTAAGCAATGGCTGTGCACACCAACCTTGGATCCCAACTTCTGTAATATTTCTCTGTTATAAATTGGCAGGCACAGCATGTGGTCAAGGAGCCATTACAAGCCCTCTCAAACAATATTTTTTTTCCCAGAGACTTAATTTCTTAAAATGTGAGAGTGATTCTTCTGCGGAAAGTAGAACAGTGTCTTTTTGAGCCTGCCAGACAAAAACAAAACTAAACAAAACAAAAGGCAAAGTCTCTGAGAGGATAACAAGGCGAGCAGGCTTCCTTGTGTGCACCTGGAGGCCCTTCCTTCGGCGCTGTGGCTGCCTTAATGAGAACAGATGGCACCGTCGGGAGACGGGCTCGATATTATACGCCTCCCGTGTCCTCCTTCTGAAACCAGCTTTGAGCAGATCTTTTTTCACTGTGAATTGGCGCCGGTTGTTTAAGCGGTGGCCTAGCCATGTGCCAGAAAGCAGGATGTTCATACAGAAAGCAGGATGCTAATACATTCACAGCTGCCTCTTGCAGAACTCAAAGCCTTTTATAACGGAGCAGGTGAAGTCTTTGGAAGGCCCGCTTCAAGGATGGAGGAAGAGGCTGCCATGAGCAGCCCACAGAGAGTGACTCACCTAACCACTGTCAGAGAAGAAACCCCATCCCCCAGTCCCCACTCTGTGATTCTAGCTGCCTAATGCCGCCTCGTGGCTACAGCCCGAGACCCTCCCCGTGCAGGGTCCAGAAGGTGGGAAGGCAAAGATTCCACCTGGAGCTTAGGAAGGTCTGAAGGGGCTGAACCTGAATGTGGTAGCTCTGGCTGACCAGCCCCCATCCCCCAAGAGGTAGAAGTCACCACCTCTGTGCAGAAGCTGTTTCTCATCGCCTCATGCTTGGCCTCCTGATCTGGGGCAGACTCAGGTAAGCTCCCACAGCGGTATCCACAGAATGAAGGCAGAGAGATCTCAACAGTAGGAAACTCTGGCATTTTAAACTCTGCATTTCAACATAAGTTGTTTTGTTGTCATCATAATTACCAAATTTAAATTACCTCTATTTTCGGGTCTCAGGAAGCCATAAAGAGAGAAAGCAAAGATTTTCACGGTGAGAAACGAGAAATGATGAGGAGAAGAGGCAACCTGTGGAGCCGAGACTTAAAGAGGGAATATGTTTCTGGAGTCAGCTGCAGCCGAGGTGTCTAAAAATGAAAGAAGAAGGGGCACTCGGTGAGTGGACAACACAAATGGAAAAGGAGTGGAGTTTGGAAAACAATCTTCCAGTTCCACCGGAGGGAAGGCCCAGATGAAGTTATCCAGAGGAATTTTTGCGTGGTGGTCAGGTGCAGGATTCTAAAATGAGCATAGAAACTGGAATCATGTTGTGGGTTTGTGTGTGTGTGTGTGTGTGTGTGTGTGTGTGTTTGTTTGTTTGTTTTTTGAGATGGAGTCTTGCTCTTGTCGCCCAGGCTGGAATGCAGTGGCACGATCTCGGCTCACTGCAACCTCCACTTCCCAGGTTCAAGAGATTCTCTTGCCTCAGCCTCTCGACTGCAGGCGCCCGCCACCATGCCCAGCCCATGTTGTTTTGTGTGCCTGACAGCAGTGTTCACAAAGGATGGGATAACCACTCAGAACTCAAGATTTCTCCTGCATCTTTACAAAATAATAAAAGCCAAAACCAGGAGGCGTAGGAGAAAAGACAACAATAATTAACCAGTGTGCCCTTTCAAATCATTAATTGACTAACTTGACTATAATATATAACAGAACACCATAATCCATTACATATCATGTAGTAAAGGAATATTCAAAGATTTGTGAAATGCTTCTAATGCAGTTTGAGTGACAAAGCAAGTCACAAAGCAGAATATGAAGTATGATTCCTAATTTTGCTTTTAAAATGCACCTACATACAAACATGATAAAGAAATAAATACACGTACATTCCACAATGGTTGCATTGGGATGAGACAGTTATAGGTGATCTTTAACTTTCCTTTACATTTTTCTAAATTATATATCCTGCACCTTTTCTAAGCACAGAAAAAGAAATTAACATGTAATTTTACATTTCTAATATTTGTACAGGAAAGCCTCTCCAGTGAGCATTTCTGTGTGAAGGGACCCCAATAATCCCATGCATACCCATCCCCCAGCCTCATCCAGGGTGGAGCTCAGGCCCCACCTGCAGTATTATATCTTCATTCCCATTGTTCTTGAAAAATTAAGTCTCCTCAAGGGTTCTTAAAGCTTCTGTGGAGTTTTCAAAGGTTGAAATTATGCCTTAGTCCATAGTTCCATACCCCAACATCAATAACCGTGTCTGACACAAAATAACTGTTCAATAAATGTTCAAGGATTGGATAAACAACCAACCCCAAATTCCCCAAGTGAGATTATCACATTTATTGCTTAGCCCCTCCTGTGTTAATAAGATCAAGAGAAATGTCATAGCAGCAATACACAGTGCCGCTTTATTTCACTTCCTGTTTTTTGGGAGGTGCACTCGATCCCTGCATCGTGTGAATCATCACATCCACACCTACCCCATATCACTGAGCAAAGACATGATCGCCAAGTTAAAAAGTGCCATGTCATGGAACCCCTAGTGAACCTGGACTGATTCAAGGGTGAAACCATGTTGATTCTCTTGACCACTTGTACAATCTCATCCTCAGCCTTACGCTGGGCATGTGGGTCTGATCAAGGTTCTTGGCCCTGGGCATGTCTCCCCCGGGCACCATGCTTTACATAAAGTAGCAATTCAGAATCTCCATCAGGATCACCAGGAAGCCAAGCCATCCAGTCTAATGAACGCTGACAAAGGGCCAGGCCCTGGGAAGACAAAGAGGAATGCTTACTGCCACATAGCTCTGCCAACCACTGGACATGTGACGGAAGGACACTGGCAGGATGCCCAACAGCTGCTACTGGGTGAGCTGATATGAGTGAACCAAGAAAAGCATGGTCAAGCAGAGCCCACCAACTGATGTTACCACTGAAAATCCCCACACCCTCAGGCCCACTAATGCTATTCCAAGAAATTTATTCTACAGAAACACTTCCACATGTGCACAAAGGGATATGTAAACGTATACTGATCACAACAGTGTTTGTTTTAGCAAAAAAAAAAAAAAAAAAGAATCACAAACAACTTATATGTCAAGTAATAGACTAAATATATTATGAAATAGTATTCAGGTGTGAAAAGAATAGCTAAACCTCATCTAGCACTCATATAGCATATGTTGCAGGCTCTGTTGTAAATGTGTTACATGCGTTAACTCAGTCCTCCTAGCATCCTATGAGGTAGGTTACCGATATTAACCCCACTTTACAGGCGAAGAAACTGAGGCATGGAGCCATTAAGTCAGTTTCCCAGGATCACGCAGCTAATAAGTGATGGATCCAGGATTCAGGACGGAGGTTGAATGGATCTAAACTCCACACCATTAACCACACATCATAAAATACCAAACGGAGCAGGACCTGAAGTCAGGTGTGTGTCTAGTGCAACACATGTCCACCAGCAATAATGAGATCAGTTTTAATATACTGGTATAGAAAGATAAACCCAAGGTATTGTGAAGTGGAAAAAGTGAACTGCAAAACAGCACACACATTCCCATTTTTACTTTTTAAAAATCTTGACAAAAATAAATGCTTAGACAAGAAACATCCAAAGGTGCTCCCCAGACTGCTGAAAGTGGTCTCCTCTGGAAAGGGACTGGAAAAGGAGTTAGAGAGGTTAGGGAAGCATCCTAATTGATCTCTGACTTTTCTACATTATTTGAATTTTATGAACATACATTCCTTCAGCAATTTTGAAAAGAGAAGAAAATTAACAAAGAAAAAAGCATAGCCCAGAGAAGGTAGATCAAGCAGAATGTGTGGGTAAGGCCAATTTAGGGGATCCAACCTCTGATATACGGGTTTCCTTCACACACAAAAAGCAGACTCACAAAGTACACAACCTAAGTACCTGGGCCCCAGGTAGACGTGTTACGGGTCATCCGTGTGACTGGTGACATATCCCATTTCAGTTCCAGCTTGCCCAGCAGTTACTTGGCGTAAAGAACAGTATGATTTTGTAGAAGGGCTTGGGGTTAGCAGTCAGAAGGTCTAGGTTAGAATTCCAGCCCTACCTCTCACAAGCTATATAACTTTGGGCCACTCAGCTCTTTGGGCCTCAGTTTTGTCTTCTGTAAGATATACATAGTAACATCTACCTCACAGTGTTGTTCTGAGATTAAATGAGAAGACATGCCAGTGTCAAGCTCAGTAGCTGTCACTTCACAGGCATGCAATTGATGTGAGCTAAAAATGACTCCAATTCAATGTTCTTGGGGTCTCCTGACCCCAATCCAGTGTTCTTTCCATTAACCCACATTGTCCTCCTCTCTGCTCATTGTCTGTGCTTGGACTGGAAGAGGCAAAGATGGGTTAGCCACTACAGAATGGGAGAAAATTTTTACAACCTACCCATCTGACAAAAGGCTAATACCCAGAATCTACAAAGAACTTACACAAATTTACAAGAAAAAATCAAACAACCCCATCAAAAAGTGGGCAAAGGATATGAACAGACACTTCTCAAAAGAAGACATTTATGCAGCCAACAGACACATGAAAAAATGCTCACTATCACAGGCCATCAGAGAAATGCAAATCAAAAGCACAATGAAATACCATCTCACACCAGTTAGAATGGCAATCTTTAAAAAGTCAGGAAACAACAGGTGCTGGAGAAGACATGGAGAAATAGGAATGCTTTTACACTGTTGGCGGGACTGTAAACTAGTTCAACCATTGTGGAAGTCAGTGTGGCGATTCCTCAAGGATCTAGAACTAGAAATACCATTTGACCCAGCCATCCCATTACTGGGTATATATCCAAAGGATTATAAATCATGCTGCTATAAAGACACATGTAAACGTATGTTTATTGCGGCACTATTCACAATAGCAAAGACTTGGAACCAACCCAAATGTCCAACAATGATAGACTGGATTAAGAAAATGTGGCACATATACACCATGGAATACTATGCAGCCATAAAAAGGGATGCGTTCATGTCCTTTGTAGGGACATGGATGAAGCTGGAAACCATCATTCTGGGCAAACTATCGCAAGGACAGAAAGCGAAACACTGCATATTCTCACTCATAGGTGGGAATTGAACAATGAGAACACGTGGACACAGGGTGGGGAACATCACACACTGGGGCCTGTCATGGGGTGGGGGGAAGGGGGAGGGATAGCATTAGGAGATATACCTAATGTAAATGACGAGTTAACGGGTGCAGCACACCAACATGGCACATGTATACATATGTAACGAACCTGCACGTTGTGCACATGTACCTTAGAACTTAAAGTATAATAATAATAATAAATAATTTAAAAAAAAAGATGGGTTAGCCAGATCACATCCATGTGGGGCCATGTTCAAAATGCCCTTGAATTTGTGCTCCTCCGACCTCTAACCCGTGATTACCGGGAAGCTTTTTCTTGAAAGAAGCTGCAAGCACTGGGAAATTCTGTTCCCAGGCTGAGGAATACATTTCAGAAAACTCAGTGGTTAATACTGTGCCCAACCAGGGCACCTCCTGACCAAGTTTTTGCAGTTGTCCCACTATGCCATGTGGCTTCGTTGTATGATATTGATGGAGTCCCTTAATCTTCCACCTCAATTTTCTCATCTGCAAAAATGAGGATGGTAAATAATCTGTGCCTGCTTTCTAACAAGGTTGTTGAGAGGATCAAATGATAGAGATAAACATCTATGACAGTTGACTAATTGTTCACCACTATCCATTCTTCTCTTCTTCCCCTTGGCAATAACACCCCAAACTCTAGCTAAACATACCCCGCTCAACTAGAGACTGCAGTTCCCAGCCTTTATTGCAGCTACATGTGGCCAAGCAACCAATTACCTGCCAGTGTGATGCAAAGAGAAGTGATAATCTTCCATTTTCAGGCCATGCCTTCATAAAGGTACTGTTGGTTCAACTTTCCCCTTTCCATTTTCCTTCAAATTGGAGGTTGGACATGGTGGTAGTGAGTCATCTTCAACCCTAGATGGTAGTTGAACAAGATAGAAGGTATCTGGGTCCTGTACAAACTCATAAAGCAGAGCTGCCTACCACCTACCACCTTTGGACCACCTACCAGCTCAGACTTCTATGAGAGAAGAAATAATCCTCTTATTTTATTAAATCCACTGTTACTTTATTGTAATATCTAACCAATATGTTAACTATTGCAACATTCTATGACTATGTAAACTGCCATGCTAAGACTTTATACTGTGCTTATTGTTAATTACATCTGCCAGCTTGATTTAACAAGCTGTGTTGTCACATAGAAGTCACCATCTTATTCACAGGACCACAATTTCTGTTTCTGTAGGTCCCATAGGATACACAACTATTCATTCAGAGGTCTTACATTCATATGAGGCAAACTGTGAGGGTTTTTCCTAGCATCCCTCTGGCACAGTCCTTTCTGTTTCTATACTGAGAGTCCCTGGTAGCTTGCTTTCTTAAAGACTAAAACTTCTTCCGAACATTTGGAAGCTTGGCAAGGACCAGGTCACAGCCCCTGTGATAACTAGCCTCACATGTGATATTTTCCCCAACCCGACCTGGAGCAAACACTTTACCTTCTAAATAGTTTTCAGCCAAGCAAACTAAATATTTGAATTGAAACGTTTGCTGGAGTTGTTGTTTTTTAATGCAAACACACACACACATATGCACACACAGATGTACCTGCCATACCTGCTTTGGGGAAGGAGTGCAGAGAAAAATAAGTAAGGGGCAATGTTATCAAGGAAGTTTACCTCTTCTGTCTCATTTGTCAACATATCATCTTGCACTCTCTGAGCAGCCAATCTTGAAATATGTGCAGTTTCAGATCTACATGCTGTCCCACGCCTTGGGACTTGTACAGTTTGCCATCCTCTTGCCTTTACCTATTAACTCGTACATTCTCTGGGTCTCAGTTTGAACATCCACCTTCCAACAAGGCTTTTCTAACCCTCCAAGACTGGCAAGAAGAAAAGGACTCCATTTCCCTTGTCATCACTCTTACTGCTCTGTGTTGTTATTTGTCTGTGTCTCCACCTGGATTATAAGCACCTAAAAAGTAGGAACTGGGCCTTATCTCTCTCTGTGTCTCTGATATCTAGTGTGGTGTCTGGCACAAAGTAGACACTCAATAATTTTTGCTGGATGAATGAAGGCAGCATGTCCCCATAAAAGCCCTAGTAGTTCTTGCTCCACAGAGAGCAAGCACGCCCTGGTAAATAAGCTGGCCCACTGGTAGGCCCACCCTATGTCTTCTAGGATGCCCAAACACAGTGTGATTCATGTACCAGTGGAGGTCTGGCTCCAGACCTTGAAGCTTTGGGAACAAAAACTTGCCCTGCTAAATGCGACGCTCAGAATCAGAAAAAAATCTGCCCAACTGGATTGCGTGATCCTGGCTCCCCGTCTGTCTGTGAGCATATTGAGAAAGGAAGGTATCCCTTTAAAGCAAAGTGCATCCCACTTACTCTTCCGGGGTGGTAGTGGCCCTGTTAGAGATTTACTCTGACATGTTTAAGCACCATGGAATGGTTCTTACTGATTGCATTGCAACTGGATGCCAGATGATCAGACTTTTCCAACAAGAATGGCCCCAGTGGGTAGTGGGTTTGCCAATGTGCTACTTTAATGACTATTCATATCAGCTCTATGCTCAAAGGTCCCAGGTTATGTCTCTATCTACTCCAGTGTTTATTTAGTGCTCAGTGTTAGGATGAGTAATAAGCCCCTTAGCTTTGTGACAGATTGTTCTTTAAACATGAGACCCATCAGCACTCTGCTCTTGAGCTCCTGCTAAGCAGAGAAGATTCCCAGGGAGTAACTCCTCAGCCCCACGGGAGTTTCTGAAATGTGAAATTGGAGGTCGGTGGCGGCATAAACAAATCTAAAAACAGCTCTTGTGAAAAATCTGCTCTACGGTGTAGGACCCATTTCTGTTAGAGCTGATTGAGACCTTCCATGGGTCCTGGATCCCTCCCACTGAGGTTAGTGGGAGGTGGAAAGAAATGTGAATTTAGCGCTTGTCTCTGACTCAAAAACACCAAATTTGGAAACAAGTAATACTTCGATTGGGTTTTGTTTGGTTTTTAAATCCTAAGGTATCTGCTTTCTCAGGGCAATATTAAAAAAATTTTTAATTAAAATAAATAACTAAATAAATCCTAGGATATGTTTTTCTACCCCTCCAAAAGACAAAAATAGATATACTCTCTTACCCTTTTATTAGTGGTGGAGAAAGTGAGGCATAGAGAAGTCGATAGCCTGAACTCTGCGGTAGGGGCTACCTGGTAAGTCAGGAAGAGCAGTGAGGATTCTGGAGCCCAGAACAGGTCCTGACCACTTGCTCATGTGCCTGACAAACGGCCTGGCATCTAATAAATAGGCGTACCATAAATGTTTATTGATGAATGAATGAATTTGTTAATGACAGAATGAAATTGACTAAACCAATGTCTCTCATATTTGAGTAATATAAGAACCTCTTCTGGAGAAATAATAGTCTTTCGGTACCAGAAATTGTCTGTAAAACCCCTGAATAATATGGTCATAAAAAAAAAAGTAAATTCACCACTAGGCAACATGGAAGAACCCCATCTCTACAAAAATTACAAAAACTAGCTGGGCATGGTGGTGTGCGCCTGTATTCCCAGCCACTGGGGAGGCTGAGGTGGGAGGATCGCTTGAGCCTGGAAGATTAAGGCTGAAGTGAGCAGAGATCACACCGCTGCACTCCAGTCTGGGTGACAGAGCAAAACCCTGTCTCAAAAAAATTAAAATTAAAGTTACATAAATAAATAAATAAATAAGAAAATGCCTCTCCATAGCAAATTATCATTATAAAAAAATAATTTCTGTATTTATAACTGATAAAATGTTTTATTATTATTGACAGATAAACACAATTTTTTAAAGTTCTCACAGAATTCATAGACCTCAAGTAACACCAGCAAACCCGTTTGAGAAAGACCAGCCCAGATTGTAAGCCCTGGACTGAAGGCAGGGCATAGTACTGGACTTCATCCTCAGCACCTTGACCTGGTCGCCCTTCTCTGACTATTTGAGGTTGATGATGGTGATATGACTATGGCCAGCCTCCTGTCCTACACAGGAAAGGAAAACCTGTAATGCCAACCAGGGACTGGTAAGCACCATAGGAGTGCTCAGGCACTCAGGGTGACAGCAGACAGCACTGCAGCCACCCAAAGCTCGAGTCCAGCTGGGTGATCAGAAAAGATTCCATAGTGGACGTGGAAGGTGAGCTGGGTCCTGGAACATAAAAAAGACTTTGTGGCACAAAGAACAAAGAGGAGGGCTTTACCATTAAGAAAGGGAAATATTTTCCTTTCCTGTTGATTTGCTGCCTCCTCTCAAATTGGATTTACCAACAAAGACAGGCCCTAAGGACATGCATCAGAAGTCCCTTCAAGCCTCAGAGGACTGGATGGGTTTTGAGTAATGCCCAGCTAGGCAGGACACACTAGAAAGATAATTGAAAATCTAAAGAAACTCTGATTCATCCATGAAAAAAAAGCACGCCAGGGAGCCAAAAGAAAATTACTCTTTTCTACCACCTTCTGTCTCCTTTCTCTCCACTTCTGAGTATGAAAACTACTTTAGGCCACCCAGATCCTGCTCTCAAAATCTGAAGTTTGTCACTAATGATCTGAAACTCTCCTTTCCATGTTTTCTCAGGTCTTAACCCAAACCCCCACACTCCTGCATAGCAGGTCCTTGAGGTCCACTACTGTGTCTTCTTCATGATTTTTTCAATGTTATACTGCCAATCACATCTATGCATTCAATAAATATTTGCTTTAAAAGACATTCTTTGGTCAGGCGCAGTGGCTCATGCCTGTAATCCCAACAATGTGGGAGGCCAAGGTGAGCAGAACACTTGAGCCCAGGAGTTCAAGGTCAGCCTCGGCAACTTAATGTGACTCAGTCTCTACAAAAAATTTTGAAATTAGCCTAGCATGGTGACATGCACCTATAGTCCCAGCCACTCAGGAGGATGAGGCAGGGAGGATCACTTGAGCCCAGGAGGTCAAGGCTGCAATGAACCATGATTGCACCACTGCACTCCAGCTTGGGTGACAGAGCAAGACCCTGTCTCAAATATGTATATGTATATATATAGTTTTATAGTTATAGTTACAGTTATAGTCTAGCAAAAAAAAAAAAATCCAGAGTTCTATTGCCCAATCTCTTCTCAGTTGTCAAAACTTATTTCTAAGAAGCTGACAAACTCAGCCACATTAAGATTTAACTAATACCACTTGGTACGTTGCCCTACCCAGTGGCATTTTAAATCCCATGTAAGTAGGATTTTAGGTATATTCAGAAACAGAATTGGGACACAGGTCAAGGCTAAAGAGGAGGTGTTCTTTGTTTCTAAGCAAATAGGTATAACTTACTAAGCTGATGTTGAGGATGGTTCTTATCAAAAAGATGAAGTGAGATTCTGGCATACTCAGAGAAGGGCCATAATGTTGGTCCTGTCATCATAGATAGGAGTGACAAAGAACAGCCTTTAAAAAAAAAAAAAGTAAAGGAAAAACCACAATCTATAGCCTAGGAACACTTATTAAGATGAGATTTAACCAAAGACTATAAAATCTTAAATGGTAGATAATAAGGTCAAGCCAAGTTACTATTTTCAGCTTAGAACAGATGACGAGACACGAGGACATAAATGGAAATTAAAAGAAAAGGGATTCAGAGCAGATCAGAAGGTTACCAAAAATAATCGATGGCTGAAATGACTTTCTGGACTCATTCACTTGTGCTGAAAATATTGGGTCATTGAAAAAGTAATGAGATGATATTCTTGGGAAATGGAATAGTTAAAATGAATGAGTCCAGATGGATCCCAAGACTTTAATCATTCTAAAGAGAAATGCTGGCTGGGACTCTCTCTCTCCCAAACCAAGTTAAAATTTCATTCTAGGGAGAAAGCTAGGTATAGGATAAGAGACCTTCGTGTTTTACATTCCATGGGTGTTTGCAGCTCCTTGGAAGTTATAATCGTATTTTTTTTTTTTTTTTTATTGATCATTCTTGGGTGTTTCTCGCAGAGGGGGATTTGGCAGGGTCACAGGACAATAGTGGAGGGAAGGTCAGCAGATAAACAAGTAAACAAAGGTCTCTGGTTTTCCTAGGCAGAGGACCCTGCGGCCTTCCGCAGTGTTTGTGTCCCTGGGTACTTGAGATTAGGGAGTGGCGATGACTCTTAACGAGCATGCTGCCTTCAAGCATCTGTTTAACAAAGCACATCTTGCACCACCCTTAATCCATTCAACCCTGAGTGGACACAGCACATGTTTCAGAGAGCACAGGGGTGGGGGTAAGGTCACAGATCAACAGGATCCCAAGGCAGAAGAATTTTTCTTAGTACAGAACAAAATGAAAAGTCTCCCATGTCTACCTCTTTCTACACAGACACGGCAACCATCCGATTTCTCAATCTTTTCCCCACCTTTCCCCCCTTTCTATTCCACAAAGCTGCCATTGTCATCATGGCCTGTTCTCAATGAGCTGTTGAGTACACCTCCCAGACGGGGTGGTGGCCGGGCAGAGGGGCTCCTCACTTCCCAGTAGGGGCGGCCGGGCAGAGGCGCCCCTCACCTCCCGGATGGGGCGGCTGGCCAGGCGGGGGTCTGACCCCCCCCACCTCCCTCCCGGACGGGGTGGCTGGCCGGGTGGGGGGCTGACCTCCCCACCTCCCTCCCGGACGGGGCTGCTGGCCAGGCGGGGGGCTGACGCCCACCTCCCTCCCGGACGGGGTGGCTGCCGGGCAGAGACGCTCCTCACTTCCCAGACGGGGTGGCTGCCGGGCGGAGGGGCTCCTCACTTCTTAGACGGTGTGGCTGCCGGGCGGAGGGGCTTCTCACTTCTCAAACGGGGTGGTTGCCAGGCAGAGGGTCTCCTCACTTCTCAGACGGGGCGGCAGGGCAGAGGCGCTCCCCACATCTCAGACGATGGGCGGCCGGGCAGAGACGCTCCTCACTTCCTAGATGGGATGGCGGCCGGGCAGAGACGCTCCTCACTTTCCAGACTGGGCGGCCGGGCAGAGACGCTCCTCACTTTCCAGACTGGGCAGCCAGGCAGAGACGCTCCTCACATCCCAGACGATGGGCGGCCAGGCAGAGACGCTCCTCACTTCCCAGACGGGGTGGCGGCCGGGCAGAGGCTGCAATCTCGGCACTTTGGGGGGCCAAGGCAGGCAGCTGGGAGGTGGAGGTTGTAGCGAGCCGAGATCACGCCACTGCACTCCAGCCTGGGCACCATTGAGCACTGAGTGAACGCAACTCCGTCTGCCATCCCGGCACCTCGGGAGGCCAAGGCTGGCGGATCACTCGCGGTTAGGAGCTGGAGACCAGCCCGGCCAACACAGCGAAACCCCGTCTCCACCAAAAAAATACGAAAACCAGTCAGGCGTGGCGGCGCGCGCCTGCAATCGCAGGCACTCGGCAGGCTGAGGCAGGAGAATCAGGCAGGGAGGTTGCAGTGAGCCGAGATGGCAGCAGTACAGGACAGCTTCGGCTCAGCATCAGAGGGAGACCGTGGCAAGAGAGGGAGAGGGAGACCGTGGGGAGACGGACAGGGAGAGGGAGAGGGAGAGGGAGAGGGAGAGGGAGAGCTATAATGGTATTTAATATCAAGGGGTTTTTATGACTGGTGCCTCCTACAGGAACTTAACAAGAAAAACGAGCAAGATGGCCACTACAGACAAAGGAGCCTTGGAGTTCATTCTCATCCAGGCTCCCATCCAAAGCCAAAACCTTCCCAGTGCTCCCACTAGTCTCACATCTTCTGATAATTCCAGGAACAGGACAATTCAGAGGCAGCCTAATCTACTGCTGGACAGCTCTAATTGTTAGATGGCTAGAATTGTTTCTGGCAGGATCTGGCCTCCCAGTTTCCCCACTGAGTCTAATTACGTCCTTCAGAGCTATAACCCATGTGTCTATTTCCACTTCTACAGGGTGACCCAACAAACAGTTAAAAGCAATTCAATCTCAACTTTCTCTTTGCCAAGATAAACATTCCCATTTCCCTCATACGACATGTTTTTCAGATTCTCTGCTTTTCCGACCACCATCCTTGGAAATATCTAAATGTTTAATCATGCATGTGTGCGCACACACACACACACAAACACACACACACAAAGTGGAGGGTCCCAAATTGAATATGTTTCCCCAGATGAAGCTAAGAAGTGTGTCAACTACCTTATTTGATCTAGAAACAGCTACTCTGTTGATACAGCCAAATAATATTAGCAATAACCATTATTTATTACAACCGACTGCATGCTAGACACTGGACTAGCCACTTTGTATACATTATTTCTAATCCTAACCATGGCCCATTTTAATATTCCCATGATATAGATGAAAATATTGAAATTTACAGAGAAAATAACTTGCTCAAGGTCACAGAGCTGGAAAATAGCTAAGCAGGGATTCAAATTCAGCTGTCTTGACACTAAAGCTGTCACTCTTCCAGTAGATCATACCGTCTAATAGTTTCTTAATGACTACCTCCCTGTTTTTTTCATTTGTACTCATGGTCAACCAAAATCCCCAGACTTCTTTCGTCTTCACAGGTGTTAAGGCTTTGTACCCAGCAGGGGAGTAAAGTACTTTGCAAGGTAGTGGCATTCATCCCAAGGTATGCCAGGAGAGAGAGGCTGGTCCCAGGCCAGGTGAGGTACAGGTCTGTGACCCCAGGATAGGCCATCCATGCTCCAAACCCTAATCTGAGCAGCCATACAGCCAATGCAGCCCATCATCAAGGGGTCTCAGGAAGACCTCATAGGGAGAGTGGAGCAGGAACACAGCCTCAGAAGTACAAAATATTGACTATGAGAATGTCAAGCTAATCCAAGTTTCTACATAGATGTATTAGTCCATTCTCATGGGTAATTTATCCAGAAAACAGGTTTAATTAACTCACAGTTCTGCATGGCTGGGGAGGCCTTGGGAAACTTACAATCATGGTGGAAGGGGAAGCAGGCACATCTTCCCCGGGAGCGGGTGAAAGAGCATCGTGCATAGGAGGAACTGTCAAACACTTACAAAACCATCAGATCTCGGGAGAACTCACTCACTATCACGAGAACAGCATAGGGAAAACCACCCCCATGATCCAATCACCTCCCACCAGGTCCCACCCTTGACACATGTGGATTATGGGGATTACAACTGGAGATGAGATTTGGATGGGGACAAACAGCCTAACAATAGTAATGGAGTTCCAGCCCCCCGGCTCCACAAGTGTATAAAACCACGAGGAGAATAAAGCTAGTCTTTGCTTACCTGGCTCAGACCCCATGATGTAGAAAAGGATGAAAAACAGGAAAACTGTAAGTATGCAAAGGATATAGACAGGCTGGGCATGGTGGCTCAGGCCTGTAATCCCAGCACTTTGGGAGGCAGAAGCGGGCAGATCACTGAGATCAGAAGTTCAAGACCAGCCTGGCCAACATGATGAAACCCCGTCTCTACTAAAAATACAAAAATTAACTGGGTGTGGTGGTGCAAGCCTGTCATCCCAGCTACTTGGGAGTCTGAGACATCAGAATCACTTGAACCTGGGAGGCGGAGGTTGCAGTGAGCTGAGTTCACACCACTGCACTCCAGCCTGAGCGACACAGCGAGACTCCATCTCAAAAAAAAAAAAAAAGATACAGACAGAAGGGCAAGGCCTATGCTTGTAAGACCTGACCTGTGGTGCAGAAAAGGATTAACACTGGAGGCTTGGAGTGCCCAAACTCTGCACATTCCAAAAAAAGGAACTGGCCCTTGACCAGCTCCTCGGGGATAACCTGTCAGACTTTGGAATATCCTGTCTGAAAAAAAGCGTGTCTTTGTATACCTGGATCCCTAAGCCACAACAGATAGTTTATGCTAACAAGGTGATGTGTGGCAAATCCTTGGTTTGATTCACCCGACCATGCTCCATCAGTTTGACCTCTGGGGAAGCTGCAGCCTCAGCAGCTAAGGTCAGCCACATAAGTGTTCTTTTCCTATGTCACTTACCCCTCATAGAAACCCTGAACACCAAGACTCAAATTGGCAATACTTTATGCATGTTGCCACACATCAGTGCTGGGGGGATTAAGTGGTATCCATGTGACCCCACTGGGTGACAACATCTGGAAGCTTCTGTCTAATTTCTCCTTGACTCTACTCTGTATATCTTTTTTCTTTGTTGATTTTAATCTGTATCTTTTGCTCTATAAACCATAACTGGGAGTATAACAGCTTTTCTGCGTTCTCTGACTCCTTCTAGTGAATCATCAAACCTGAGGGTGGACTTGGGGACCCTACACACACTTCCCAATGGCAGCCTTTGGGAAGGGGTGGCTGTGAATGGCAGCCTTGTTGGAGGACTTAGAACTCAGAGAGAGTTAGAGCCCAGAATGGAGGTTAACTGCAAACCTCCTTCTCTGTGGCTATACAGAACTCCTGTATTACAGACCCAGTGGCCTCTCACTGGTACCAAGGGAGAGCCAAATCTGCCTGCCAGGGATGGGGTTGTCATTTGAAACAAATAGGACGGATCTAAGTAAACTTATTGGCAGGATCTATAGTTCTAATTGTGAAAGTAATACATATTTGTTGTCAGAAATCTGAACAACAAAACAAAATAAAAAATAAAACAGTCCATTGGAATCCCACCACTCAAAGGTAGGCATGGCTAATATTGTGGTGTAGTTCTTAATAGTCAATTTCTTTTTCATGAATATGTAGCAGTATCCCCAATGAGACAGAATTTTAAACTTTTAGCAAGAAAATCTGCAAGTTAAAAGTTGCCAGCCACTTCCATGTCTAACAAGTCATCCTGGGACACATTTTTTTGTTCTGGAAACAATCACCCAGGCAGTTTCTTTTAGCTTTGCAAATTTAAGGCAGAGGCGCTCATCGACCAAAGGCAGGAATGTTAGTCACAGGCAATGTTTTTTCTCAGCTCCCCATTTGTTCCCCAGGATACCAAGGCCAAATGTCACTGGGAAGTACTAAATAGTTGAGCCCATTTGAGAGGGGGGCTAGAAGCCTCCTAGGAGAAAACAAATCAAGACTCCCAACTACTTCTCCTTAGGTTCACTCGTTTCCAAACATCTCTGATAAGCTCAGTGGGTCCTCTGCAGGAGCCTGGATTACTAAATTGTTGGTGTTAGTGGGGAGGTGTTGTAGGTATAGCACATTGCCAAGGCTGGAACCTTCTACCGCAGCAGCCACTGCAGCCCCATGGGCATGGTTTGAGAATCGTATATATGAGGACAAACTAAGAGGCTGAAACATTGAGAACCCAGAGCCGTGCTGGCATAAGACAGTGAGAAGAGGTCTCTTCCCAGCTCCGTAGGAACTATCCCCTGACCAGCTGTGACAGCACAGACAGTGATAGCTCAAGGCTGTGTGGACAGCTGCTTTTAGCAGGCACTGGTGTTAGGGAACAGCAAATGCAGCCCACGGTGGACCCATCATATTTTCCAGTGCTGTCTCTACAAGGGATTTGGGAGTATCACTGATCCTTTAGCCTGAATAAACTGGGACTGTGGAACCTTAAATGTATCACAGAAAGGAAAACACTGGGAAAGAGAAACGAGCATGTTAATGCTGATAAATCTATGCATGCTACCATCCTGCAGACTGGTGAAAGCTGTTGGCTACCCAGCCTTGGGCCATTCCTGTCTGCGCTGTCACAGCTGGTCAGGGGATGGTTCTCATGGTGCTGGGAAGAGGAGATCAATGACTCAGTTCAGTGGAGACATGTGACCATTTCATTTTTTTTTTTTTTTTTTTTGAGACGGCGTCTCACTCTGTCACCAGGCTGGAGTGCAGTGGCGCAATCTCGGCTCACTGCAAGCTCCGCCTGCCAGGTTCAAGTGATTTTTCTGCCTCAGCCTCCCGAGTAGCTGGGACTACAGGTGCATGCCACCATTCCCAGCTAATTTTTTGTATCTTTAGTAGAGACAGCGTTTCACCATGTTGGCAAGAATGGCCTCCATCTCTTGACCTCATGATCCACCTGCCTCGCTCTCCCAAAGTGCTGGGGTTACAGGCGTGAGCTGCCGCGCCTGGCCACATGTGATCATTTCTTACACCCCAAGTTGAAGCAAAAGACATAAGCAACACAAAAATACAAATACACACAATTTGCAACAAAATGGTATTAAACTGCATAATGCTATATGTTTTTCCCCACTTAATATTATCTATCAAGCATTTTCTAATGACATTAAACATATTTGTAAACATAATACTACTAGGTAATGACAATAGCTAAAACTGATGTAGCGGTTATTTAGTATCTACTATGTGAGGCAGTATTATTAACCCCATATGCTAGATAAGAAAACTGAGGCACAAAAAGTTTACGTAACTTGTCCAATGACCTACGGCTAGTAAAAGAAGCTAGCATTTGAACCCAAGTAACCTTCAGTGCTAATGTTCTCATTTTTTTTTAACACATCGCATATTTAATCATTTTCCTACAGTTGCATATTTCTTCTTTCCCATGTTTTCACTGCTATAAATATGCAGTGATAAGCATCCTTATACACAAAGCTTTGCAAGTCAATTAAAACTTTTAACATAAATGTAGAACTTTACATTTGTTTAATTCCATCACTTTTAATTTAGACCTGCAAGATTGTCTTAAATCTTGATTCTGCAATTCAAATGTTCCACTTGTCCTCTCAGCTTTGCATCATTCAGATTTAACTGACCTATTCTTCTAAACAAATACTTTATCTAAAGCTTGACCTGGACAGGAAAAGATCCAATGGCTTGGCTCCTGTCTCTCTCACTAGCTCATCTCAGTCTTCTTTTGATGCCCTATCACACAGTCTTCCAGTTCCTCAACCATACCATGTTCTTTCAGGCCACGGGGCCTTTGCACATTCTGCTCCTTCTCCTGCAACCCCCTGCTCTCACCTGGTAAATTCCCAGTAGTGCTCTGCATCTTAGCCAAAGCTGAGGCCAGGGGGAGTTCTTTGTTATACACTTTCACCGAACTATATTCTTTTCCTTCCAAATGGGAAATTTATGCACTAGGTCATGAAATCATCTGATTAATAGCTGTCTCTCTCCCTCAACAACAGACTCTATGATAGCAGGGGCCATGCCTACTTCCTGCCCATGTTATCCTTAGCACCAAAGCTGTACAGTTGGCCCTCTGTATCTACCGGTTTTGCATGCATGGATTCAACCAGCTGCTGATAAAGACCCAGTGACACCGAAGGCCAGCTGTACGTACATATTTTCCATTCTTGGTTGGTGAATCTACCAAATGGCCAACTGTTCTATGCCATTTTATGTAAGGGACTTGAGCATTTGTGGATTTGGTACCCTCGGTATGGTGGAACCAATCCCTGAGGCTGAAGAGGACAGACTAAACTGGGCCCTTGGAGACATTTAATGAATGTTTGCTGGATGAATTAATGAATGAATGCAGCACCCTGTGGCTCAGTAGTAGAACCATGACCCTCCGTGCTAATGGTGAGCATGCACGGATTCATCAGCCCTCCTTGAGGACAATGCTTCAATCAGTTAAAATGTACAGCCTGCCTGTTCTTCTCTAAGCCCCAGGATATTGCTAGAAAGTTTATCAGCTGCAGCTGAGTTCAGGCGATGTGACTGACCTCCTCTGCTCTCTCCTCTTTCCAGGCATCCTCTATTCAGTCTGCGGTTGTCCTTCCAAAGGCAGCTAATATAAGACTCCCTGATTAAAAGCTTCTGTGGCTTCACAGTGTCCTCAGGATCAAGTCCAAGCTCCTAATCTTGACATTCAAGGTCCTTCACATTCTGGCCCTTGCCTCCTTTTTCCCTGTCATCTGCTGCCACTGACACCCCCAACCCCAACCCCAACCCCATATGCATACAACAAAGATACTCCACAGTACTAAAAGTCTTCCTATACACCATGCACTTGTATTCTTTTGACACTTTGCTCTCTTTCCCTAGAATGCAAATCTCTCTTCTCTGTCTGACAAACTCCTACTCATCCTTCAAGGTCCAGCTCAAAAGTCACCTCCCCTTTTGAAGTTCTCCCTGGCTCCTTCCCACCCTCATCAAAGGCGGAGTTAATTTTCCCTTCTCCTGTATGTATTCATGTGGCATTTTGAACTTAATTCTATGTTAGTGCCCGTGCTATGTTCAAGTGCCTGTGTTCCCTGAGGATCTCCTTGAAGGTAGGCATCTTATCTTACTCAGTTTTATTTCTCACCTCAGCCCTTTCCTTAAATGCTTATAAAATAAGCATTCCATAAATACTTGACAGGGTTTGTCTTTTGGTATTATCCCACTCCACAAGTCTAGTGACACTTGCAAATGCATTTGACTTTTGGAGTCATGGCTGACCAACCTGCTAAGATCCAGCAATAGGTGGGATGTGGGGATTTTCAGGAAGGGGAGTGGTAAGTTCATGGGAATGTGGAATTTAACCTCTCTGCTTCCCCGACCACCACAACAGCCACTAACCTCCCAACTCTGCCAGCCCAGTGGAGCTGCCTGCTAAACCTTGCTGATTCTGTCAGCAGCCCGTCTTCCCTTTCCTTCCTTTTCATGTCCTCTGCTTCTTCATGAATTAGCTACAGTTCTGCACTGGCTCAAGATGAAGGGGCTATGGACAGAATATAGAAAAACCTTCATAGGCCAAGCACAGTGGTTCACACCTGCAATCCCAGTGCTTTGGGAGGCCGAGGTGGAAGGATCACTTGAAGTCAGGAGTTCGAGACCAGCCTGGACAACATAGCAAGGCTGTCTCTAAAAAAAAAAAATAATAATAATAATTTAAAAAGTTTAAAAAGAAAAACCTTCCAAAATTAAGAGACTGTTGAGTTTCTTGAGGAACGAAACAGAGCTTTCTGGGGCACTCTGGCCCTCTCCACTACCTCTGTCTGCTCTGTCCTCCTCCTACCTCAGCCTGCTCCCTCAGGCAACTCATCTTTTACACACCCCTTTGTCTACAGATTCTTCGCTACAGAGAAGCTACAGAGCTCTCCATATTTTCACCAGACCATTCTTTTCAACATTCCAGTCCCAAAATCTCAAAAGACTCTGATTGGCCCATTCCCACGCATTTTTGTCGCCTTAAGGTAGGTATCCTGTCCAGGTCTAAACAGAGGGAGCTAGCAAAGGAGGTTTTGGTCCTGTGGCCTGGCATGGTTTCCTCAGCAGAAGAGGGGAATGGGGGGGAAGGTTAAGTTTGGTGACTGCATCTCTAGGTAAGCACTAAAAACTTTCTTTTTTTTTTTTTTTACCTTGAAGAAGGCTTCAGAGAGAAACACCAGCTGGCTGAAAGCAAAGCACTTGTTATTCAAAGCATTTCTAGACAGAAGACAACCTTGACTACCATCCTCAATGAAATAGCAGCTCTTAGACTGGCTGCTTTCTAAGCATTATTTCCAAGCAGTCCCTATTGGCCTGGCAAAATGAAGAAATGGGTCTGTAGCTCAAAAGATAAACTTAGACTGGAGATTAAAATGTGGTTGTCGTCAAGACAAGGCAGTGAAGAGGGTGGCGGTGGGTTTGCGAGGGTGCGCAGAGTGAGTCTTAGAAGAACAAATAATCCTGGGATCAGGGACGTTTAAAGGATTGGCAAAGGAAGAAAATTCCTGAAAAACGGAAAGTAACAGCCAGGGAGACAGAAGTCTCAGAACCAGAACCTAGCCAAGGTGGGACAGAATTTGAAGGGAGAGAGCGCCAGTTCTAGAAAGATCAAATAAGAAAAGGGTGAGCTTCAAGAAGTGAAGGGCCAGGCGTGGAAGAGGCCATCGGGAGCCCCGTGCAGTATCCCCCATAGTCGGGAAGAGGCAATGCCTCCGGCGCAGACATTTGCGGGTCCCAAGGTCACGCGTAGGACGCTGACCGGGAAGGACAGCCCCGCCGCCTTCCCGCGCCGGCTCCTGCGCAGTGTGTGACGACGGTGCCCTCTGCCGGCGACAGTGGGCATCACACTGCACGCGGAGCCCCTCCGCTTGGGGAACCCGAGCATGAGCGGCTGGCAGGCGCGGGAGTCTCTAAAAATAAAGCTCACTACACGAAAGGAGTCGGGAGAGGACACCACTGGGATGGGGACGTTTATCCTCCTCTGCACTTCTCCTTGGTCAAGTGAACTGGACCAATTTTATCCAAAGCAACGGTTACGCCTGGAGCCACAAAAACTCCTGAGTCCGAGTCAGCCCCATGCTGTGGATTGAGACTCGTCGTGACCCGCCAGGTGCGGACCATCTGGAGATGGCGCGGCATAGTAGGCATCAGGGCGGCGCCGGTACCTGAGCCTCACCGCTGAGCCCAGGAAAGGGGGAGAGGGAAAAATGAGACGCAAGCTGGGAGAGGACGCATCGGCTGCACAATGCTACCATCTACCGGACTCGTCCGGGAATGCTCTGCCTGCCGCGCGCTCGCCGGGCTAGCCCCAGCCCTGGACTGCAGGGGCGCCGCGTGCAACTCAACAGCACAAGGCGCTGACATTAGTGGTGGGTTTTCAGGCACAGCAACACTGGGAATCACTGACTCACGCAGCAGCTCAGGAAAATAAGCAGTTGCTTTGTGTTTTGAGGTTCTGGAAATTGGTCATGAATTTTTTCATCTTAAAACAATAAAGAAGCTTCTAGAAAGAGAAACACTACCATGGGCAAATGAAAGAAAGTCTCCAATAAGTGTGAAAATAAAAAGCAGACTAGTCTTTGGGGTCTGGAATGGTGTGGGTGGCAGGCTTTGGGTCAAAGTCACTTTGGGTCTTAAATATGTCAGCTCCTTTGGGTTGTTTCCTCATCTGTAATATCACAGTAAAGTGGGCCTCCAGGAATGTTTTGAGGATCAGATACAATGATCCTTGAAAAGAGCTTGGAGAAGGATAAAATTATATGTCATCACTGGATGTGATCAAATGCAAACTCTTGTTCCAAGTTAGGGTTGACTAAGCAAGATCTCCCACATCTAGGATTTTTTGGTGTTGAGAGGACTATTAGTGTATCTCAATTCTATTTTTCCAGGTAGTGTTTTCAATAAAACCTGACTTTTTTTAA
The DNA here is from genome assembly GCF_000001405.40 of Homo sapiens. Taxonomy (NCBI): domain Eukaryota; kingdom Metazoa; phylum Chordata; class Mammalia; order Primates; family Hominidae; genus Homo; species Homo sapiens. Next base: position 57,163,089 of record NC_000004.12, on the reverse strand, counting down.
GGCTTCTCCCATACCACCCCCAGGGATGTTGTGAAGAATTAAATCAGTTTCATTAAAAGCTCACCTCTGTCCTTGGAGAACAGCTACTAGAAAATGATTAGGGTATTTGTGTTTTGGAGTTGTATTTGTTGATAAGTTGAAATAAAATGTCAATCTTATTTTTAGAAGCTAAACAAAACATATGCTAGACATTTTTGCAGTGAGTACAATTCTTCCAGTATTGCTGTTAGCAAAAAACTTTTAGACAAATTAACAGTTTATTTGAGCAAAGAACCATTCATGAATTGGGCAGCACTCCAAACCAGAAGAGGTTCAGAGAGCCCTGCCCAGTAGTGTGGGCAGAGAGATTTTAAAGGCTGAACAGGCAAGCAAAGCAGAGAAATCACCTGATTGGCTACAGGTAGGCATCTGCCTTATTTGGACATGGTGTGATGAGTTGGCTGCTGAGATTGGCTGAATCCTATTAGTTGCTTGTGATTGGCTGAAACACAGCTGTTTGTTACACTAGATATTTCATTTCTAGGTGAGGTAATGACAATGTTCTAAAATTGCTTGTGATGAAGGTTGCACATCTCTGTGAATATATTAAAACCACTGAAATGTACACTTTAAATGAAAAAATTACATGGTATACAAATTATAACTCAATAAAGCTGTTATTTTTTTAAAAATACACTGTAATTTTGAATATAGTCAATATCTGAAATTTCAGGGTCTAATTCACTATCAACTTACAGTGTTACCTCAGGCAAATTTCAACAATGTTGCTGAAACTTGTTCTCTGAAGATACATTGACATAAGCAATGTGATTGTTCCCTTTGAGAAGGGAACTGCACAGTGCCCTGTTCCTTTTTTTATATATAATTGAGATGGGGGTCTCACTATGCTGCTCAGGCTGATCTCAAACTCCTGGGCTCCACTGTTTCCTTTTGAGAAGCCCAACAAACAAGTCTAAAGGAGTCTAATGTAGGTTGTTCTTTGTAGCTGATGCCATTTTTCAAAGATGCCCTTAATAATATCTTCCATCCTACATGCTCTTCTGCAATGTGGCCTTGCTGCTAGAATCTAGTTGCTCTCAGCTTGAATCTACGCTAACTTTGGTAATTCACCTGTCACAAGAGAAGCAGAATACATGACACTGTGTGGCTTCCAAGGCAAGATCAAAGAAACCTTGCAACCTCTGCCTTGCTCCTTTAGAATGCTCACTTTCAGACACCCCTTTTCAAGACTCCCCCTCTCACAGCTCAGTTGCACTGTTGTAAGATTCCCAAGCCATGTGGTGAGGCTGGGTACAGGTGCTTTGTTCAGTGGTCCCAACTGATCCCAGCCTTTGAGTCATCCCAGCTAGATGTATGTGAAGAAGCCTCTAGATGATTCCAGGCCTCAACCATTCAAGCCTTCCTACTGAGAACCCAGACATGGTGGAGCACAGACAGTCACCCCTGCATGCACTGCCCAAATTTCTGACCCATAGGATTTATGTGCATAATAATATGTTACGATCCGAAGTTTGGAATTGTATGTTATGCAGTCATATATTACTGAAACATTGTTCTAATTAAGTGGTCAAATTCTGTTCCTCTGACAACCTGACCAGTCTAGGGCCAAGGAACAAGGAAAAATATCAATAGAGACCACTTACTGGGTATCCATTATATGCCAGAGTGGTGCTAGGTGCTTTCTACACTTTATCTCTAATTCTTCCAGAAACCCACCAGGTATGTGGTATGAGCCCCACTGGCTAAACAAGGAAGCTGTAGTGAGGTAACTTTGAATAACTTACCCATGGTTAGATAGACAGTGGATAGACAGCTGGACATGCACGCTAATCTCATTATACTCTCACCACATCCAAACTATGTGCTTTCCCTTACAATGTAACCCCCATCTCCAACCCCCAGACTCTCCACCAGTAATGCAAGACTAGAACTGCAAGAATAGTATTGAAGTATGTGAAGAATTATGACGTTTTTTGTTTCACTGTCAAAACTACAGGAAATCTGTAGAATACCGAGGGGTAGAGGTGTTAAAGGTGTTTGTTTTCATCAATTCACTTTATAAAAATAAATTTAAATCATAAAAAGGAAATGAAGGAAACTTTCAAAATAGAGCAGATTTCATTTTTCTGGCCTCCCTGACCTGAAGTCAAGACTGATAAAGGCATAAGGAGACATTTTTCCATCCTAAGTCAGACTTAGGGTAGAGATCTGGCTGGGTCATTTATTGTCCTGAGGACCCAAGAAGATGGCCAAATTGTGGGAGATGACTGAGTAGACCAGGACTCTTTGGGGAAAGGCCAGAACCTAGGGTCATCTGGAAGGTGTTAGGGTTGATCAACCCCTAGACATTTCTACACCCCCTCACCACACAACACAACCACACCCCCAAGCAGTAGTTATATAATTATTCAGTATACAAATTGTTTATTTAATGTCTATGTTAGTCAGAGTTCTCAAAAGAAACAACTTATAGGAGATAGATGACAGATACATACATACATAGATGAGAGGCAGAGAGAGGGAGAGAGATTTATTATAAGGAGCTGGCTTACACAACTGTATTAATCCGTTCTCATACCACGATAAGGAAATACCTGAGACTGGGTAATTTATAAAGGAAAGAGGTTTAATTGACTCACAGTTCCACGCGGCTGGGAGGCCTTAGGAATCTTACAATCATGGTGGAAGGGGAAGCAAGGACCTTCTTCACATGGCGGCAGAAGAGAGAAGTTTCAGCAGGGGAAATGCCAGACACTTATAAAACCATCAGATCTCATGAGAACTCACTCACTATCACAAGAACAGCATGGGGGAACCGCCCCCATGTCTAATCACATCCCTCCCTTGACATGTGGGGATTATGATTTGAGATGAGATTTGGATGGGGACACAGAGCCAAATCATATCAATAACTATAGAGGCTGAGAAATCTCAAGATTTGCAGTTGCCATGCTAAAGACCTAGGAGAGCTGCTGGAGTGATTCCAGTCTGAATCCAAAGGCCTGAGAACCAGGAGAGCCAATGGTGTAAGTCACAGCCCAAGGGTAGAAGATTGATGTTGCAACTCAAGCAGTCAGGCCAAGGAAGTTCCCTCTTAGTCAGTTTTTTTGTTGTCTTCAGGCCTTCAACCAATTGGACAAGCACCACACACGTTTAGGGAGGAGAGTCTGCTTTGCTCAGTCTATCAATTCAAATTTTAATCTCATCCAAAATCACCCTCACAGACACACCCAGAAAAATGTTTGACCAAATGCCTAGGCACCCTGTAGCCAGTCAAGTGGACACACAAAATTAACCATCACAATGTCTACTGCCCCTGCCAGATGATAAGCTCCCCAATGCCTGTGACTATTTCTTGCTCCCAGACATAGTCCCAGAACCTAGCATAATCATCCATCATAAAGAAGCTGTTAACATAAATATTTGTTGAATGAATGAGGCATCACCCCTAGGAGGCTTCTTCATTGACATTAAACCGCCAAGTCCCCTATGAGCACCCAATTATGACCATGCTCACCTGAGTGTGAAATAGCCGTCATTCTGTGAACTGCCTCTTAAATTTCAAAGTCTAAAGCAGATGACCTACCCAGTCGCTCGCTACCAGTAACAGTGATATAGAGTGAAGAAGCAGAAGCTAAAAATAGACTAAAGACATTTAGGGATGCAGATGAATCTAGAGTAATCCAATAGAAATGTAATGCAAACCACATGGGTATTTTATATTTTCTAGTAGGCACAATTGTTAAAATTAAGAAGGTAGGTAAAATAAATTTTTATTATATTTTACATTATTATAAATATAAATTATAGTTTTTAAATGTAAGTATTTCACCCAACATATCAAAAATATTATTTCAACATATAGTCAATACAAAATTATTAATGAGGTATCTACCTCCTTTTTTCCTTTCTTTTCTTTTTTTTTTTTAATGTAAAGACAGGGTCCTACTATGTTGCCCAGCCTGGTCTTAAATGTCTGGGCTCAAGCAATCCTCCCTCCTTGGCTTCCTAAATTGTTGGGATTACAGGTGTGAGCCACTGCACCCAGCCTTACCTTCTTTTTTAAAGCCTTTGAAGTTCACACACACATCTCAGTTTAGACTGGCCACATTTCAAGGGCTCAGTAGCCAAGTGTGGCTAGTGGCCAACACAGTCTAGCAGGCAGCAGCATAATGCCTGACTACTTGCAAGCAAGGACTAGTGGCATCCTCTGAAGCCCTGGTTACTTAGTGAGACTGACATGAGGTTCCGTGGGATTAAATGTCTTTGTCCCCTTGTCTTCTCTGATTTGAGAAAAATCAGAACCAGGATAACCATGCACCAGAACCCTGTGGATCCAGAAGAGGCCAGAATTCAGGACCTACCCTGCTCCTTACAATTGGTGAGACCTGAGGAAGTCACTCAATCTCTCCAAGTGCCATTGTCCTCGCGAATGAAACAGCATTGTTGAGAGAATGGAATAAGACAGTAAAACCCTGTGCAACTTCAGGATTTTAGGCTGAACTCCTCAGGCATGGAACTAAATTGGGGTCTTGCTATTGGCCTCTTCTGCACAATGGCTGAGTCTTGAAGTGGGATATGGAAGGGAGTTTCCACTTCCCTAGGACTTCCTGGGACCCCTGAAGGAAGTTAGTCCACAGTCCACAAGAGGCCACTGGAGGGTGGATTTCATGGTTGCCACTCACAGAGGGAGCCGGTGGTGTTTCCCAGTTCCTTGATGCAGGCTTCTAGGCCAGACATAAGAGATTTCACATAGAGCAAACAAACTTCCAGTGCAGCGAATCAGTGGTGCCCTCTATGATGTGCTCAAATGATGCACATGCCCTCACTCTCTGCTGTTTTGAAATTATCCCAGGAGCTCAGAGAGCTGTGGACAGGGACACCTACCTGGCGTCTGCGTGGAATGATGCCAGGATCCATCACATTAGGAAGACATTTCCAAACTCATGTGAGGCCCTTGCAGCTGCTTCAGATCCTCTGCCCACCGCCTGCTCACCTTCAAATTTTCTTTAAGAGCAGCTTCTAAATGCTATTGGCATTTAGAAATCTGCCGTGTTCTCCTATTCTGTAGTTTGTACGTTGGTTTCCATTAACCTCTTTCCAAATGTTATCAAATTCATATCTCCATTTATGATCCATCAGCCTCTTTATCTCTCAGAAAGGCAACAGAGGAAAAAGAAACAAGCCCAAATGGCTTTTTTGGCTGCCCATAGCGTTCTTGGAAATCTGTTAGCGATGCAGCCAGTGCCTCCTCTCCTATTGTTGGTCCCAGCTGGCAGGCATGGGCTGACAGTGCATTCACCAGCATCTGTGTTGTTTTATTCTGCAGAATAAAGCCTGGTTCTTTTCTTCCCTCTACCAAAGTAAAAGAGAAGTCATGGGTAACTTGTACATTATCTGCGTGAGACAAAAATGTGTCGGATGCTTCCTGCTGCAGTGGGACTGGCAGAGAGAGTAGCAAAGGCACGCACCACTTCTAGGGCCCCTGCAGAGGAGCCACAAGCTCCCAGGACTGTGGAGAGGATGGATGGAAGAAGCAGGTGCAAGAGAAGAGGACAGATGGAGAACAGAAAGAAGGTGGAGAAAAGGTTAAAAAAAAAAGAGGATAGTTCTGGCAGCAGGGAGGAGACATGTCTGTTGGATGCCTATGTGGTAGGCATGAAAATGAGCCACCCAGACCATCCTTCAGGAAGCACTTGCTGTGCAGCTGCAGGAGGTGGCCAGAGCAGGCAGCCTCTGACAGCAGCTCAGGGGCTGCCTCTGCAGCTGGAGTTGCCTCACCCTAGAACACCTCCTTCTCAGGGAGCCAGGTCTGGTGACTGAGTGAAGCAAGGCTCTAAGGGCTGGCCATCTCAGCCCCTCATGGGACAATGCAGATGGACAATACTCACTGCAGGGCTCCTCGGGTTGGCCAAGGCTCTCCGGGGCCCACATTACAGCTCAACCTGTCCCTCTGCCCAGTTCTTGCTTCCCCCCGTTTCTAAGCGCAGGAGCTGATCCCTAATAAATGTCTTGCAACCCAAACTCCATCTCAGCATCAGCTTCCAAAAACCTACACTGCAATGGCCTAGATTTTATTGTACCAGATACTTTACATGTTACCCCCTTAATCTGCACTAATATATTTTTTATATATATATATATGTGTGTGCATATATATGTGTGTATATATGTGTGTGTACATATATATAAATTTGTCCCCTTTTGCATCTAAGGAAACCAAAGCTCTAAGAGGGTTTATAACTGGCCCTCGGGTCACATGGCAGTAGAACTGAGGTTAAACTGAGCTGATGCAGCATCAGTGTGTGATACGCCCTTTCTACCACATCCTACCACGCTGGGCTTGCACATCAGAAGACCATCCAAATAACTGCTGATGAACCTGGAGGACACCAGAAAATCAGGGAAGGAGTGAGTCCCTTTAAGAAAACAGTGAAGATGGGAGGACACTGCAGTCAGTATCCCTTGGACAGTCCCTTGCACCAAAAATACTCCCCTCACCTGGCCGATTGCTGACTACAATTCCTTGCCTTCCAAAATTGGGGAGAAAAGCTAACATATAAATCCTGAGAAGCGTCTCACATGCACTTGCTGTACTCCTGTGGGTGAGTCACAAGCCCCAGGCATCCCTGTCTGTGCTTCTGTCATCCTCCACCTCACCTCCCTGCTCAGCCTGCCCTAGATCCCTCCTATCACCAAGGGAAGAAATCTGATAAACTAACTCCTTCGGAGTGACAATGTGTGTTTACATTTTGCAAGACAATTCAGGGAGGGGAAAATGTTTCACCCAAGCAGCCGGGCTCTGGGTTGGGAGGTCATCTTGAGGCAGGAGCATCATGACACTAGCTGTCACTTCATAAATTTGTGTTCGCAAGTCCAGCATGCCCGAAGCCATTTATTTCTTCCTAGTTATGTTGCCTGTAATTGGGATAAGATAAGGTAGATAATAGTCACTTACTAATTATCTAGTGGTAAAAATAACTATCCTTTACATAGGTATGGATAACACAGATATTTTCTAAAAGCCAAAATAGAGTTATTCATTAAGCAACATCAGTAAATACTAGACTCTAAAATATAATACACAATTAAGGTAAGTTTTTTAATAAAAATCATTTGAAATTTAATTTTACTAGGCTCTTAAATAAGTCCCTTTAATCTAAGCTTAGCTTCCCCTGGGCTGGATGAGCATGGCCCTGATTCCCTCACCCTGTGACACTGGGACACTGCTTTAGCATGCATCTACATTTCACCACCCTTGATGTTGGCAAGTCTGTGAATCCTCCATCCAATGAAGAGATCCAGAATATGCCGCTTCAAAACGTGCCACTTTGGCATAAGGATTATTTTGAGCTGAAGGCAATTGAGAATCAACAGATGCAGGAAGAGTTCTCTGCCCTCCTCTTGTCTGCCTAAAAGCAGGGTGTAAATTTCCCTTTGTGAAAGTGTCCCACCCTTCACCCCAATACCGGGGAGCAAAAGCAGTCATCACCAGAGACAGAGAGTTGACACCAAGAGGAGTCTGCAAAAACAGACCCCACTAAAATAAGGTTTTATCTTCCATTAGTTCTCCCATATATTTTTCAGTCACTTCCCTACCCTGTCTCATCCTCTGAAGCCTAAACCCCCTTTCTTTTGTTAAAATGCGATATTAGCCCTGGAGCCTAACTAACCACTTCTTTGAGTTTCACTTCTTTTCTGTGAACTCCCATGCACGTAAAATACGAATAAAACTGTATGCTTTTCTTTTCCTGCTGTTAATCTGTCTTTGTTAGTTTAATTTGAAGGCCCCCAGGTACTAAATATAAGAAAGTCAAAGAAACGCTTTTTCGTCTCCCACAACAACTACAAGCACCTTTTTTTCCCAAACCAGAGAGCCTCTTTGTTACTGCTGACAGCCTCCCTCTGTCATGTGTCTCAGGGACATCCTGCCTAATAATGCAGGCTGTCTTTGTTCTCACCTTCAAAGAAAAACACTTTCAGAAAGATCCAGCTACTGAGAGGGAAACCCCATAATCTCCTGGTGTCTTGCTTCTCCAGGAGCAGGAAACTTGAGACGTGGGGTAAGCACCAACCTGGAAGTCAAGAGGTTTGGGTTCTTTCCTGACTCTACTCTGTAACCTTGACATTAACCAGACCAGGGGTCAGTTCCTTTACAGAAGGAAGGAAAGGGAAAGAGAGAGAGGAGGGGAGGAAAATGGGGGAGAGAGGAGGAGGCAAGGGAAGGGGCGGGCAGGGAGAGGAAAGAGAAGAGGGGAGAAGGGGAGGGCAGGGAAGCAGCCAGGAGAGGTGATTCTAGCCCCAGCTCCTCTGCTTTCTCCCAGAGTCACCGCGAGCCAGCCCCTCACCTCTCCGAGTTTCCATTTTCCCATCTATAGACTGAGAGGAGTGGAAGGTGCCTAGATCAGTGCTTCTCAAGGTGTGGTTCCTCCACCAGTAGCATCAGCCACTGTTACCCCAATGCCAAAGGTCAGTCTAGGTCCTGCTGTTCACCACGCAGAATGCCAATCACTGAGACAATGACTATTACCAAAGAAGAAGGCTTTCACTTGGCTCAGCAGCCAAGGAGAACAGGAAACAAAGCCTCAAATCTGTCTCCCTGGCCAACTAAAACTGGGGGGTTTCTGTACTGGTAGAAGGAATGTAGCTATAGGCGGGAAGGAATTAGGGCAGGATAAACAAGCAATCATGACAAATGAAGGGTCTGGCTGTCATTATCCAGTTGCAGTGATCTGGTGACTTTTAGTCTCTTGCCTGAGGGCTCATTTCCTGAGGAAGCAACCCAGATGAGGCAAACGAAAATTTCAAGTTTTAAAACCCCGGAGGGTCAATTTCTACATTTGTTTAAAAAAAAAAAAAAAAAAACCTGTAAATATCAGTTCTATGGGAAAATTCGACCAGTTTCACCACCACAATGTTGGCATGAGGATCACTGGGGAATTTATCAGAAATGTTAATATTTGACCCTTTCCCAGACCAACTAAGGAAGAATCTCTAGGATGCACCCCAGAAATCTGTGTTTTAAGAACATTTCCAGGTGATTCTCACTCAAATTTGAGAACCATAGGCCTAAACAATCTTACAGGTCTCTTCCAGATTAAAAAACCTCAAACTCTTTTTGCCCTAACCATAAGAGTTTTTGCCCCAACTTTAAGTCTTCTTCCTCTCCCTCCTCCTCCTCCTTCTCTCTCTCTCTCTAAAAAAAAAAAAAAAAATCCTGCTGCAAACTTCTCTCCTCTCAATAGATTGCTAACTTCAAGAGACTTAAAATGAAATTTGCATTCAGTTATTTCCATAGCAATCTTAACAAAACCATTAAGATGTTTTTGTTCTTTAATTCATCTGTTCCTTCTTTTAAAGGGACTGTGTTTCTTTTTCAGCTATAAATCCAATCTTATCTAAGGATAACCCTTAAACACACTTCAGCAGTACATAATTGTCGTCCCAGTTAGCGGTGTAAGGAATGTCATTAAGTCATATCACCAAATTGATCCTCAGTGACAGCTTTCCCAAAGACCAAGATAAAACTGAACTTACACTCATAAGTCCACAGGAAAGAATCTGTCTCCACAGTACTCCATCCACCTTTATTGACTTCACACTCTACACACTGACCCTGCCTCCAGAAATAGCTACCAACTTTCATTGGTGAGCCATCCTGCCCTGCTCTCAGCCCATGTAGTTCTGGTGCAGCTGACTCTACACCCAGCTCCAGGCTGGGCCAACAAAAGCCTTCATGGCCCTGGACACTCTACGTGGTTCAGAGACGAACACGTGACCAATCAAATCAAATGAGACACTGACTGGAACTTCTGGGAAATAAACCTGTATTCACTGAGCTAAAACCTGAAATGATGAAGCCTAGAGTTCCACAGCTGTTTTGTTTTTTGCTTTTGGTTTGGTTTGGGTTTTGGAGGTTTTGGGGAGTTTTGATTTTTGTTTGTTTGTTCGTTTGCTTTTTGAGACAAGGTTCACTCTGTCTCCCAGGCTGGAATGCAGTGGCATAATCACAGCTCACTGCAGCCTTGACCTCCTGGGCTCAAGTGATCCTCTTGCCTCAGCCTCCTGAGAAGCTAGGACTACAAGTGCATACCACCATGCCTGGCTAAATTTTTTGTTAATTTTTTGCAAAGACAGGGTCTCGCTATATTGCCCAGGCTAGTCTCAAACTCCTGGGCATAGGCAATCCTCCTGCCTCAGCCTCCCAAAGTTCTGGAATTAGAGGCATGAGCCACAGTACCCAGCCAGAGATGTTTTAAGACTATGAGGGAAACTTGTTTGAGATGAAGCCACCAAAGAGGAATAAGAGCTGAGAGGCCAGGAGAGAGAACCTGGAGCCAGATGACATCATTTCTGAGCCTGTATCAAACCAAGCCTGAAACCAGCTACACTCTGAACCTTTCAGTACAAGGTCCATTAAATTTCCTTTCTGCACTGGGTTGACTTTCTTATCACTAACACCAAAAACATTTTAAAGTAGAAATTCATACAGCATTTAATAGGCAATTTATCAGTGTCTACAAAAAGAGTTTCTTATGCATAATTCTTGCCCTAACAATTTTACTTCCAGAAATATATTCTGAAGAAATGCTCTCACAATTATCAAAATATATGTATACAATCAAGAAATTCATTAAAGCATTTTGACAAACGATCCTTTGGGAAAGGATTGGAAACAACTAGTGTCATTCAATAGAAAAACTTATTCACAAATTATGTTGCATTATGCCATGAAGCATTGTGAAACGATTCAGATAGATCAATATAACTGAGATGAAAAAAGTCAGATTTTTGTTGATAAGTAAAAATAACCAGTTTCAAGCTGTGTTTTAAATACTATTTTTGAAGTGAGAAGAATGAATGCATGCATGTGTTGAAAAGGTCTAAAAGGATCAAATGGTTTACAGTGGTAATTTCTGTGGAAGGGGATGAAGGACCATTCACTTTTAAATCATTTTTATATGGTTAATTTTTTTTACCTCAAACATAAATTACTTTGGCATAAGAATGATACAATAGACTGTAGGAACTCAGGGGAAAGGGTAGGAGGGGGTGAGCGATAAAAGACCACACATTGGGTACAGTGTACATTGCTGGGGTGATGGGTGCATCAATATCTCAGAAATCACCACTAAAAAACTTATTCATGTCTGTTCCCCAAAAATCTATTGAAATAAAAAAAATTAAATATAAATTATTTTGGTAATTAACAAAAAAAATGGACAAAAGAAAAAACAGTAAAAAGCAATACATTTGAGTAGTGTTTTGGATAAGCAAGCGTGTAATCAGCACCTACTGTATGCTAGGCTGTATGCCAGGCACGGGGAATCGCAGATGAGCCTCAATGTAAACACAACACTGGGCAGCCTATCCACACACACCCTAGAGTCACTGTGCCCCGCCTCCTATTGTGAAGACTTGGCCATAATGAACGACAGGATGAATTCATCTCTTAAGAGTGAACCCAGCCGGGTGTGGTGACTCATGCCTATATTCCAAGCATTTTGGGAGGCCAAGGTGAGCGGATCACCTGAGGTCAGGATTTCAAGACTATCCTGGCCAACAGGGTAAAACCCTGTCTCTACTAAAAATACAAAAATAAACCGGGTGTGGTGGCATGTGCCTGTAATCCCAGCTACTCAGGAGGCTGAGGCAGGAGAATTGCTTGAACCCTGGAGGCAGAGGTTGCAGTGAGCCGAGAGCATGCCACTGCACTCCAGCCTGGGTGACAGAACAAGACTCCGTCTCAAAAAAAAAAGAGAGAGTGAACCCATGGATTTTAGCACAATGTGGGGCAAAGCCAGTGCCACCAAGTTACCATTCAGTGCTATGAGGAAAAATTCTTGGATGCGTTTTATACAACAAACTAGTCTTGCACGGGCTCCTGAAAAATCCAGAGCTGCGTGGTTATGAAAGTGCTGGGAAAGCCAATTGTTTGGCACAGACTTGAAGCCCAACGGCCCCATTAAGAGTATTTGCTTTCATTCTGTGAAACAGGAAAATGGGCTTTCGATTGGAAGGGCATCTCAAACCAAAATCAGTGGGGCCTCGTGTGCCGGGCTGATGCAACCCCTGAAAATTGACCTGAGATGGCCAACTTACATCCCCAAACAGCATTTGCAGAGGAGGAGTGAGCACTGTGTTCCTTCCAGCCATGGGAAGGTTATAGTACCCTTGTTCTATCACCACTCCTGGACAACCCAGTTTCCATGAAGCAACAAAATTCTCACCACTCTCTAATTTATCCAATCATGTGTTGATTATGTTCTTGTTACTGCACTGTGAACTCCACAAGGGTAGCACCATGTCTATCCTGATCTCCTCATCTATAGCACAGGTCTTGACACTTCATAGAGGCTCAATGAACACTGCTGGATTAATAAACCCATTCTTCAGACAAAACACAACTTTTTTGCCAAAAAAAATGTAAACCGATGTAAAAAATGTAAACAGTGTTTTCATCTCCCTCCTCAGCTGCACTACAAAACTGAGAGTTATAGATTAAGGAAGAAGAAAATGAGACGGTGCATGTGGAATCTTCTGCACACTTTAGAGAACTATACAAATGTTGGTGAATATCATTACCACGATCTGAAAAGTGTGTAGGAAACTAGTTAACTTCTAAGTAATGGCTTCATCATATTCCCTTCTTAATAGATGATTTTGAAAATAAAAATCAGCCAGCAGTTGGCACTTCAATAAGTGGATTAAGGCATATTTGTGTTTATATTTTTTAGCAATCTCCCTCATTTTATGAATTTATGATGTTAATGAAGAGTAAAACAGAACCCCAATCATAGAGTCAAAGCCTCTCAGAGCTGGAAGGGAACATAAGTCAAGTATTCTACATCTTCTTACAGATGCAAAAACTGATGCCCAAAGAGGTAAAGCAACTTGGCTAGCTTCACACAACTAATTCTTCAAAGAACCAGGACAAGATCCTTTGTCTTCTGGCAGACTTTCCTCCTCTACATCATGCTAGGTCTGAAATTCTGATTGTGTTGGTCATTGTCAGACAATGGTTGGTGTCTGTCTTTTCAATGTAAAGTCAATACCCCCAGTGCAAAAGTTAAATCAACATTGCACTCAGTGTCAATGATAACAAATCATGCTGCTTCAAGCTAACAAAAATGGCCTTTACCTGCAGACGGCTCTTTCTTTCCTTCTTCTCCCCCTCGTTCCCTTCCCTTCAAAACCCACACTTGTCCTGGATACCCCAATGCAAATGCCAGTCCAGAAAACTTCAGCAGCTAAATGCCAGTCAGCGCAAAGCCCTATTCTCAGCTGCAGTAATAAAGCAGTTGAAAATGCTGTGCATTCCAGTCACAAAAGATATGATTTCTGCCTGAGATTGTCCGATAACAGAAATGAATAATGGTTCTTTGCCTGAAAATACGTATTGATTGTTGGCTGTGAATTTCACCGTGGATAATGCTGAAGTCACCATCCTTCAAAGGTGTGTGAATTGAAGTTGCTGTTACCTAATCCTTGCAGGATGATTTGTAGCAAGAGACAAGACAAGGCAGGAGAAATGTCTACATGTAGGTCAGGCTGGACCTTCTCCAACCAATTTTCCATCCCAGATTATTTAATCTTCACTTCTAAGGTCCCAGTTTATTACATGCAAAGGACAGATTGATTGCCTGCATTTGACTAAGATGAAGACAGCTTTGTACTCTTGAATCTTTTGCAGAACTTAATTCTTCAAAATCACCCCATATTCCCAGGCCCAGCCACTACTGAACAACTTAAATATCTGCTGGCCTGACCTACCCCAGGCTGTATGTACTTTCCGTTTGCCTGTGAATGGGAACCAAATGGAAACCAGCACATACTCCTGGGTGTCATCAATTCTCCTCAAGCCAAACCAAACTTCATTCTAGCTCCTCAAATGCAGCAATAGTTCTTTGATATTTTTCACTTTCTGATGCTTAAAAGCATTAAGGACTACTAGCTAATTTGGCTACTAGAATACTTTTAAGTCCTGCAGAATGTGGTTGGTTAGTCATAGATGATTAACAGAGGAAAAGAACAGTGTCCAAGTGTCAGCTTCATGTTACTCTAAACTCCTAGCAACTAGGACATCAGAGTCTGGTGAGCTCAGAAATTCTAAGTGTGTGAAGCTTCTCACAGGGTAGAATTCAAAGGACTCCCAAAGTTTCCTTAATCCAGAACACTTCTCCAGCAACCTATTATGATACCTAAAATTTTACCATTAAAGATTTGTTTCAGGCCAGGCACAGTGGATTGTGCCTATAATCCCAGGACCTGGGAGGCTGAGGCAGGAGGAACACTTGAAGCCAGGAGTTTGAGACCAGGGTCAACATAGCAAGACCCTGTCTCTATAAAAATAAAAAGAAAAAAATTAGCTGGACATGATGATGCATGCCTGTAGTTCCAGCCACACAGGAGGATGAGGCAGGAGGATCGCTAGAGCCCAGGAGTTCGAGATCATAGCGAGGTATATTTGTGCCACTGTGCTCCAGCCTAGGTGACAAAGTGAGACCCTGTCTCCAAAAAAAAAAAAACATTGTTTCATTTGAGTTCAATCAAAGTGAGGTCTCTGAATGGCCCTTGTAAGAATCCCAGAAGCTAAGCTCTTAGAGGGCTAGCTATTATCTCCACATTAGCGGAGGTGTCTTCTAAGTTGACAGGCACTGAGCACAAGCCTTTATGAGAATATGAAACATCCAGATTGGAGAGAGACATGAAGAGCAGGAAATGAGTCACAGAAAAGAGGCAAAGAAGGCACTTAGGTACCACTTCCCAATTTAGTCCAGAATCTGTTCAAGGAAAACACCCATCCAATTTATGAGAGAAATTAGTCCCAGTGAAATGTCCAGAGAATAGAAGTGATAAAATTCCCCATGACATTCTTGGAACCTTTTTTTCTAGAGACAGAGTCTCACTCTTTTGCCCAGGCTGGAGTACAGTGGCTGAATCATAGCTCACTGCAGCCTTGAACTCCTGGGCTCAAGTTATCCTCCCCACCTCAGCTTCTCGAATAGCTGGGACTACACAAGTGCACCATCACACCGGCTAATTTTTTTATTTCTTGTAGAGACAGTCTCACTATGTTGCCCAGGCTGATCTCAAACTCCTGAGCTCAAGCGATCCTCCCACCTCAGCCTCCCAGGGTGCTGGGATTACAGGTGGGAGCCTCCACGCCCAGCCTCCTGGAACTTCAGTAAAACCTAAAGTAGGTTTTTATGCCTTTTCATTCCTGTAACTCACATCATTGGTTGCCACCAGGTGCCTAATCAGGGAAACTAGGACAAGTGGGTGGACACACTTGAGGCAAGCAGAAATTAAAGAGGAGAAATGTACCGTTTAACATAATCGAGTGTCATTAAAAGATTTTTAAATGCTTTCTAAAGTCAGCAAGACAAATCAGTCGACTTCACTTTCTTTTTTTAAAGTGTAAAAAATTGCCACTAGAGTGGGGAAAAAAAATCTCTTGGATGCATTAGTGCTTTATCATTGTCGTCAGCTCTTGCTTTGCCTAACTAATGACTCAATCATCTCTCTCCCTCTGATCCAATCATGTTTCTTCTACCCCAGAGTTGGAGGAGAGTCAATTTCCTCATACTCAGCCGGTACTTAGACCCTGGGCGTAATCCTGGCCTCTTTATCATCTCTTTTCAGGAAGGCTACTAACTGAAATTCTTCTTCTCTAAATGAATTCTATAATGACCCAGAGCCCATATTCACTAACTTTCTTTCCTGGCTTGTTTTATGTAACTATTATAAAGGTAATACTGAACTGCTGGCATCCCACCTACTTAGTGTGTATCTGTTTTGCTCCTTCCCATTTCTACTACTAATAGAAACAGTTTGTCTCTTGTGTTTTATGACACCAAACCCTTGAAATGATCTAATGTAACCTTCATCATTGGACCCACTGGCTTTGGTAAAAACCTGCTGGGGATAGATTCTCCAAATGCTCTTCTCTCCATCTTTGAATGTATCTCTTTATCCATTGCCCCTTCTTCAATCCTATCTCAGGAAAAATACTATACCCCTTGCTCTCTGAGACATAGTATTTCCACTTCCACTCTTCCTTGGCCTTGTCCATTTTGCCTCCTGCTGTATCTTGAAATACGAACTTTTTAACCCTAAACCGCCACCCTATAAATGCTTCCTGTCCTCTGTGTTCTCACTCACAGCCTCTAAATATGCATCTGGGTCACCTAATTAAAACATCTCAACCCTCCCTCCATGTAGAAAGTGCAGACACTAATTCAATGGCTACTTTATATCCTTTAAACGATATATCCAGAGTGACAGGCACATAGCGGATGCTCACAATGTGGTCGTTCCTTTTCCCCAACTGTAGTGGATTTGTTTCTCAGCCTTCCAGCCATAGCTGAGGGAGGACAGCACAGTGGAGGGGAAACAGGCAGATCTTTAGAGTCATGCAGACAAAAGTGTCCTCCCCAGCTCCCCCACCTGCCGTCATATCTGTATAACAGTGTGGGTTGTTGACATCTCAGTCAGATTCTGCATAGTGAATTAATGTGGGGCTTTCCTTTCTCCTACCTTCAAGGGCAGGGACCATGATCTCAATTTATCTTTGCATCAATCTTCAGTTCCAAGAGACATGCCTGGCAAAAAGGAGCTATTCAGCACATATTAATGGAACCAACATGCAACAGAGATAACTGAAGATGATATTAAAAGTAATATCAGACACCATGGGGATAAGAAGGGGACGAGGGGAACTAGGTTTTCAGAAATGCCAAGAAATTCCTGGAAGTCAAGAGCAACTCTCCAGAAATGGACAAGAGAGAAAGGGTAAGGAAGGAGGTACAGTGATCACCAAAGAAAAAAGAGTAAGAAACTAAGGAATGCAAGACCAAGGGACTCTGATATTTGGTGGATTCTCTAGTCCTTTTTTAACAGGTACACTTCTATTAAAAATTGAAATGATTCTACAACATTTATATGAGGATTTTTAGTCATTAGATGCTTTTTATGTCCATTCTCTCTTATCAAAAAGGTGCAAGAATTTTCAACCTATTTCTGTTGGGTGCAGGGAGAAGAGGAGGAATAAATTGGAGGAGGGATTAATTATCTGAAAGAACATCTGGGAAACATAAGCAGGCATGGGATTCCAGAAACGATAAGAATCTCCCCTGAGGTCCAAACAGAAGGAAAGGAAGTTTCCTTTCAACCCTCTTGAAAGGACTTGAAGGGGGTTTTGCCCCTATTTTAGCCTTTGTTGTTTCAAAATAATGTAGGATTTTGTCTTCCATAGTTTTCATCATTTATTTATTTATTTTGGTGAAAGCATGTATAGAGAATTACAGAAGGGAATCCATGTATTATTTAGAACTAGCAGCTACACATAATCATTTAAACTAAAGATGGTTGATCAATAATTCTCTACACAGAAGAGAATTCTCTCTCACAGAGGAAACAAAAGGTTTTGATGTCTCAAGTCCTCTGAGATTGCACCTACAGCATTGGTCACAAGTTCCTACAGCCAAAATGCCTTTATCAGAAAGGAACATTCTAGAAGAGGCCAAGCTAATTATGACATTAGAGCCATTATCAAGAGAAGAAGCCAGTGGCTAGCAAGCTCTACGTGCTTGAAAAGACCATGATGTATTTTCTGTGTGTGTGCTCTCCTCAGAGGAATAAAAGACAATAAATGGACCAGGTATGGTGGCTCTCACCTGTAACCCCAGCACATTGGGGGGCCAAGGATGGAGGATCTCTTGAGCTCACAAATTCAAGAGCAACCTGGGAAATAAAGCGAAAACCCATCTCCACAAAAAAAAAAAAAAAAAAAAAAAAAAACACTAATTAGCCCATGTGGTGGTGCATGCCTATAGTTCCAGCTACTTGGGAGGCTGAGATGGGAGGACTGCTTAAACCCAGGAGGTCGAGGCTGCAGTGAGCCATGTTCTAAAAAAAAAAAAAAAAAAAAAAAAAAAAAAAAAAAAAAAAAAATTCTTGGCCTTGCAGGGTGGCTCATGCCTGTAATCCCAGCCTTTTGGAAGGGAGGCAGATGGATCACTTGAGCCCACAAGTTTGAAACCAGCCTGGGCAATATGGTAAAACCCCATCTCTACAAACAATACAAAAATTAGCCAGGTGCAGTGGCACACACCTGTAGTCCCAGCTACTCAGGAGGCTGAGGTGGGAGAATCACCTGAGTCCGGAGGCGGAGATTGCAGTGAGCCGAGATCGTGACACTGCTCTCCAGCCTGGGTAACAGAGTGAGACCCTATCTCAAAAAAATAAATAAACATATGCATACATACTATCTTTACCATGTTTTAAACCCTAGTAGAGTCTAAAGATGGAATTATGAATTTTTAATGTTTTCTTTTTTTGTAACCCAAATAAAACTGGGTATTTCATGATGAGTCACAATACAGTTTTGCATTCAAAAGAATCCAAAACCCAAAAGAAAACATTAAAAAGCAATGTACATTTTTATGGAATTCTTTTGAAGAGAGTGGGAAGAGTTACTAGATGGCATGACACTTGTGAAAACATCTTTAAAATCATATATATATATATATATTTCTTCTCAGTTTCACAGCGCACAGCTAGGCGGATACATACAAAATTTTGTCCTTCTTTCTCTCCATCTGACCCCAGCTCTCTGCTTTGGGGTCTGTTCTGTTCTTCCAATTGCTCTGGGCTCTTTTGACTAAAAATTATTTCAGTCTTTCTGTCCTTACAGTTCTGCAACCTCACATTTTCTCAGCAGAACACTAGATCCTGTCTTCCTTTGACAGGGAAGGGAATGGGAAAAGGTGTGATTACTTACACATTCATACTTTTTAATGTTACAGACTCTATCATATCTGTATTTTCTAAATCCTTTTAATGAATATGTATAACATTATAATTAAAAAGGCATATTTCCTTTTTTCAATAAAACACAGAAGGTCTTTAAAATGTACCTTAAAAGACTGTACTTCCAAGGATCATTTCTGTAGTGCATCATTAGAGAACAGGAGAAAGGGTAGAGCATCGAAGAAGGACAAAAACCATATGATCATCTCAATCAATGCAGAAAAAGCATTTGATAACATTTAAAATATCTTCATAATAAAAACTCTCAACAAACTAGGCATGGAAGGAACATACCTCAACATAATAAAGGCCAAAAATGACAAATCCACCACTAACATCATGCTGAATGGAGAAAAGCTGAAAGCCTTTCCTCTAAAAACTGAAGCAAGACAAGGATGCCCACTGTATTAGTCTGTTCTCACGAAGACTAATATGGGGCTATATTAAATTACCCAGACTTGGTAATTTATAAAGAAAAAGAGGTTTAATAGACTCACAGTTCCACATGGCTGGGGAGGACTCACCACCATGGTGGAGGTGAAGGAGGAGCAAAGGTGTGTCTTACATGGCAGCAGGCAAGAGAGTTGTGCAGGGGAACTGTCTTTTGTAAAACCATCAGATTTCATGAAACTTACTGTCACAAGAACAGCATGGGAAAACTCACCTCCATGGTTCAATTACCTCCCACCAGGTCCCTCCCACAACATGTGGGGATTATGGGAGCTACAATTCAAGATGAGATTTGGGTGGGAACACAGCCAAACCATATCACCTGCTTTCACCACTCCTGTTCACCACAGTACTGGAAGTCCTAGCCATTGCAGTCCAGCAAGAGAAAGAAATTAAGGGCATTCAAATTTGTAAAGAGGAACTCAAATTATCCCCCTTTGCAGATGACATGATCAGATATCTGGAAAAACCTAGAGATTCCAACAAAAAACTCTTAGATCTGATAAATAAATTCAGTAAAGTTTCAGGATACAAAATCAATATATAAAAGTCAGTAGCCTTTCTATACACCAATAACAATCTAGCTGAGAAGGAAATCAAGAATCTCATTTACATAGCTACCAAAAGAATACCAAGGAATAAATTTAACCAAGGAGGTGAAAGACCTTTACAAAGAAAACCACAAAACACCAGTGAGATAAATTGAAGAGGATACAAATAGAAAGATACCTGGTGCTCATGAATTTTAGAAGTTAATATTGTTAAAATAAACATGCTCCCCAAAGCAATCTACAGATTCAATGCAATCTCTGTGAAAATACCAAAGTCATTTTTCACAAAAACAGAAAAAATAATCCTAAAATTTATGTGGAACCAAAAGAAATTTATATGGAGCCCAAATAACCAAAGCAATCCTGAACAAAAGGAACATAGCTAGAAGCATTACACTACCTGACTTCAAAATATATCACAAGGCTATAGAAACCAAAACAGCAAGATATTGGTATAAAAACAGACACATAGAACAATGGAACAAAATAGATAACCTAGATATAAATCCATGTATTTACAATCAGCTGGTTTTTAACAAAGGCACCAAGAACATACATTAGGAGAAGGACAGTCTCTTCAATAAATGGTTCTGGGAAAATTGAATATCCATATGCAGAAAAATGAAACTAGACCTCTATCTCTCATCTTATCCAACGATCATCTCAAGGCCAGGCACAGTGGCTCACGCCTGTAATCCCAGCACCTTGAGAGGCTGAGGCAGGAGGATTGCTTGAGCCCAGGAGCTTGAGACTAGCCTGGGCAGCATAGCGAGACCCTGTCTCTACCAAAACTTAAAATTAAAAAAAAAACTTAAAATCAACTCAAGAGAGATTAAAGACTTAAATGTAAGACTCAAAACTACAAAGCTACTTGAAGAAAACGTAGAGGAAACCCTTCAGGACTTTGGTGAAGGCAAAGATTTTATGGCTAAAACCTCAAAAGCACAGGCAACAGAAACAAAATAGACAAATGGGTCTATATTAAACTAAAAAGTTTCTGCGCAGCAAAAGAAACAATCAACAGAGTAAAGGGACAACCTGTTGAATGGGAGAAAATATTTGCAAACTATTCATCTGACAGGGGATTAATATCCAGGATACACAAGGAGCTCGAAAAACTCAACAGTAAAATAATAATAATCCCATTAAAAAGTGGGCAAAGAACATGAATAGACATTGTGCAAAAAAAGACATACAAATGGCCAATAGATATATTAAAAAATGCTCAACATCACTAATAATCAGAGAAATGCAAATTAAAACCACAATGAGATGCCATCTCACATCAGTCAGAATGGCTCTTACTGAAAAGACATAGAATAACAGATGCTGGTGAGGCTGCAGAGAAAAGGGAACATTTGTAGATCATTGGTGGGAATGTAAATTAGTCCCACCACTATGGAAAATAATATGAAGATTTCTCAAAAAACTGAAAATAGAACTACCACATGATCTAGCAATCCCACTCTTGGGAATTTATCCAAAGGAAAAGAAACCAGCATATCAAGTGTATACCTGTGCCCGTATGTTTATTTCAGCACTGTTCTCAATAGCGAAGATATGGAATCTACCTAAGAGGACGAATGGATAAAGAAAATGTGGTATAGGCTGCTCTGCCTATGGGGTAGCCATTCTTTTATTCCTTTACTTTCTTAATAAACTTGCTTTCATTTTACTCTATGAACTCACCCAGAATTCTTTCTTGCATGATGTCCAAGAACCCTCTCTTGCAGTCTGGATTGGGACCCCTTTCCCATAACATCTTCCTGGAAAACCATGAAGAGACTATAGTGAGAAGACCCCCAACTCAAAGGAAATGGACTGCAGTATCAATTGGCTGACTTTGGGTAAGAGGGCGGGTACATTTCACCAGGGTAAATGATGGGATTGGGTTAGAGACCCAATTTAGGAGGGTTAGAATCCCTCCTAAGACAGAGAGGGCTAAAGGCCCCTCTTAATAAAAGGCAAGGACACTTGACCAAACTTGGTTTCAAGGCCCAACTTAGGAAGGTTAGAGTCCTTCCTAAGATTTAGGGGGTTAAAGGTCCCCCTCAGTAAAGTCTCTTGGTTAAAAATGGATTTGACATTATGGGATGTTAACCACTATTCTCTTTGAATTAATCTGCCTTACTCTCTTTGCTGATGGCTATGGGTGACATAATTAGGCAAGTACAGGATCACAGGACATGGGGAGCTTTTCTCTCCACAAAGGAAGAAACTTGAGAGCTTATGGGGCTGCTGGAAAAGATACCTTTGTGACTGACAAGCAGCTGCCTGAACTTTTGATTCACCGTCTCTGCAATGGGTAACAGTGGGTCTTTCTCTGGCCTCCCTGAGCTGCTCACCTTCCTCACCACACTGCAAGCAATGCTTTTCTCTCTCTCTTTCTCTCCTTTCCTTTTCCTAACTTTTCTGTTACTCAAGGAGGCCATCTGCTCTTCCATCTTACCCAGAGGCCACATTTTGAAACTCCTGGTTAGAGGTCATTCCACCCCACTTTGAATGGATTAAAGATAACAGGGCCCAACTCGGGGCAAGTTTGAGCCTCACCAGTTCAATATTGGGTGCTAAACAGGGTGGCTAATGTCTGTGTTTTGTCACATGTATTTTGCTCTGGCCAGAATGGGAAATGTGAATTTGGTTAACCCATGCAACCCCTTGGGTGGCATCTTGCAAACTTGATAGGCTTTTGCCTATGGTTCTATGAAACAGAAAAAGATGATTTTCCTTTGTGTTGCGGCTTGGCACCCAGGACTATAATGTGGCAAAAAGGGTCACTACAGGTGCTGAGGAAAAGGGAACCCAGAAATCTAGCATGCCAGCAAAAGGGTAAGAATTTCTTACCAGTCAGGTTTCTGGCCTCGCTCTCTGTGCAAACTGGTTGGGTGAATGGTAAAGAAATCACTGTTCACCTCCTCTGCAACGTTTTGAACAATGGGAAAAAATAATCTGTGAGTCTAGTGTTAGACTGTAACAAATCCGGTGGACTTTATGCTATGAATTTGTCTTTCTGTATCATTCTGTCATAAGGAGGGGTACCTTAGGATAGAACACAGGCCTAGGATCCCATAAGTCCACTGTCCAAGCCATCCCAGCAAACTGGTCAGTTACCAAATTTTGCTTCCCTGAAACAAACAAACAAAAAATTAGATGATATTTCCCTCTCATCTTGTCTTATGTCCTTAGGAGCTTGTCCTCATAACCACATGGCAGTACTTGCTCTTGGTCTCTGCCAAAATTCAGAGACAGGAATTTTGGAATTCATGTCATAGCTCTAAAAATTCTCTTGAGCAGTTAAAAGCCTTTGCAGGCTCAAAATTGGCTGCCTCTAGAGTCCTTCTGGGCAGGGCAGAGGAAACTGCCCAATGTTGTAGCTTAGGAGCTAAGGCTTTGTCTTTTCACAATGGCAGCCCAGGTTCCATTTTCAGCCTAGGAATGAGAACTTTCTGGTTGATATTTGTGTGACCTTTGCCATTTACTGATCCTCTTCCCCTCCATATACAACTTCTGACTTCCTGTCTTGGGTTTTCCTTTCTCTGAGCACCTGGGAGGTTACCTTTGGTAAAGTTCAAAAGCCAGAAATACTTGCTGTTTATTCTGGATAGACTTTGGTAATAAGATATTTGGTTAAAAGTCAGCTAAATTAAAAGCAATATACATGCTATACATATATTTTAAAGGCCTTTATGTTTTTTTCTCTTACTGGATCTTATTTTTCTGAAGAAAAAGTTTTTCTCTTCTCAGCTGACTTAATTGTTTTTCTCCATTTTGTCTTCTTGCCACTGTTGATGCACACATGAGAGAAATTATCCAAAGATAATTTCTAACAGCCTGAAACTCCTTGGGAAAAACAGAAGAGGCACCACAGACTCTGCCGGGGAGGAAAACACCATTTTCCTCATGAAACCCCAGGAATTGAAAGTGGATAGATCCCTCTCAAAATCTAAGGCTCTGTTCTGTTTTGCATTGCATTATCTGACGTCTTCAGCTTTGGAGAGTATCAGGAATTACTTCATATTATGAGAGAGTTTTGGTGTGTAATAAGTAGGTAGGAAATATACTTTTGAAGATGGCTGATATTAATAGCAGTTATGGGGGAATACTCAGCTCTTTGCACTTTTAGATCAGAGACACGTGCTCTTGGCCACCTGGAAGGTATGGAAACATCCCCCTTTTTCTCTTGAACAAAATTTTCATGTAATATTAAAAATAATAAAAGATTTTATTTGCCTTTTAAATAAACTATAGGAAAAAGAAAGGAAAGAAAAGAGATTGTTTGGAAAGCTAAGTCTTTTCTCTAATAATGAGTAAAGGTTATTGCCTTTTTAAAATTGTTGAGTTATCATTTTGGCTAAATGAATGACTTACAGTGACCTGAAATTCTATTTTATAGTACCAAGTCTTCTAAACCTTTGATATTTGACAAACTTTCCAAAATCATATTGTAAATTATGTCTTTTTCTGACCAAATAAATAATCTTTTAGATATTAAGTCCCCTAAAGTCCAAAAATGACTTACTATTTTTGGTTTATTTGGTATAAAATCATAAAAGAAGCATTGTCAAATATAAAATGGTGTTTGGCTTTCTTTGGTCTGTATTCATTAAATATGCTATTGGTATATATTCCAAAATTATGGGAAACTCCTATAATTCTGACTTAGTGTACATTATTTACAATTATAATTGTTATGTAAAGTTGTTGTATGCCAAAGAAGTAACCAAAATTTCTAGTCAATTGTGGCTTTAATAGTGGCTGCCCTAAGACTTTGTCATCCACAGACAATTGTTATCTTGTTTTGATCCTCTTTAAAAGGCAGTTTTATAATCAGCTATGGGACTCTGACAGGTGCTCTTGAATGCAGGTTTCTGATAACTTTGGAGATTGTGACATTAGAATAGAGAAAAATCTTTCAGGACTCTCATGGAAAGCTGAAATGTTCATGAATATCAAGCAGAACGGAGGTTAACTGCATGAACTTAACTAATAGAAGACTGAAATAATCCCTTTATAATTTTTTGCTTAAAATGTTACTGATTCTTTGTTTTGTTTTCAGAGAGAAGAAAAGTTTTCTTTTGAGCTATTTACAGCTTTTAACAATTGAGTAAAGTATACTTCTATAAACAAAATTGGAAGCGTATTTGTTTCTCTCTACCTGATTTCTCCAGAATCTGGAAACTATTTGTAAAGTATTCCTTTTTTTTTTTTTTTTTTTAGTTTCTTGAGACAGAGTCTTGCTCTGCCACCCAGGCTGGAGTGCAGTGGCATGATCTTGGCTCACTGCAATCTCCACCTCCCAGGTTCAAGCCATTCTCTTGCCTCAGCCTCCCAAGTAGCTGGAATTACAGGTGCCCGCCACCACACCAGGCTAATTTTTGTATTTTTAGCCATGTTAGCCAGCCTGGTCTCGAACTCCTGATCTCAAGTGATCTGCCCACCTCAGCCTCCCAAAATGCTGGGATTATAGGTATGAGCCACCATGCCTGGCCTATTTGTAAGTATTCTTAATTTATAGCAATATCGTTATTTGCATAGGTGTAATAATGATCTGTTTTCTTTTGTAACAGGACACAATTGGAAATGCTGATTATTTTATTAAGGCTTTTACTGGAATGGTATGCTTTCAGGTACAGACAGACTTGTTTAAAGAATCAAAGTTGACTTATAGAGCCAATAAAAGCCCCTTGAGAAAACTGGTCTCATTCTTTGTCTACACAGTCCCTGTACAGAGTTCCTGACCTGTGGTAAGTAAAGAATGTCACTTCCTGACAGACTTAGGAGCCCCAAGTTGTCTGGAGACCTCAAGAGAGAGGAATGTACCCAACTCATATAGGTATTTAATGGCACAAAGCCATGGCTGGGCTCAAGGCTTTAAAAAAAAAAAAAGGCTTATCTGAGATTCCTTATGGAACAGAGTTCCATCAGGGCCAACTTAAAAAGTCTATGTGAAAAATAGTTATTCTTCCTACACTTTATATAAATAATCAGGCCAAGTCTAAGACTAAAGCTTATTTTGCAAACAATTCAGTGCTATCATGATTTGTTTTTAATCAAAATGAGAACTGGGAAGAGAAAAAGTATGTTTCAAAAACCATGGTACACTTGTTATTAGATTCTAATCTCATCAGTTGTTTTTAAGTTTTTTCCTGCAATTTAGACTAACCCTGATTATTCCTGTGAATCAACCAGTGATCTCTGGCTGCAGCTCAGAAGAAACAAAAGGGATGGGTAATGTAAAAATCTAGATCAGTATTCTAATTCTGGCACACACTGGAACCAGCTAGCAACTCCATATCAGCTTGGTTCCCACAATTGCCCAGTTCATGGAAAGCTATTTAGTTTACTTGGGATAATTTTACTTATTTTGCTTTGCTGTTGTGGCATATATTGCTGTTGTACCCTTTGTAGGAATGTAGGATAAGCTTACTCAACATTTTCTTAAATTGAACACTTATTAATCTTCCAGATATCACCTTTTGTTGGAACTCAGAGTTATGAATGACCCTCAGCATATTGACACTTTCTGATTGAGTTCTTCTCTGTCCTAGATACAAATACCCTAATAGTTAGGCAGGATTATCATTGCCCCTATTTAGCCTGAAGAAGTTACAGAAGATGAGTTTTCATCCCTCTACAACCCTTAGGATTGAGGGTTCCCTTGTAAAAGGAAGGGGGGAAATATGTCAGAGGCAGTGACTCCATCTTGAATAGGGGCTGGATAAAAAAGGCTAAGAGCTGCTGCATTCCTAGGAGGTTAGGCATTCTTAGTCACAGATGAAATAAGAGGTGGACAGGACTGGTATCACAGGATACAGCTTACAAAAACCCTGCTGATAAAATAGGATGTGGTAAAGAAGCTGGCTAAAACCCACCAAAACCAAGATGGCAATGAAAGTGACCTCTAGCCATTCTCACTGCTCATTATATGCTATTTTTTCTTTTGAGACAGAGTCTCACTGTGTTGCCCAGGCTGGAGTGCAGTGGCATGATCTCAGCTCACTGCAGCCTCCACCTCCTGGGTTCAAGCAATTCTCGTGCCTCAGCCAAGTAGTTGGGAATCCAGGTGCACACCACATGTTTGGCTAATTTTTTGTATTTTTAATAGAGACAGGGTTTCTCCATGTTGGCCAGGCTGGTATCGAACTCCTGGCCTCAAGCAATCTACCTGCCTGGGCCTCCCAACGTGCTGGAATTACAGGTATGAGCCACCACACCCAGCCATTATATGCTTATTATGAATGCGTTAGCAATGCTAAAAGGCACTCCCACCAGCGCCATGACAGTTTACAAATGCAATAGCAACGTCCAGAAGTTACCCTATATAGTCTTTAAAAAAATGGAGGAACCCTCATTCCAGGAAATCTCCACCCCTTTCCTTAAAAACTGGTGAATAATCCACCCCTTGTTTAGCATGCAATCAAGAAATAACTACAAGTATACTCAGTCTAGCAGCCCATGCTACTGCTCTGCGTATGGGGTAGCCATTCTTTTATTTCTTTACTTTCTTAACAAATTTGCTTTCATTTTTAAACTAAAGAAAGAAAACGTGGTATATGGCCGGGCGCGGTGGCTCACGCCTGTAATCCCAGCACTTTGGGAGGCCGAGGCGGGTGGATCATGAGGTCAGGAGATCGAGACCATCCTGGCTAACAAGGTGAAACCCCGTCTCTACTAAAAATACAAAAAATTAGCCGGGCACGGTGGCGGGCGCCTGTAGTCCCAGCTACTCGGGAGGCTGAGGCAGGAGAATGGCGTGAACCCGGGAAGCGGAGCTTGCAGTGAGCCGAGATTGCGCCACTGCAGTCCGCAGTCCGGCCTGGGCGACAGAGCGAGACTCCGTCTCAAAAAAAAAAAAAAAAAAAAAGAAAGAAAAGAAAACGTGGTATATTCGCGATGGAGTTCCATTCAGCCATAAAAAGAATGAAATCATGTCATTTGCAGCAACTTGGATGGAACTGGAGGTCATTATGTTAAATGGAATAAGCCAGGCACAGAAAGACAAATATCACACGTTCTCACTCATACCTGGGAGCTAAAAAAAGTTGATCTCATGGAAGTAGAGAGTAGAATAATAGGTACCAGAGACTGAGAAGGTTATGTGGGGGTGAGGAGGGATAAAGAGAGTTTAGTTAATGGGTACAAACTTACAGTTCTATAGAAGTTAAAAGTTATAATATTTGATAGCAAAGTGGAGTGACTATAGTTAGCAACAAGGTGTATATTTCAAAATAGCTGGAAGAGATAACTTGAAATATTACCAACACACAGAAATGATAAATACTGGTCAGGCACAGTGGCTCACGCCTATAGTCCCAGCACTTTGGGAGTCCAAGTCGGTCAGATCACTTGAAGCCAGGAGTTCAAGACCAGCCTGGCAAACAGGTAAAATCCCATCTCTACTAAAAATACAAAAATTAGCTGAGTATGGTGGCACACGCCTGTAATCCCAGCTACTTGGGAGGCTGAGGCACAAGAATCACTTGAACCCAGGAGGTGGAGGTTGCAGTGAGCTGAGATCATGCCACTGCACTCCAGCCTCCATCTCAAAAAAAAAAAAAAAAAAAAAAAGAAATGATAAATATTCAAGGTGATGGATACACCAAATACCCAGACTTATCATTACACTTTCTATGCATGTAACAAAATATCACCCCATAAATATGTAAAATATTATGTATCCATTAAATTTTTTAAATGTACCTTAAAATAATGATGCCTAGATTTTGGAATTTTACCCAAAAAGTGTGATTTTAATTAAAAAAAAAAAACCTGGGGACTAATATAGGGCTAGTAATTTTCTATTTTGCCCAAAAAAAAGAATTTTTAAAAATCTGCTATTCTCATCATTTCATTAAAAAAGAACATTTTAACAACCAAAAAATAAGCAGATATTATCTCATAATGAAAAAAAAGTCTTAAATAGAACAATTTGGCTTTGCAAAAACTCACTAAATTGTGCCTTTCTTCCACCACTCTTCAGATAGTAGTGTGAACTTCATCAGGGACCAGCACTGCTGTGAGCACTAGCTTTGGAAAACACCAGCTTAGGGGTGGTAGAAAAGACAAAAATGGAGTGAGAGTAGACTGGTGAAGACAGAAAAAGAAATAAAGATTAGGAGTCATCAAACAATGATCCAGTAGAGCCATGGTTTGCAAGTTGCTTCACAGAAGATACTCAAAAGCAGCTAGCAAGGGGCGAAGCTGTGGGTCTCCAGCCTTCCTCTTCAGTCAGAGAGGCCTTACTCTTATTTGACGTATATTGGGATACCACCTTATCAGACTCACTGAGGCACATGGGTTCTCTGGGCTGGCTAATGGTTTGTGCCAATTCTTCAAATATTGACTCAACACATTTTTAGTGAGAGTAGGGAGAAACCAACTAACTTCACTTGAAAAAAAATATATACCTTCTCCTTTATGTTCAGAACAAGAGACAATTACATACACTTATCATTAACATAATATTTTGACTTATTTGCAATTGTCTTCCATTTCACTGATTTTCCATTTTTCCTAGCTACAAAGCACTGTTCCGTTATACCAAGTCCCTCAGAGTCACTAGGAATAGAAGCAGCTTACATGGCTTTTTCAGGGTGATTTTACTGTGTTTTGTTTTGCCTTTCTTGTTAACAAAACATTCTCTTTTCTGAAATATGTGTTATTATCCAGGTTGTGTGAGATTTTCCAAACCAGATACATTTTGGGAGGCATTAAGGGATTACAGTGCATATGATAGAGTAAATCATTTTTTCTCAGTAAGTGGGACTAAGTGATGTGTTGCTGGGTTTCAGAATTTCAGCTGACTGCAACTGCCAACTTCAGGCCTCTGTCAGCTACCTTGCTGGGACTGGTTGGGGCCAAATGAACTGCAGGCATGCTGGAGTCATCAAAACATTCAGACCAAATTGGCCCCCACCATCGAAGAGTGTTTTGCTTTTGTTTTTATTTTCACATAAGGGGCTCTACTTCATTAGGACCAAAAATGATATACATTTTGATGCTTTTTAAAATAATAGTAGGTGGAAACCTGAGTTTTAAAAGTGCCATATTTCTGATTTATTCCAGCATCTTTTAGCTTCTTCCTAGGAAGAAGCTCAGTTGATCTGCTTCCTAATCCAGATCTGTAAAATTCACTTGAATAAAGTGTTTGGCTTTTCAGTAAAGTTTTAAAACCGCAAAAGAACAGGTATGCACATCAGGGTACACTAGAGGGTTACAATAGGCAGTTGTAAAATGAAAGTATTTTGGAAGTCTCATATAGTTGTTAATTACCAACCTCATTCCTTGATGAGAATATTAACCAGACCAAACTGCTGTCATCCAGTGCTTGATCATCAATGGTTTGCTTTGGACTCCTGCCAAATATGGGGAAAAAAATGGGGCAAATGAAGGGAAGGAAGACACTGGCTGATGACTACCAGTACATCCTTTCTCTATCCCAAGGCAAATGAGACAGATGAGACTCGCCCACCCACCTCCACCTTTTCCCCCTAATAATAGTCCAAAATGCTCCCTATAGAAAATATGTGCAACAGCAGCAGTCTTCCTCTTCCCTGCACAAGTCTGCACCCATTTTTTGTGCTGATGCTGACAGTTCATTTGGTATACAGAAAGGACTCCACACAGGGAGACAGAATCAAGCCCAACTTCCTCTCCAATAACCTGAGAAGCCCAGACCCATTGGCCCACAGGTGGCACATGCATGTGGATGGGAGATCTGGTCCGGGAGGACTTGGCACTCACTGGAGCTGCCCTCTGAAGCTCATCCAACAATCCACCCTATTGAATGCAGGAGGTGTGGAGATAATGACTATTTCCTGAATGTCTTGCTGTTTAAACAGTCCTGCTGTGGTGTTTGGAGAAATTCAGGATGTTTTTGCATTCCAGGTGCTGTTGGAGCTGCCTAGCTAAGCTAAACACCCCACACAGGCACTGAGAACAGGTGGTGTCTGGCCAGACTGCTGGCAGTCAGGATGATGGTTGTTTTTCCTGTTCCAGCAGTTGGCAGAGGAATGCGAGCTTCAGTACAATCAGTAGCTTTCCATCCTCGAAAAAGGAATGTGTTCTCCCTGACACCACTGCATAAAGACACTCTATAGCGCTCAAAAGCCCTTTCTGAGACAGAACAAAGTCCAAAACCACAGACTACCATTCAGAATCTTCCTCAATTTATCCCTGTTTTTAAGCACTTTGGCATGCAAGATGCAAGATCCACTTAAGCGAGCTCAGGAGAGGGTGTGTGTAGGTGCGTGTGTGTGTGTGTATGTGTGTATGTGTGTGTGTGTAGAGATGTTATTAAAAGAATGCAAGGGAGGAAATGGCTCAAAGGAACCAAAAATTAACCAGGAATCACCTGTGGCTCCCTAAATCTCGAGGGACCACAAAGCTCCCCCCAACTCTAGTTCTGTCATGAGACACACATGCTCTAGTCAACTCTTTTCCTAATTTTTGCCTTGGACTCCATATCTATTAATCCCTGTCACATTCTTTCAAGGGTCTTCTCTGATCTCCCCCCAAGCCCACCATTTGATGACATCTGTTTCTCCTGATTACACTCGGTCAAAGGACCCTGTTTCATCCATTGCCTTTGTTATGACCTGACATTTTCTTATTTATTTACTTGTGCATTTTCCCATTTAAACCTAATGTCTGTGAAAGAAGGACTTTGCCTTGTACATCCCTGTATCAATAGGCCCTAGAACAGCATGAGGCAGATAATCAGCACTTATTAAATGCATGATGGTTCACAATCAGGGCCCTCTACTATGAAATTTCTATATTTGTTGGTTCAAATGCTCACATGAGACCATCTGATTGGTTCTCTTGCCAGCTAGATGATCTCCCCTGGGCATCTGAACCAACAAATACAGAAATTGAACCAAGGCTGAATGCTAAAACTAAACTGAAAACTAGTTCTAGCATTCAGCCTTGGTCCAATCTGCCATGTCAAGGAAGAAGAGTCAGAAGCTACCCTTTCCAAAGGTTATGAGAGGTGGTGAGTCTCCAGGGATCTACAGGTGAAGAAGACACTAAAACATGCCTCAGAGAGGACTCATCAGCCTTTGCAGAGTTATCTCCCGCAAGTGCATGTACAACACATCACTACCCCATTCCTGTGGGCTACTCAAAACCCCTGGCTCTGATAGGCACTCACATTTTTGTTAAGTCACCCTGTCTTCCCTGCTTCAGATCTTGTCTCAAACTGTTCCCTCCTTTCCAGAAAGCCTCATCCCAAACAGCCCTACCCCACTGTCATGCTATAGATGTTATAGCCTTATTTCAGAATTCAACTCAGATTTCATCTCATTCCCAGATCCTGTCATTCTAAATTAACCACTCCTTTTCCCAAAGTCGGAAACACCTTGGTTCAACCTCTGCTAAGGACTTGCTCCAGGCTTCTTTGCAAGAGAAAGGTAAGAATCAGATAATAAAATGCCACCCAAAGATCCTTAGCAGGGATAACCCAGAGATTTATTTACAAGAATGGGGCCAGAATCTGACACCCATTCCAGGTACAAGAGGCCATGACGAGCTGTGTTCCTAGCGAGGGTATGACTTCCTGCTGAAGGCCACTGGGCAGCTCAGCAACATGGGGAAACACAGCAAGGGCGATGAAGATCAACTTTGCCCTCTTAGCGGCAAGGAGAAGCCCAGTCTTTACCTAAATGCTGGCTGTTTCTAGATTTCACCCCTGAGACCAGTGGTTCACAAAACTGGCTGCATGTTAACATTCCCTGGGGTGCTTTTTAAAACTCTCCACATCCTGAGAGAAACCTTAAATGCATACTGCTAAGTGAAAGAAGCCAACCTGTAAAGGTACATGTGCTGTGATTCCAACTCTGTAATATTCAGGAAAAGGAAAAACTATGGAGACAGCAAAACGGATTAGCAGTTGCCAGGGGTTAGTGGGGAAGGAAAGATAAATAAGCAGGCACAGGGCATTTTTAGGGCAGTGGAAAGAGTTTGTATGATACTATAATGGTGCATACATGTCATTATATATTTTCCCAAGCCCATAGAATATAAAACACCAAGAGTGGACCCTAATGTAAACTATGGATTCTGAGTGATAATGATGTGTCGATGGAGGTTCATCAATTCTAACAAATGTACCACTTTGCTGGGGGATGAAAAATATAATATATGCCTGGCCCACATTCATGTCATATTGCCATCATCATAGTGCCTTTGCCACTCATAGCTTTCTATAAATGCAGAGGAGGCTAATGCCTGTGTGGGGAAGAGGGTATATAAGTACTCTCTGTACTTGCTGCTCAATCTTGCTGAGAACTTAAAACTGCTCTAAAAAATAAAATCTATAAATATATCTACACACCCAGATCCTGCCCTAGATATTGTAAATAAATTACTCCAGGGTGGGGCCCAGGCTTTGAGAACCACTGGCCTGGAGCTATATCAAAACATATCTGTCTGGGTATGATGGCTCACACCTGTAATCCCAGCATTTTGGGAGTCAGAAGCAGGAGGATCACTTGAGGCTAGGAGTTTGAGACCAGCCTGGGCAACGTAGCAAGACCCCATCAGGTGAGTGGCACACACCTGTGGTCCTAGCTACACAAGAGGCTGAAACAGGAGGATTGCTTGAGCCCAGGAATTCAAGGATACTGTGAGCTATGATTGTGCCACTACACTCCAGCCTGGACAACAGAGCAAGACCCTGTCTCCTAAAAAAACAGAAAGTATCATAAGAGAAAGACAGACAAGAGCTTTGCTTCCAAAGAGGCCTAAGCAGGAATCCCAACTCCTCTTTACCACCTTTGCCATCTTCCACAAGTCAGTTAAGGCTTCCTTTCTGTGCAAGTAAAGTGCCAGTAATTCCTACTGCATATGATTATTGTAAAGATTAGAGAAAACATGTGCAAAATTCCAGGTACATAATAAACCCTCAATAAAATTATGTATACATATTATTAATTCCTCCCAACAACCCAATAATACATATTATTAATTCCTCCCAAAAACAATATGTTTTAAACATGTAAGGCAATGTTGCCTACACAACAAAATATTAGTGCTTTAAGAAAAAGAGGTCCTTTTTTTTTGTTTTTGTGTAAGCCACCTCAGCCTATTCATATGATGAAAGTTGTTTGGCAGGCCAGGTGTGTACACTCCTCTGCAAATCAACATCTCCAGATTCTAACTTTTTATTGAGGCAATAGCCCCCTTAAAAAGTGAATTCATGTCAGCCACTATAGACCAGGAGGCAGCTATTCCGCTACAAAGCAATTGATGTGGAAGTCAGTAACTGTTCTTGAATACAAATACTGCACCTATAGAAAGCTATGGGTGGCAAAGTCACTATGCGAATATGACATGAATGTGAGACAGGCATATACTACATTTTGTATATGGAAAACAACCATCATGCACAAAATCAAAAAGAAAGAAAAATGTCTTTCCTGCTTATTGGCAAAATCATAGTATCTAGTTTTCAAAGTCCATTAAAGAAATGCTTCTTGACTTTCTCACTGTGTGTATTAGTCTGTTCTCATGCTGCTAATAAAGACATACCCAAGACATGGTAATTTATAAAGGAAAGAGGTTTATTGGACCCACAGTTCAGCATGTCTGGGGAGGCCTCACAATCATGGCAGAAGACAAAGGAGAAGCAAAGGCACATCTTACATGGTAGCAGGCAAGAGAGCTTGTGCAAGGGAACTCCCATTTATAAAACCATCAGATCTCATGAAACGTATTCACTACCATGAGAACAGTATGAGGGAAACCACCCCCATGATTCAATTATCTCCACCTGGCCCTTCTCTTGACAATTCAAGGTAAGATTTTGGGGGGGACACAGAGCCAAACCACATCATTCCACCCCTGGCCCCTCCAAAATCTCATGTCCTCACATTTCAAAACCAATCATGCCTTCCCAGCAGTTCCCCAAAGTCTTAACTCATTTCAGCATTAACTCAAAAGTCCACAGTCTCATCTGAGATAAGGCAAGTCCCTTCCGCCTAGGAGCCTGTAAAATCAAAAGCAAGTAAGTTACTTCCTAGATACAATTGGGGTACAGGCGTTGGATAAATGCACCCATTCCAAATGGGAGAAATTTGCCAAAATTAAGGGGCTATAGGCCCCATACAAGTCCAAAATCCAGCAGGGCAGTTAAATCTTAAAGCTCCAAAATGATCTCCTTTGAACTCCATGTCTCAGATCCAGGTCACACCAATGAAAAAGGTGGGTTCTCATGGTCTTGAGCAGCTTCTACCCTGTGGCTTTGAGGGGTACAGCCCCGCTCCTGGCTGTTTTCGCAGGCTGGCATTGAGTGTCTGTGGCTTTTTCAGGCACACAGTGCAAACTGTCAATGTATCTACCATTCTGGGATCTGGAGGATGATGGCCCTCTTCTTACAGCTCCACTAGGCAGTGCCCCAGTGGGGACTCTGTGTGGGAGCTCACACCCCATATTTCCTTTCTGCACTGCCCTAGCAGAGGTTCTAAATGAGGGCTTTGCCCCTGCAGCACACCTCTGCCTGGACATTCAGGTATTTCCATACATCCTCTGAAATCCAGGCAGTATTTCCCAAACCTCAATTCTTGACTTCTGTGCACCCACAGGCCCAACCCCACGTGTGAGCCACCAAAGCTTGGGGCTTGTACCCTCTAAAGCAGCAGCCTGACCTTTACGGTGGCCCCTTTTAGCCCTGGCTGGGACATAGGGCACCAAGTCCCAAGATTGCACAAAGCAGCAAGGCACTGGGCCCAGCCCAGGAAACCATTTTTTCCTCCTTAGCCTCTGGACCTGTGATGGGAGGGGATGCCATGAAGACCTCTGACATCCCCTGTAGACATTTTCCCCATTGTCTTGGCAGTTAACATTTGGCTCCTCATTACTTACGTATATTTCTAGAGCCAGCTTGAATTTCTCCTCAGAAAATGGGTTTTTCTTTTCTACCACATCATTAGGCTGCACATTTTCTGCTCTTCTTCCCTTTTAAACATAAGTTCCAATTCCAAACCATATCTTTGTGAATACATAAAGCTGAATGCTTTTAACAGCACCCAAGTCACCTCTTGAACACTTTGCTGCTTAGAAATTTCATTTGCCAGATACCCTAAATCATCTCTCTCAAATTCAAATTTCCGCAGATCTCTAGGGCAGGGGCAAAATGCCATCAGTCTCTTTGTTAAAACATGGCAACAGTCACCTTTGTTCCATTTCCCAACAGTTTGTCATCTCCATCTGAGACCACCTCAACCTGGACTTCATTGTCCATATCACTATCAGCATTTTGGCCAAAGCCATTCAAAAGTCTCTAGGAAGTTTAAAACTTTCCCACATCTTCCTATCCTCTTCTGAGCCCTCCAAACTGTTCCAACCTCTGCCTGTTACCCAGTATCAAAGTCACTTCCACATTTTCAGGTATCTTTACAGCAGCACCCCACTCTACCAGTACCAATTACTGTATTAGTTTGTTCTCATGCTGCTAATAAAGACATATCTGGGACTGGGTAATTTATGAAGAAAAGAGGTTTAATGAATTCACAGTTCAGCATGGCTGAGGAGGCCTCACAATCACGGCAGAAGATAAGGGAGAAGCAAAGGTGCATCTTAGATGGTGGCAGGCAAGAGAGCTTGTGCAGGGGAACTCCCATTTATAAAACCATCAGATCTCATGAGACTTATTCACTAACATGAGAACAGTATGAGAGAAACCACACCCATGATTCATTGATCTTCACCTGGCCCCACCCTTGACATGTGGGGATTATTACAATTCAAGGTGACATTTGGGTGGAGACACAGCCAAACCGTATCACTGTACTTGACCCTCTTGCCTCCCAAAACCAAAATGATATCTAAAATACAATGGGGGCTGGCACCATAGCTCATACCCATAATCCTCACACTTTGGGAGGCCAAGGTCACTTGAGGCTAGGAGTTCAAGACCAGTCTGGGCAACATAGATAGACCCCCCCATCTCTACAAAAAATTTAAAAATTAGCCAGGCATCATGGTGCATACCCATAGCTGCAGCTACTTGGGAGGCTGATGTGGGAGAATCACCTCAGCCCAGGAGTTCAAGGCTGCAGTGAGTGATGATGGCACCACTGCACTCCAGCCTGGGCAACAGAGTGCAGTGGTGTATTAGTCCATTTTCACACTGCTATAAAGAACTACCTAAGACTGGGTAATTTATAAAGAAAAGAGATTTCATTGACTCACAATTCCTCAGGCTTCACAGGAAGCATGACTGGGAGCCTCAGGAAACTTACAATCATAGCAGAAGAGGAAGCAAACACCTTCACATGGTGGTAGGAGAGATCAAAAGGGTAAGTGCCACATACTTTTATACTATCAGCTCTTGAGAACTCACTATCACAAGAACAGCATCGGGGGAATCCACTCCCATGATCCAATCACCTCCCACAAGGCCCCTCCTCCAACACCAAGGATCACAACTCGAGATGAAATTTGGGTGGGGATGCAGAGAAAAATCATATCAAATGGTATGAAGCCAAGAGCTTGCAAAGTCTGGCCTGACTTAATCCAAGTTTGTGTAAGATAAACATGTTACAATTGTTGCCTGAACCACTGCAGAAGAGAAGATAGGTAATTTTAATCACGGTAATTATATGATGACTTAATTTAGACTTGCGGAAATGTGGATGAGCATAGGTCCCTATTTTAAAATACAAGATTGGGGAGGAAATTCCCACATGGGAATCAACAGATTAAATTAAGACAAACTATTGCAAGAAAAACAAAAAAATACCTACGATAACAAAAGTATATGCGGGACCTTAATTCATGAACTGACCTATTGATTTTTCTCAGCTGTGAACATTAGCTAGCACTTGGTCATTATCCTCAATAATAGGGGTCAGCCTATTAAACCACAGCCCACAGGTCAAACCTGGCCCATCACCAGTTTTTGTAAATAAAATTTTATGGAACACAGCTATACTCATTTGTTTACATATCGTCTATGGCTGTATTCATATTGTAACAGCTGAGTTATGTAGTTGTGAGATAGTATGGCCCACAAAAAGTTGAAAATATCTACTATCTGGCCCTTTACAAAAGTTCATCAATCCCTATTCTATAGAAACATTGCATAATATCATTTCCCTACTATAAATACTTAGGCTAAACCTGATAGTCTGAGTAAAAATATATTAAAATTTGTGCTTGAAGATTTATGCTTGATATGGAGTACATGGAATAGCAATTATGTGTTTATTATTTGTTACATGCCACTTGGGGAAAATTACTAAGTAAAATTAGCTTATACCACTAAATATCTATTTTTATATAGATAAGAGTTACACTAACAGTAAAGATTTCATTTCAGCCTTTATTAGTAATTATTAGATGGTTAGTTATTTTCACCTACCACGGCAACTTGGAGAAGAAATATAGTTCATATTATTTCTGCCTTAGTTTTGCCACAGATTAAATGTAAAGGGAAATGGAACTGGTATGTTTAATTCAATTCAGCACTTTCTATCATGGGATGAAATAGTGTCAATTATGTGCACTGCCGTTGTTTTAAAGCAAACTGAAACATAAAATATACTCAATTTAATTAAAGCATAAAAACAAAATGAAGTATCAGTAGTAAAAGAGTGAGAACAGCAGTATTGGTATGGTAATCTTATTTATGTATCTCTATTTACTGCATCCAAAATTGTGTGGGTTTTAAACAGTCATTAATGGGAATCCAGTTAAAATAGAGCAACAAAGGAGAGAAAAAAACAATTTAAATGAGTGACATTTTTCTTTTTTGCATTTTGCCATCTTCTAAAGGAGGGACTATTAAAATTTTAAATCAGTTTTTAATCAAAGTTTAGTGGTGCAATATTTAATTGAAAACAACACCAGATGTTCTTTATCAAAACATCTTTCATAATGGCTAAATCAAGGCTTGGGAAGTTATTTAATGAGATAATTGTTGGTCTGTGAATACAGCAGCAATTCTATATGTACTTGTAACACTAAAAGACACAGGTTTGGAAGCTAGCCAAGGTTGTGTTGGCTGCTTTCTGCTTCTCTTATCTCTCCCTTGTGTGGTCCAAGCAAAAATGGTGCTTTGGTGCTTTGGTTAAATTAAAATAATTCTATTTTAAAATCATTATTTTGTCAAAATAATTAAATTATTACTGACCATTAGACTTTGAGTTAATCAAAAGGGAAACAATCCAAGTGAGCCTACTCTAATCACATGAACCCTTTGAAGCAAAGTTTTCTCTGGGTAGTAACAGAAGAGGACGTCAGAGAAATCTGAAGCACTAGAAAGACTGAATATGCCATTGCTGGCTTTGAAGATGGAGGGGCCATGTGCAAGGAGGACACCAAACCTCAAAGTCCAAAACCAATAGATGAACCCCAGGAATAAGTGCCCTGGAGAATGGCATCTTGTTTGAGCCAGAGAATACAATTCCATTGATAAGATATAGGCCAGGTGTGGTGGCTCACACCTATAATCCCAGCACTGTGGGAGTCTGAGGTGGGTGAATTGCTTGAGTCCAGGAGTTCAAGACCAGCCTGGGCAACATGCCAAAAACAGGTCTCTACAAAAAATTAGCTGGGCATGGTAATATACACCTGTAGTCCCAGCTACTTGGGAGGCTGAGGCAGGAGGATCACGTGAGCCCAGGAGGTGGGCAT
Source organism: Homo sapiens (assembly GCF_000001405.40). Classification (NCBI taxonomy): domain Eukaryota; kingdom Metazoa; phylum Chordata; class Mammalia; order Primates; family Hominidae; genus Homo; species Homo sapiens. The sequence continues at coordinate 57,123,637 of NC_000004.12, read as the reverse complement.
TGCAATGAGCCAAGATCATGCCACTACACCCTAGCCTTGGTGACAGAATGAAATTCTTTCTCAAAAAAAAAAAAAAAAAGATATATAGCATAACCAACTGTATGGTTCACAGGCAAACAAAAACAAGCAAGGGAAATCCCAGAGCTCAGTTTCAGCAAAGAGTTAGTTTGAGAAAACAATATTTGACAACTGTGGTGGGCAGAACTCTAAACTGACCACCCAAGATTTCCTGCCCTAATCTCCAGGACTAGGAATAGGATGTGATATCATGTCTGTGGCTATGTTACATTACCTGGCAAACGGGATTTTGCAAAAATAATTACATTATTACTGATCAGTAGACTCTGAATTCATCAAAAGGGAAATGATCCAAGTAAGTCTTCTCTAATCACATGAACCCTTTGAAAGCACAATTTTCTCTGGGTAGTAGCAGAAGAGGAAGTCAGAGAGATCTGAAGCACTAGAAAGACTGAATATGCCATATTGCTGGCTTTGAAGATGGAGGGGCCATGTGCAAGGAGGACCAGAGAGCTGTCCAACAACATCCAGCAAGGAAGCAGGGAACTCAGTCCTACAACCACAAGGAACTGAATTCTGCCAAAAACCTGAATGATCTTAGAAGTGAATTCTTCCCAGAGCCACCAAATAAAAGCCCAACCCAGCCCACACTTTCATTTCAGCCTAGGCAGAGAACCCAGTCAAGCCTACAAGCTGAAAACTTTGTAGTGATTTGTTAAGCAACAATAGAAAACTAATAAAACTGTCATTCCTTCCATTATTAAGGCCAGAATTATAAGGAATTTCCAAAGCATCTGTTGGCTTTTCTTATCATGGTTCTGCTTGATCAAATTCCTACAACCTCCCTGATACTCACCTTAAAATTAACAATATTTTCCTGGAAGAGAAGAGAGTAAGAATCTATGAATATTAAGCAAGTTACATTGAAATCTGCAGGCACTTTTTCCAAAAAGACGAATATTGCAACAGGTAGAACATGCAATGCTTGTGAGATTCGTAGGAGACACTCATCTTCCAAAAAATTGGGCCAGTCAGCTGTTTACTGTTGTTCCTATAGAGCAAAGGCAGACTTGCCATAAACCTGCTTCAAATGGGGTGATTAAATGCAGACTGGATATTGATAACTGCCATCACTTCTGCTCCATGGAAGATAATAAAGATGGATAAAACAGCCCTACTCCAGCCCCTTGGAATCAACCCCTGTTTGTGAGCAGAACCAAAGTGGACATAGGTCCACTTTGCCCTTTAAAGTGAAGGACCAGAACTACTTTTGAAAAACAAAAAATGTGTCTCATCATCAGAGGGCTTGGATTAGTCAGGGTTTGCCAAAGAAATAGAACCAATAAGAGAGATATAGTTGGAGATAAGACAGAGATAGAGATAGAGATAAAGAGGACAATTGGCTTATTAGGACAATTGGCTCATGTGATTATGGAGGCCAAGAAGTCCCATGATATGCTGTCTGCAAGCAAGAGACCCAGAAAAACTGGTGGCGTAATGCAGTCAGAGTACAAAGACCAGAGGACCAGGGGAGGGAGCTGATGGCAAAACTGAAGCAGAAGGTATGAGAACCTGGAGGAGGTTGGACAGCAGGTGGGAAGGGGGTGCAGTAATCAGTTTAAGTCCCAGAGTCCAAAGGCCCAAAAACTAGGCACTCCATTGTCCAAAGGCCAGATGGATATCCCAGCTCAAAGACAGAGAAAAAGAGAATTTGCCTTTCTTCTGCCTCTTTGTTCTATTTTATCCCTCAGGGGATTGGATGATGCCTACCCATATTAGCGAGGAAGATCTTCTGTACTCAGTCTACTCATTCAAATGCTAATCTCTTCCAGAAACAGCCCCATAGACACCCAGAAATAAAGCTTTACCAGCTATCTGGGCATCTCTTAGCTCAATCAAGTTGACACATAAAATTAACCAACACAGGGCTAAAACTAGTATGGTTACTATTCAAATATTATTTATTATTCTTTGAGATTGAGAATTTAAAAAGCAGTCAAGCCTGGGTGCAGTGGCTCACACCTGTAATCCCAGCACTTTGGGAGGCCAAGGCCTCCTGGCCAAGGCCAGCCTGGCCAACATGATAAAACCGCGTCTCTACTAAAAATACAAAAAGTAGCCAGACATGGTGGCATGCACCTGTAAACAGCTACTCAGGAGGCTGAGGCAGGAGAATCGCTTGAACCCCAGGAGGTGGAGGTTGCAGTGAGCTGAGATCGTGCCATTGCACTCCAGCCTGGGTGACATAGCAAGACTCTCCCCCAGAAAAAAAAAAAAGGGCAGTCAAAAACCCCTTTGACTTATTGCTTATTTTAAAAGAACAAGAAAGGAGAATTCCCAAATCTCAGTAGTTCTGAAGCAGCAACCATGAAACTCTTCACGAAGAACCCCATGGGCACACAGGAGGCTGCACTCTTCAAGAGGTACTATCCTCCCACAGACTCCCCATTAGCGGATGCACAGAGGTCCAGCTTGAAAGTCTTTGCAAGTTGGGCTGGAATGACCAGCCCTACACATACAAGTTTCCACTGTGAAAGTTGTTGGAATCAAAATGGAGACGCTTGTGTTAAAAACCCTAACAAAAGAAGCCAGGGAAGGCCATGAAAAGAAGGTTATCACACACAAACGCCTAATAACAAGAACTATCACTAAAGATTCAGCAAAAACCACAACCTTGCACAAAGACCATCACAATCTTATATAAAAACAATACTTCGGCAAGGACATCTGCCCAGAAGATTTGTCCAACCTTGAACCGGCACCACCCTTGTTATTGATCCTTATAACCCAGGATAATTATCTCAAAACAACTATGCAACCCTCTCATTTTCCTTTAAAAGCCATTGTCTTCTTTTACCTTCCTGAATACACACATAGTTCACATGTATTCCTATTGGCACATGTATTCCTATTGCAATGCCTGTTCCCAAGTAAATATTATTTCTTTTAGACGGCATCTCTCTGTTATTTAAGTTGACACCACTTTTTCTCAGTCATCATTTTAACTTTATCAGTGTTCACGTAGGGTTGCTTTAAAAAAGTTTGTTTTGACCTTATAAAACTATTGAAAGACTTTCAAACTTAAGTCCAACATTAGGTATCTCTAATATTCCAAGTGTTACCTGCAAAGTAATTCAGCCCTAGGAGGAACTACTCACCACCTCCCCACCCAAAAGCCTGAGTCCCTCCAAAAATATGGGAGGGATCAAGTGGAGGAGCAAAGGAAAAGGAAAATAAAACTATATAATTCTCCTCAATTTAGCAAGAGAGCAAGAGAAGTTGCAACAAGTAATTATTCTATTCTATTAGTCAATTTTAACAAAATCATGGTTAATAATCCTGTGAAAACATCAAGGAAAGCACAGGAAATAATTCAATCATCATATTTATTGAGGGTTTATTATGTGCCAAGCACTGCTCCATTCAATCTCCCCACAACCTCATGAGATGGGTAATACTATTACTCCATGTTACAGATAAAACTGAGGCACAAAGAGGTTTAGTCACTTACCCAAGGTCATATAGCTAACAAGTGCTAGAAACTGGAATAAGAGAAGAAAGGAATAAAAAACAAAGTCTGAAGAATGAATGGTAACTGAGATGTCTTAGGCAACAGAGAGCTAATCAGTGGAAGATGTGCAGAGAAATCATTCATTCATTCATTCACTCATGCACCTATTGAGCTGAGTGCTGGAGATACGGCAATGGCAAATCAGTTTTTAAAGCTATCATTGTCCTTGAGATCTGGTGGTTATATACAGTGCAGTAAAGCTAAAATGGAGAATGCACTGAGTGAGGGGCATGGGAGACCTCTGTGAGACCTGAAGGTTAGAAAGACTCTTCCAGCAGAGACCGATGTCTGCTCTGAGATGTGAAGGATGAGGAAGGATGCTCCGGGGGTCGGAGCAGATTGCCTTAGCCCTTTGGGAAGGGTTATTGCTTCCCATGGGCGCTGGATGCTTTTTAAATAGACCCAAAAGAAGAGAACATGACTCTGACAGCCAAATTCCAAATGAATCCAGTCATAGAGTTTATTTTTCTTCCTACCCTAAAAGCCCTCAGGGAAAGAGAAAGGGCTTAGCAAAGGCAGTGGGTGGCCAGATGGGCTGGGAAAGGCCTGAAGCTAGGATGTGAGGGGCTCACTGGGAGGAATAAAGCTCTGTGGGACGAGCCCGCTACAGCAGTGGAAGAAAGAGCTCAGCCTGGCATGTGGACATGTTTGTGGAGAATACAACAGGGACAAGTGAAAGCAGTCCAAGACAGCAACCAAACTCAGAGCGGCTCAGAGAGAGGGAGCTGCACTTCCGGGGCAGACACTGGGCAGACGTCTACACAGAGAGGAGTGGCGTCAGACAGGATTCTAGACTTGGCTGGAACTCAATAGCAAGACAACTCCCAGAAGGGAAGTGGGCAGAGGAGGCAAGGCTGTATTCCTAAAGAAAACAGAGGCTTGGGATGAGGTAAAAGCTGTCTTCCCAGGGAATTCCAGAAAGAAGAAATCACATGTGAGACATCTAAAGAGGACGGCTATTCTGGGAGACCGAAAGTCATTCAACTTGGCACATCAGGAGGTCAAAGACAGGGATCGAGTGAGGCACACAGAGGGCAGGTTGGTAATGGCTTTATGAAGAATTATAAGAAGTCTGGCATTCTTCTCATTAAACAGGGCGTGATAACTCAATGATATTTATCTGAGTATAAACCCTCAATTGACCAGAGCTGCTGCAAGAGGCCCAGATTAAGAATGATGTATGTTCTAATTGGTTTGGTGCATTCACACCTAGGAATACTTTTTTATTTTTTTGAGACAGAATCTCACTCTGTCACCCAGGCTGGAGTGCAGTGGTGTGCTCTCTGCTCGCTGCAACCTCCACCTCCAGGGTTCAAGCAATTCTCCTGCCTCAGCCTCTCAAGTAGCTGGGACTACAGGTGCGTGCCAACGAGCCCGGCTAATTTTTGTATTTTAATAGAGACAGGGTTTCACCATGTTGGCAAAGCTGGTCTCAAACTCCTGACCTCAGGTGATCCACCTGCCTTGGCCTCCCAAAGTGCTGGGATTACAGGTGTAAGCCACCACACTCGGCCTTATGCCTGAGAATAGCTTTTATTCAGTCACGAATTATCCTCTTCTTGCAAACACAATTGGTATAGAATTACCAATTGTGTTTGCAAGTGACCCAAAAAGATTTAGCAAGATGAGTTCTGAGAGGCACATAAAGCTGGAAAGTGTTGCTTTCTTGCATTAAGCCAATTTTCCTAGACTTCTGGATGTCCATCTCTTCATTTCAATGGCTAAAGAGGTAGGAGGTTTTCCTACACAGGCATCATTGCCACCACATAGCCCCTCCTAAACCTCTCACTGAAGATCTACCAGGATAACAGGACCTTCAGTTGGGTCTACTTCTGACCCTTTGAGGCCATGCAAGCCCCCACTACACTCCTCAGCTATGCCCTAACCTGCCCCATTCCTTCCTGAAACCAGGAACCACACACAGAACGCTAGAGATTTTACTGCAGCCCAAAGACACTTGTTCCTTCCTCTTGAAATTGTATCTTCCCTCCTGTCTCTTGAATATCTCATTCCCAAATCACTTGCCCTGCTGTAAGAAAGCCACAGGGAACCTGCCCTGCTCCTGAAGACCCTGACATTCAAGCCAATCACCATCTCTACTGTGTCACATGGGCTTCCAGGACCCAATTTTATGTAACATGAGGACAAATATTTAACCTTTGAACCTCAGGGAAAACCTAAAAATGCTATTTCTCAATAAGGCATGGGAATATACTCAAATGGCCTGAGAGAATGCCACTCAACAAGAATCAAAAAGAAGAGGGACTTAAAGTTTTCCAGGATTTCCTCTATTCGGACACATCCACATTTCTCTTTTAAAGCAAGCATTACCAATAAGCAATGATGTTATGAGAAGACACTACACAGGGAAGTGGCTTAGCATTAAGGAAGTTAGATCTGAAGCTTGACAGCTATAGACTCTGACAATATTGAAATTCGCCTGTTATTCACCCAAGAGGCTGACACCAGCCAGGTAGCTGCACTGCAGAGGCAGATAAAGCAACATCTATGTCATTCATGTGATCAGTGACTCTTTCTTAAAAAGGTGAATCTTCAGCATCGGTGAAAGGAATGTAGTTATTCTAACATCTTAACAAGCTAAAACAAAATAAAACAAACTAGCATGCATGAAAGAAATGTTGTTAACATCTTAACATCCCAGCTGATCATCTGTTCAGAAGGAAAGGAATCAATGCTTGCAGGATAAATATCCTCCTAAACATTCAAAAACACCCAAGAAACTCCTTCCTGGGCACAAAGTTTTATTCATAGTGAAGTCTGAAAAAACCACTGAAAATATTTTATTTTTCCTGATTTGACTTTCTCCCGAGCCTCTTACGATGATGAGGAGAGATTTTTATTTTTTATTTGTCTACTTTGCCAAGTTGAATTATGAAATCGGGCCACTGGGAGATTAATATGGGGCACTGCATCATTTGCCACCAAATGATCATATCATTTCCCCATAACAAAAGAAAGATGAAGCCTAATTATGGAATAACCCAAAGACATTTTTTTCTACTTGTTGTCACAAAAAGAAATGTTTTCTAATTTATTTTACAGGGAAATGTAAATGTAAAAGTCTGTGTTAATGCAAAGTTAAAGTGTTAAGATAATGAATTTTAAGACAGGAAATGAGGCTATTCTGGGTTCAAAAGCCTCTCATGATATATGCAATATAGTCAGGATCACAGTTTAAAATCTAAATTTTCTTTTCAACTGTGTATATTTGGAAGTTGGCTATTATGCAGTGACCTCAAATCTTCCTGATGTGAAAGGCAGTTAAATAACAGAGCAGAACACAAGACTGACCACACAAAAAAAAAAATCTTCCTTGATGATTTCTGAGGGTTCTTTAGATATTTCTGTGCCCCTGATGACTTAGGATCAGGGCTAATGGATCCAGTCACCTGGCTTTAAATGACCTCTAGCGAGTCCTTCAAGTTCTGTGTCTCTAATATTGAATTTTACAGGCTATTAATGCCTTTTCAATTATATAATTAGCTATTTTCCTGCATGGCAGTACCTCTTTTAAGAGATGAGATGCAGAATACTGATAAGAAATCAGTTTATGTCCTTTATTACACAGTGAGATGTTATCAGTGAGGGACTTTACCTCAAGGGCTTACTCTCAGCCAAATGCCCTGCAATGCCTCTGATACAATGTGATATGATCGCTAGGGAGCCCCCCTCCTTCCTCTCCAGAACTGTCCACAAAAGGCAGTCTTGATTTGTAAAGAACGAGTCCAAAATCAAGCTCATCCTCTTCCCCCAACACAAACTGGCTGTGGCAGAGACTGGCACCGAGTCCCCCAAGGGAGAAATGTTGGGGTTTCTCTTGACTTTCCTCCAGTCAGTTTCTTTACAGGACCTGCATATTCTACTTCTTTAAGATCTCTTGTCCATCTCTTCATCTCTATTTCGGGTAACAATATGTCTCTATTGTCCAGGACAGTCTTGATTTATGCCCATTGTCCCAGCATAATCATGAACAGTGCTCCCTTTCACTCACAAGAGTCCAGGTATAGACAAATGATACTGTCTCTACTTCGACTCCCATTGCCACAACTGACTTCAGGCCCTTGCTAATTCCTACCTGGATGGTAGTAGTAGTTGGCAGTAGGAGCTGCCAATTGATTTTCCCTTTGGTCCATTTACTTTTAAAATTTTTTAATCGGCCGGGCGCCATGGCTCATGCTTGTAATACCATCAGGGAGGCTGAGGTTGGTGGATCACCTGAGGTCAGGAGTTCGAGACCAGCTTGGCCAATATGGTGAAACCCCATCTCTACTAAAAATACAAAAACTAGCCAGGCATGGTGGTGGGCACCTGTAACCCCAGCTACTCAGGAGGCTGAGGCAGGAGAATCGCTTGAACCTGGGAGGCAGAAGTTGCAGTGAGACGAGATTGCACCACTGCACTCCAGCTTGGGTGACAAGAGCAAAACACCAACTCAAAAAAAAAAAAAAAAAAAAGAAAAAAAATTTTAATTGATTGCCAATTCTGTACCAGACACACTATTAGCATGAGGCCACGCTCCCCGGTAGGGGCATGCAATTTGCATACTGCACAAGGGCACCCAGCCCAGGGAGCAAGGAAAACTATAATTCAGTTCTCCACCTGCTGGGCCACGCATCTTCATGTGGACTGGGTCTGCTTCATCGGAGAAAGGGACGCCTTTTTCTTCACACAAAGCAACCACCTGCTTGCCAAGTCTTGAACCCTCAGTGCTGCATCTGCCCAGTAGAGGTGGTTTTTTTTAATTACCATAAAGGAACAGCATAGGCTGACTGTAGCCCCTGCATTGTGGAAACTGCATTCCTTCTTCAAGTCTGTCCCTGTTATGATTCATTTCCCTCTTACTTCTGTAATGACCTTCCAACACCACAACCTGACCTTGCCTCTCCCCTGCACCCCTCAACAGTTCACAGTCATCTATAAGATGCAGTCCAAAGCTCTGGGTGCAGTGTGCAAGGCCCTTCATTATCTGTCATCTGCCCTCTCTCCAGACTCATTTCTTCCCACTTCTCCACATACTCACCTTGCTTCAGCTAAGCTGAACTTCTTGTGGCAGCTGGAACATGCCAAAGTGGTTTCCACTGGCTTAGCCCCTTTTCATGCACTGTTTATCCGAGTTTGGGTGATCAGATACACCCTACCCCATCACCTGACAATCTCTGACTTACTAATGGTGATAACGATGAAGGAGAGAAAGGAGAAAAAAATGAAATAATAAAGATGATAGATAACTATTGTAACAGACTGTTGAATAGAACAACTCTTCCTTTGCCTAAAAAATGGCACTAGGATCTACAACCCAAAACTATAGGTTCTGCGTGTCCCCACATTCTAAAGCAGAGCCACCAAAAATTGGACCAGGGCCAGGTGTGGTGGCTCATGCCTATAATCCCAGCACTTTGGGGGGCCAAGGCAGGAGGATTACTTGACATCAGGAGTTGGAGACCAGCCTGAGCAATATAATGAGACTCTGTCTCTACAAAAGCAAAGAAAAATTATTAATAGTCAGGTATGGTGGTATGCACCTGTAATCTCAGTTATTTAGGAGGCTGAATAGGGGGATCGCTTGGGCCCAGGAATTTGAGGCTGCAGTGAGCTATGATTGTACCACTGCACTCTAGCCTAGGTGACAGAGCAAGACCTTGTCTCAAAAAAAAAAAAAATTGAACCAGAATGCTCCTCAATGCTACATGTCCCTGCCACAAGCACCACAAGCCCCACACACCATCCCCCCACCCCCCCACACACACAGGCACATATAAACAGGTTTGGGGTGAGAGCTTACTGGAGAAAGCAGGTTTCTCCTCCCCTTAATCACCGCCCCACCCCCAACTCCTAAGAAGACAAGGATAACGGAGCCAAGAGGTCTGTGATGTTTGCAAGAAAAAGAGACAAGCATTCCGTTGTCCAATTAGATGTCTCCTGAATAGGCAGGCTGGCTTCTGGCCCTGTACTGGCTGGACATAGAGGGACTTCACAGGGGCAGGCTGCACAGCACCACGGGTTTCCCACAGATATCAAGAAACTTGCCAGACTGAGTAGTCTTAGAGATACTCCACCAAGAAGGGTGCTCGCCAGGTACAAGGACCCATCGGCAAAGGGTTTGGGAGTGTCCTGTGGGCTGGGGGAATATTGAGCTGAAGTAGTGTAGAAGGGAGGGGGACATATATCTCTTGCATCATTACCCTTCAGCCAAAGATCACAGGAATGCACCTGTAGTTGAATAAGTTGAGTTTATCACTCATTGTAGCAAGGGAGGATAGACACCATATGGAACTATGGGGGTCTCAGTAAGGGGGTGTTAGAAAGAGCCTATTATAGGATTTGGACTTTGGTTGAGTAATTTAGGGGAAGGTCTAAGGAAGCAGGAGGTTGCTATGGATGGGGTGCTCTCAGAAAGCAGGAATGATTCTTTTTAAACATTAAAAAAATTTTAATTCACAAAAAATTGTGTATATTTACAGTGTACATGATGTTTTTATATATGTATGTATTGTGGAATGACTAGATTAAGCTAAGTAACATATTCTTTACCTCACATACTTATCATTTTTGAGGCAAGAACATTTAAAATGTACTCTCTGTCAGGCGTGATGGCTCACACCTGTAATTCCAGCACTCTGGGAAGGCTGAGGCAGGCGGATCACGAGGTCAAGAGTTCGAGACCAGCCTGACCAACATGATGAAACCCAGTCTTTCCTAAAAATACAAAAATTAGCTGAGCGGGGTAGTATGTGCCTGTAATCCCAGCTACTCAGGAGGCTGAGGCAGGAGAATGGCTTGAACCCGGGAGGTGGAGGTTGCAGTGAGCCAAGATTGCGCCACTGCACTCCAGCCTGGGCAACAGAGCGAGACACCGTCTCAAAAAAAAAGAAAGAAAAGAAAAGAAAAGAAAATTCAACACCACTTCATGATGAAAAACAATCAACAGAATAGAAAGGAATTTCCTCAACCTGGTAAGACTGTCTATGAAATGCCCACAGCTAACTTCATACTTAGTGGTGAAAAACTAACAACTTTCCCTCTAAGGTGAGGACTGGGACAAGGGTGTCCACTCACCTCTTCTATTCAACATTATACTGGAGGTTCTAACCAGGGCAATTAAGCAAGAAAAAGAAACAAAAGGCACCAATTAAACAGGAAGAAGTAAAAATATCTCCATCTCCACATCCAGCCTCTCCACCTCACTAAAACTGAAGCTGAACAGGTGACAATATATCTGTTATTGGAAGGGTGGAGTTGTCAACTTGCTCTTTAAAGGCTCCATTCACCTGCCTTTTTTCTAACATCTCTTCTTGTTTTCAGGTCCTCCAGCTCGACTGGCACTATCACAGAGCTCGGGTTCCCCTTTCAGTGACCAGAAACTTGCTTGTTTTCTTTGCTTGCTGGGCAGTGAGGAGGTTCCTCAAAGGGACTCCGCTGTAGCACATGCTTGCATTCTCACTGTTGGCTCTGATGCAGGACCTCCACACACTGTGGGTGACAGCTCTTAGTGTACAGCTGCTGCCACTGCCCACCCACATGCCCTACACACGCAAACACACACACACACACACACACACACACACACACACACACAGTTTGTAGAGCCTGAGGGCTTCTTCTGGCTGCGGAGATAAGCACCTTTATTGGCTGTCTTCCCTTCCTGCTTGCTCACCTGCCTGCCCCAACCCTCAATCTCTGTGTCCTGATGTGGCTTCTCAGGTGACCTACTTGCACTGGAATCCTTGTCTCAGAGAAAGCTTCTGGAGAATCTAAAACTATGACAGATCGTCATACTAGATCATGGAACCAATTTAGTGGCTCTTGACCAGTGAATTAATAAAAAGGAAATCAGGGCCGGGCATAGTGGCTCACACCTGTAATCCCAACACTTTCGGAGGCCGAGGCAGGTGGATCACTTGAGGTCAGGAGTTTGAGACCAGCCTGGGCAACATGGTGAAACCCTGTCTCTAGTAAAAATACAAAAATTAGCCGGGCATGTTGGTGCATGCCTGTAATACCAGCTACTCGGGAGGCTGAGGCAGAAGGATTGTTTGAAGCTGGGAGGCAGAGGTTGCAGTGAGCCAAAATCTCACCACTGCACTCCAGACTAGGCGACACAGGGAGACTTCATCTCAAAAAAATAAAAAAAAGAAAAAGAAAGAAAAGAAAAGAAAGAAAGAAAGAAATTAAATACAATAGGAAATAGAGTGCACTCTGCATTTGTTTCCTTTTCAAGAAAACAAATGGGTCATGTAAACTGCATCTCTTAGGATGGAACAAAGACAAAAATATTTAGGGAAACTCTGCTGTAAAGATTTTTCATTGTTTTTTAAACAACTGTCAGGTCAACATATGACCTTTGAGGGGAAAAAAAATGCTCCACTTGTCTATAATACACTAAGGAGAGGCCAAAAAGCAGTGCTAGGTTTTTCTGGATTGGAGGATGTTTCCCCACTCTCCACCCCCCGATTTTGTGGTCATTTAATTTTCAAAAAATTTGCAATAATTATCCTTGTAAGAGTCTGTTGAGAATGAGTTCTTTACACTGCTAATGGGATTATGAACTGAACTGCTGGCTTTCAGTCAGCAACCCTGTAAATCCCTGGATTTATGCTAAGAAAAAAGAACACAAAAGAACCACAATGTGACATGCAGAATAATGCACGCTGCAATGTTACACATTCAGTTAAAAAGTGAAAGCAACTTCCATGTCTGCATTGGAGAGGCCAGTGTTCCTGGGAAGAGAGGCTTTCAAGTTGAGTTTGCAGAGCACTTCGCAGAAAGACTGAGGAAGAGTCCACCGTTTATATCAAAAACCTCCTGGAATGCTGGTGAAGACTGGGGGCGCTTTAGGTGCCTCCGTGGCAGCTCCAACGAGGAAGGAGCTGGGACCCCTGCTCCTCTCAGCTGCGCTCTGTTCTCCCGAGAGGCTTGCTGGAGGGCGAGCAGTTCAGCAAGAACTCAAAACAAGGGCACAGCTCTCACACGGATTCCAGTACTCACTGAAAACGGCTCAGCACAAAAAAAGCACAGAGTCTTGTTGAATGCCACTGGGAGACAAAGCGGGGAGGGAGGTGCAGGCAGTTAAGAGGTTCCAGAAAGGGAAGTGGTTGGCAACGGTTTGTCCTTTTAGTGCTTGACACCCAAGACCACAGCAGGCCTGTGGCCAGCGGGGACACAGTCCACAAGTGGGGGTTTTTAACAGCTTGTTCTTAAGAGAGCTTCCCAAACCACAGAGTAATGAGCACTCAGGTGTCTCAGGCCCACGGAGGATTTAATAGATGAAACCCTGGATCGTCTCGAAGCCGTGGTTGTTAAGAAGTTTAAATATATTGACCGGAAACGGGGAGAAACCAGAGGGTGGAAGAGCCGCTCGCACTGCGGTGCGATCCCTGAGGGCTCGGGGCAGGGGACTGGGGACCGAGCAGGAGCTGGCGGGGTGAGCTCTGCGAAGCGGGCGTGAGACCGAGCGCCCATGGGCCGGTCACGCCGGGTGCCCGCTCACCCCCCGACGCCAGCAGGAGCGCGCGCGCAGGCCCCGCGGGGCCGGGAGGGCGGCACGGGCGGGGCCCCCGTGCTCTCACCGCCCCGGGGTGTGGTTCCCGCGGACAGGCCGGGCGGGGCGGCGGGTTTAAGGCGCCGGCCGGCCCGACACGGCTCACTCGCGCCCTTGCCGCTGCCACCGCACCCCGCCATGGAGCGGCCGTCGCTGCGCGCCCTGCTCCTCGGCGCCGCTGGGCTGCTGCTCCTGCTCCTGCCCCTCTCCTCTTCCTCCTCTTCGGACACCTGCGGCCCCTGCGAGCCGGCCTCCTGCCCGCCCCTGCCCCCGCTGGGCTGCCTGCTGGGCGAGACCCGCGACGCGTGCGGCTGCTGCCCTATGTGCGCCCGCGGCGAGGGCGAGCCGTGCGGGGGTGGCGGCGCCGGCAGGGGGTACTGCGCGCCGGGCATGGAGTGCGTGAAGAGCCGCAAGAGGCGGAAGGGTAAAGCCGGGGCAGCAGCCGGCGGTCCGGGTGTAAGCGGCGTGTGCGTGTGCAAGAGCCGCTACCCGGTGTGCGGCAGCGACGGCACCACCTACCCGAGCGGCTGCCAGCTGCGCGCCGCCAGCCAGAGGGCCGAGAGCCGCGGGGAGAAGGCCATCACCCAGGTCAGCAAGGGCACCTGCGAGCAAGGTGGGCACGAGCGCTTCCCTCTCCAACCCTGCGCCGCTCGGCCCAGCGAAGGGCACATCCGACGGGGCGTCCGCGGCGGCCTCGCCCCGCGCTGCTCACTGCGATTCCCCCGCGGGCATCCCAGGAGCCAGATGGGAGGGAAAGAGTTGGCAGCCGCGGAATGCCAGGAGCGGTGGGCGACGCCCCCCCTTCTCCTTTTTGGTGGTTTTATTTTGAGAGTTTGCTGCGTGCGTCCAGAAAGTGAGGGCCGGGTGTATATGTAGAAAAGATTTTCCGAGACCTCAGACTTCCCCATGCCCAAAGCGCACCCAACTCGTGCTAACATCTGTCCATTTCTCATCATTCTTGGCTTGGGGATGTAGAGAGAGGTGAAGTCAAGAGATGGGGGAAAGGAGTTTGACAATTAAATATAAAGTAAGGACTTCCAGACAGACTTTTTTTTTTAAAAGATAGGATCTTGCTCTGTCGCCCAGGGTGGAGGGCAGTGGCACGATCTTGGCCCACTGCAACCTCTGCCTCAAGCGATCCTCCTGCCTCAGCCTCCCAAGTAGCTGGGACTATAAGCCTGTGCCACCACGCCTGGCCAATTTTTGGTTTTTTGTTTTGTTTTGTTTTGTTTTATAGCGACGGAGTTTCACTATGTTGCCTAGGCTGGTCTCGAACTCCTGAGCTCAAGTAATCCCGGCCTGCTGGGATTACAGGCATAAACCACCGTGCACAGCCCTGATTTCTTAGTATTGAAGAAAATAGTCCACTTTCTAAAAATTATAGGTTCTCAAACAGTAATCTAACTAGCTAATTATTTGTGGGCAAAAATAAAATACAAACTCTTTGAAGACTGTTTTTGTGATGCACTTTGTTGTCAACCTTCTGACCATTTTGTTTTTCCTTCCTATTTCTTTGATTTGTATTGTTTTGCATAATTTGTCCCCAGGATACACTGTTCAGCAGAAATGTCTTTGAGATTATGTTTGATTGTTTATTTTATTCCAAACAAGTCCAAGCTTGCTGTAAATGAAATAAGGAAATAGGCCGGGTGGGTTGGCTCACGTCTGTAATCCCAGCACTTTGGGAGGCCAAGATGGGCAGATCACGAGGTCAGGAGTTCGAGATCAGCCTGACCAACACGGTGAAACCCCATCTCTAATAAAAAATATATATATATACATTAGCTGGGCATGGTGGTGCATGCCTGTAATCACAGCTACTCAGGAGGCTGAGGCAGGAGAATCGCTTGAATCTGGGAGGCGGAGGTTGCAGTGAGCCGAGATCACATGACAGCACTCCAGCCTGGGTGACAGACAGAGACCCCATCTCAAAAAAAAAAGAAAGAAAGAAGAAAATAAAGTCTGGACTTGCAAATACACGCACATACACACACACATAGAAATTTTAACTCTAATGCCTGAAATAACATTTTCCATTGGCAGTATTTTCAAGGGAAAGTCAGACATTCAATGTTGGCAGCTCCTGATCTTAGCCAAGGTAGAAAAGGGAGAGGAGGCAGTTCTGAGGTTACAGAAGCTGTTGCTTCTTTAACACAGTTCAGACTTTCTCCAGAATTTCCAAATTCTTTCTTTAGAGCTTTTCCCAGAAGTCCACAAACTAATAGGTTGTATGTCATCAATTTCAGAGTTCACTATTGAAAGCCTTAAATTGTGTAACTCACTAGTAACTATTTATAGTATCATCACCTTAAACTTAGAAAATTGCAACCCAAAATAATCTGCATATGTTTACAATAGAAACAGTTATTTGTTACTTTGGATCTCATTTGTCGGTCACATCATGAAAAGATAAATGTGCGTTATTTAAGAATTTATTCCAAATATTGAGATTTTCTTATAAACATTACAATGGGGAACTTTATAGTTTTTTCAAAATGGCAGATACTTGCCTTATCAGAGCAGAAGGTTAGCTTGGTGATTGTTCAAGTGTTGTCAATTTCTAGTTTATACTTAATATTCCTTTTTCTCACCTGCTACTTACATCACCAAACACTCACACAGTCTGATTATAAAATATTGAGACTGACAGTCATATAGAACCAGTTTCATAACCTCATTACCATGTACACCCAGCTCAGTACCTCTCCAGACTGCAAACCCTTTGAGGGTTCCGGCCCGGCTTTTCTTTATATTTGGGGAAATGTTAGAGAAAACAGCATCTAAAACTGGAAACCTTGACTTAAATTAGCCATTTCTTCTCATCCTAAATTGAGAGAGATGAGTTCTAAATGGCAGAGACCATTTATAGGAGAATGCCAAAGAGAGCAGAAGAGAATGGGAAGCCTTTCCCACAGCAGAAACTTTCCACAGCAGAGACAATAGACTGATCCCTATCACATCCCCTAAATATTTCTTCTGACACCTGGATGGGTTTTGACAATCATAGAAGCAAACTGGACAGAGTGCCATTTACTTCTGTGCCATTTCATACTGGGGCTTTGCACAGAATAGGAAATGCATTGTCTAGGTTCCTCTAGACCTCTAGGTTCCCTTCTATTCTCAGAAGAAACTTAAGTTATGCTTGAGTATAACTTGAGTAGGGGCCAGGTAGGGGCAGCATTGTGGGATTCAGCCACAATGGTGTGATTCAATCTGCCCTCTGGTCTTTGGTTCCATTTAACATGCATTTATTGAGCAGCTAACTTGAGTCAGCACTGTACTAGGTGCTATATACCAGGGATGTACAAAACAGATTTGATGTTGCTGATTAAGAAAGTATCTGTACAAGTTACAAACTCACCTCCCAGAGCACTTGCCCTGGAGCCCTGGAGCTTGCCCCAGTCTTCCTCCTTTCTAAGATCACCACTTACCCAACTGGGAAGAGATCTTGGTCTGCTTGTTTTCCATACCTCTCTGGTAGGAGGCAAAGCGATCTGCTTGAAAATATGTCTGAAAGATAATCAGCAAATAATTTCAAATCTTGGAACTGTCATTATGAATTTACTGCCATTAGATTGTATTGAGGTCCCTGAAGTCATGGATAACCAGAAGGGGGAATTTGAAGATTCCATTTAATAAAAAGAAGTTGATACAAAGAAGCTAAGATATATAATAAAATTTCATAGTTGGAAGAGAACATGATGCTTCTGTATTCCAATTACTGATTATACCTTTTGTTCAAAGTCTTTTAAATCTGAGCTCTTTGGCAATCCCATTTCAGCCGCTTTGGTCTCATTAGGTACCATCCTTTCTCCCTCAGAATTAATTTTCACTTCTGGAATCAGAATGTCATTCTTAAGGGTCTCCCTTATTAGTACCTTTAGGACCAAGTTCAAACTACCTAGCAGGACATAACAGGCCCTTCACAATATAACTCCATTCTATTATTTTGACCTCTTCTCTCCAACCTCCTTTATGCACTAGCCACAGTAAGTGTCTGCTATTCACACTTCAGCACATATGTCTCTATGCTTTCATGCCTCTGTAGAAGTTGTGCCTTCTGCCTGCAACGCCTCTCACCTCCACACTCACCACAATTGCACCCTCCTTCACTTCCTTTCCATCCTTTGAACTCTTGCCTATGATCCTTTTGTAGTTCATAAGCATGATGATTGAGTGTTCATACACATGTGTGAGGTATGTCGCCCCCAAACCTTTTATGACATTGGCACATTACCTGTCTGACATGAAAGAAAAATAATAATAAAAATTTTAAAAATGGGCAGCCAGGCGCCATGGCTCACGCCTGTAATCCCAGCACTTTGGGAGGCCGAGGCGGGCGGATCACGAGATCAGGAGATCGAGACCATCCTGGCTAACACAATGAAACACCGTCTCTACTAAAAATACAGAAAATTAGCCAGGCGTGGTGGCGGGCACCTGTAGTCCCAGCTACTCGGGAGGCTGAGGCAGGAGAATGGCGTGAACCTGGGAGGCAGAGCTTGCAGTGATCCAAGATAGCACCACTGCACTCCTGCCTGGGCAAAAGAGCAAGACTCCATCTCAAAAAAAAAAAAAAAAATTTAAAAAATGGGCTGTTACCTAGCCTTCAAGGATCAGCTCTGTCAGTTTCTCTGAGAAGCATTCTGACTTTCCCCCACCCCAAAATGATGTATTTGTTCTTCTAGAGCTATGCATCCAGCCATTGTTTCAACTAATATTTATTCCACGTGTACTGTGTATCTGTATATAAGAGGCAGTATAGCAGAGAAGTTAAGATGAGGAGCTCTCAAGCCAGACTCCCTTGGTGTGAATCTTGACCACTTACTAACTATAGCCTTGAGCAAGTTATTTGACCTGTCTGCCCAGGGTTTTCCTCACTTATAAGACAGGGATTATAACCATTATCTATCTCATAGGGTTGTCATGAAGATTAAATGTCATGAATATTATCCATAGAAAGCGTGGATGAACATTAATTGTTGTCATTATTCAACATCAAAGTAAGCTCCAGGTGGGAAGGGAGATTTTGCTCCCTCATATAGACAGACCCAAGGACCTAGATAAGTGCATGGTATGTAGTATGTTCTTTAAACACATGTCTAATGCATGAATCAATGAATGAATCAACCTATGAATTGGCTAGGCACTCTCCTAATCTCAGGGTAAGTAGCCTTGAATAAGATACACAGAAACAAGGAAACATATTTTCACACAATGTGTACATGCTGTGAAGGGTGTACATCGGAGAAATAGGTTAGAGACTCCAGATGAATGAGCAGTATTAAGTGAGGTGAGTAGAGCCATGCTAAGAACGCTTGGGAGGATTTCAGCAAAGGGAACAGCAAGGCCTTGGGCCCTGAGTGGAGAACAAGTTGGCTACTATAGACCTTCCCCAACTGCCACAAAAGGGCTCTTTGAATGTCTGTCTTCCCCACTAGACTGTAACCATTTTAAAAGAGGGATTTCATCTTATAACTCCTTATAAACACAGTGTCTGGCTAATAATTGGGCATATCATAAATATTTGTTGATTAACAAAGGAATCCTCTTAAGAAAGCACCTTCCTGTTTGGAAATGCAGGAAAGCCCCTCTCCTGCCTGTCTGCTCTCTTTCCTCCTGGCATCTTCTGCCTTCCTAAAGTCTAGGCCAGGGAATTCATCTGACATTGATTTGCCTTCCTTTCTGTCATCAGCAATCCTGAACTCTAATATTGGATGGTAACTTTTCCCCCCAAATCCCAACATTTCCATATCCCCTTGCCGAGTAAAATTAGGTCCAGAGCTATAGAAACTGTTCTGTAAGTGGAAAATGCTTCAGTATAGATTTTGATTTTCAGGTACTCATTTTATTTGATGAGTTTTAAACCTCCATTCTTTGAGAAGCTCATTTTAGATTCATTAGACTCATTTTTTATGTTGATAATATATCATTTAAATGTCCATGTTCTACTATCCTTCAGTAAATGTATGAACTTCATTGAAAGTTGAAACAAAGGGGTTTCAAATTAAATGAAGTTGTTAATTGTCTGGTTTATCTTGGGGGAGTGCAAGTCAGTGTAATACTTCACTAAACTAACACAGTAGTACCATGAGGACTGTCAGAGAGCCAGAGGAGGGGACCCAGGTTTGTGGAGGAAAAGCCAAGAATCACTTAGTGGAAGAATGATGTCCTGACTGAGACAGGGATAAGAAGGAATTGGGTGGAGAAGAGCTAGCATAGAGGTTGTGGTAGAGTTAGAAGGGAGATGAGAAGAAAACACTGTATATATACAATAGAATACTATTCAGCCTTTAAAAAGAAGGAAACTTTGTCATTGCCACAACATGAGGGGACCTGGAAGGCATTATATTAAGTGAAAAAAAAGCCAAGCACAGAATGACAAATGCTATGTGATCTCACTTATATGTGGAATCTAAAAAAAGTCAAACTCATAGAAGCAGAAAATAGAACAGCAGTTACCAGAGATGGGGTTGGGAGGAGGGGACAGGATTGGCAAGATGTTGGTCAAAGGACACACAAGTTTGGTTAGAGAGGAGACATAAGCTCAAGAGATCTATTGTCCCTCATGATGACTATAATTAATAACAATATATTATATACCTGAAAATTGCCAGCCTGGGCAACATAGTGAGACCTCGTCTCTATAAAAAAAATAAAAAAATTAGCTGGGTGTGGTGGCACACACCTGTAGTCCCAGCTACTTGGTAGGCTGAGGCGGGAGGATTACTTGAGCCCAGGAGGTCAAATCTGCAGTGAGCCATGATCATACCACTGCACTCCAGCCTGGGTAACAGGGCAAGACCCTGCCTCAAAAAAAAAAAAAAAAGAAAAGAAAAAAAAAAAAGAAAAGTTCTAAGATCATAGACTTTAAATGTTGTTACCACACACACAAAAAAGTGTATGAGGTAATGCATATGTTAAATAGCCTGATTTAGCCATTCCAAAATGTCTACATGCATCAGAACATCATGTTGTATACCATATATATACAATTTTCAGTTATCAGTTAAAACAATTTTTTAAGAGAAAGGAGATAACCAGAGCATAGCCAGCAGAAGGACTCGCATGAGGTTTGGTGGGACTGCCTAGGGAGAAGGAGGCAGCTGGCTGCGTGACAGAGCCCAGTGATAGGGGAGGGCCTGTGACCCCTTAAGGAGCTGAGACGCTGTCACAGAGCAATGGGAGCGCTGAGTGATGGAGCTGGATTTGTGCTTTTAGAAAAGCTTTGTTGGCTGCTGTTGGGAGAATGGATTGGAAGGGGGTGAGACTGCAGTCAGAGACTCCCATAAGGAAGCTGTTACTGTAATCACAACAACAGATGCCTACACTCCTTCCCAAGACTTCCCTCTCTGATCTTAGAAGCATTGTCAAATCTGGGTTCCCAGCCTGCCATGGCAAGCTGCTTGCTACTTGGGAGTGAAAAGCCCTTGTGGAGCTTTTTCTTATTCGGTGACTGCTCATAAAGTGCCTTCACCTCGCTTGCCTTATTAGCCAGTCCTGCCTCCAAATTACCACCACTTGCTCCTTTCAGGAGTCTCTTCCCCCTAAAGTCCCTATTACTCCTTCTCTCTGCTTTCAGATCAGAAACAGAAAAAGTCACCTTCCCTAAGAGTCTGCTCCAGTCCAGTAGAAATGCTTTAAAATTTTTCTGGCCTCAGCTGCCCTTCTTGAGCACAGAAATTTCTAGAATATTGAATGAATCACTGGTTCTTTATAATCATTTTGTCCAGTTTCAATCACTGCATTTTAGGAAAGATTTGAAAAACTGAAGGACAAAGTGGGGCCTTAGAGGACTTAGGATTCTTTCAGAGGAAAGTAATCTAAAGAACAAGTTAATGTTTCTTCATCGTTTGGGAATTAGTTATTAAATGGAAGATGCCTGAAAAATTATTCTCTTAATACAGTTCTTCAGGAGGACAGCATTAAAAGGCCTGGAATTAAAT
Organism: Homo sapiens; assembly: GCF_000001405.40. Lineage (NCBI taxonomy): Eukaryota > Metazoa > Chordata > Mammalia > Primates > Hominidae > Homo > Homo sapiens. The sequence continues at coordinate 57,102,543 of NC_000004.12, read as the reverse complement.
AGCCACAAGGCACATTTAGATGACACAGCAGGAAGAACTTTCCAGTAAAAACTATTGAATAGGATACCGTGTTCAGGCAGAAGTCAGGAGACTCTCTTTAGGAGAGCTGAGAAATAACTTGAGGGGGAGGGGCCACATCTGGGGGAGGATTTTATAATTTTTAAATCTCTTAAACTATACAGCTTTGAGATGGAATGATTAAGCTGAGCAGGCATTTGTTAACATCCTGAAATACGATTTCCATCCTGTCCCTAGAGCCTGCCCTCGGGGTCCACTGTAGACTGGCCTTCTAGAAGAAACCGCCTTATAAGGCTCTCTTGGATAGTTCAGTGACAGAACACCCTTGGATGGAGTCCAAGGCCAGCTAGCCTTCACTGATTCAAAATTCCTCCCTACAGTGGATGAGATTATGATGCTTCCTTTACCTCAAGCCACCCCTACCCCACAAACAATCTGACCTCATCTGTGTTTTTCATTGTTAGACAAATAACATCTTGTTTTTAGCAGCTGGGGAACCCTGAATTATCGTCAAAAAAATTTTTAAGCCAGGGAATATGAGTGTAACCTTTATTTGAAATTTAGGAGTGGCACAATTAGAAAGCTTTGAAATGGAAGGAGACTTAGGTATATGTGAATTAATAAGCCCACTTATTTAAGGTAATTTCAAAGATTTCCCAGTGAGTCTTTTACTCTTATGTGGGGATAGCAGTGGAGGACTAGAAATGTTCAAGGGAAGCTTCCCCCAGCCTGTCATATATGGCTTTTCCAGGTCAATCAAGACCGTCTCCTCCACCAGGCCTCTGAGAGAAAATGAGATCAGAAGAAAAAAGCCAGGATGATAATGGGGGGAGGGGGGGAAACGTTTACTTATTTATTTTTTTTACTTAAAATTGATTGTGTTAAATAGTTGACCTCTGTTTTATCCCAAGTTGGATTAATGGCAAAATGATATGGCCCTTTTGAAAAAGCTAATGTGTTGAATTGCCTTTACTGTTTTACAGAGGAGAGCAGTCAAAGTTAATTAGAAACAGCTGGAGCTAACAGTAAGCCTCACCCCCATCAATGTCCCTACCAGGAGAGGGTTACCAGGGAGAGGAGCAGTCCCGGGAATCCAGGGAGGGGCCTCTGGTCCCAAAAGCAGGCCAGAGTTGCAGAGAAGTTTTGTGTCTGAAAAATAAGAAAGGTTCATTTCAGGTGAAACAGACCTAGGAACCCTGTGTTGACAAAGCCCCATTCATATGATATGAAGTTCCCACAGTAAAGAGCACTGACAAGGCCAAGGCCAACCCGACAGGTTCAAAGCAGGCTTGGCCACTGTGAAAAAACAACCCCCTCAAAACTTCAGGAGAATGTATATAATAAATGAAGGTACAATTTCATACCTTCACAGGATTATTGAGAAGGTCAAATTACATAACAGATATGAAAGCACTGTGTAAACTATGCGGACTATGCTGCACCAAATAACTGTAAAGAATTATTAACTAGACTGTAAATGCCTTGAGGGCAAGGAATGCATCTGCAACGGGTATTTGTGAAGTACTTGACAGTTTGCTAAGGACTTCTGTGGATTTTCCTCATATGCTACTCATAACAACCCTGGAAGGTAAGGGGAATTGTTATCCCAAATTCCAAATAAAGACACTGCAGGTCAGACATCACACAGGTGGTAAATAGCAATTCTGGTACTTACTTTAGATATTCTGCTACAGGCTTGCTATTCAAAGTGTGGTATGTAGACCAGCAACATTGACTCTCTGTGCTATCTTTCTTTTTTATAAACTCGGAATTATTTCAAAATAAGAAGTTTCTAACAAAAGAGATTCAGAAGAGTCAAACCCTTGGGTGTGAAAAAGTTTTAGGAAGACTTTCCTGAATTTATTTTGCCTATATTTTGTTTCTGTTGAATGAGCAAGGGGGTTATATGATATATTTGTGTCTAAATACATCTAAAAGAGCTCTTTCATTCGCATAAAATAAACATGCTGTATGATAACAAAGTTTATGTCAGAGTTGAGATGGCTCTTTATGGTACATATATGCTGTGCCTTCTAAAAAATGTCATATTATATTCAGTGAAAGATGATGTTTCTTAAAATGAATGAATGTCTCTGAGGTGGCTAACATTAGTCCTTCTATAGCCAGATTAGCAATCTTAGAGCCTGGTCAGGCACAGTGGCTCTTGTTTGTAATCCCAGTACTTTGGGAGGCCAAGGTGGGAGGATCTCTTGAGCTCAGGAGTTCAGGACCAGCCTGGGCAACATAGTGAGATCTCATCTCTACTAAAAATAAAAATGAAATTGTTAATTGGCCAGGCACAGTGGGAAGCACCTGTAGTCCCAGCTACTCAGGAGGCTAAAGTGAGAGGGTCGCTCTAGCACAGTCATCAAGGCTGCAGGAGGCTATGATGGAGCCACTGCACTCCAGCCTAGATGACAAGGTGAGACGCTGTCTCAAAAAAAAAAAAAAAAAGAAAGAAAAGAAAAAGAAATAAGAAACGTAGAGCCTGGCAGGGCACAGTGGCTCATGCCTATAATCTCAGTGCTTTGGGAGGCTGATGCAGAGGATCCCTTGAGACCGGGAGTTCAAGACCAACCCTGGCAACATAGTGTGAGACCCTATCTCTACCAAAAAAAGAATTACAAAATTAGCTTGGCTTGGTTGTGTGCCTGTAGTCCTAGCTACTTGGGAGGCTGAGGTGTGAGGATCACTTTCAGCCCAGGAGGTCAAGGCTGCAGTCAGCTATGATTGTGCCACTGCACTCCAGCCTGGATGACAGAAGGAGACCCTGTCTCAAAAAATAGGAAAACCTTAGAGCCCAACCTTTCAGTTGCAATCCAGAGGTTCTTGAAGGATCAGCGAGTGTGCTAGGGCTGCTGGCATGAATATTAGTCCAAGAAAGACCTCTTGGAGCATAATGTTTGCGTGTGCTGTTTGATCATTTTCCAGGTCTTTCTAGTAACTCTGAGTAGGCTAGAGGAAAAGAATCACTAAGGTAACTGTCAACATGCTCAAGTATTTGCTTTCACCTGAGGTTTAACCCTGAATGTTGACCTTAACCCCTGACTCCAGCACTGTCCCATCATCAATTTTCCCAGTTTGAGTAATAATATTTAGTCCATATCTAAGCTATGGTCTAAGGAATTTGCATTTTTTTAAATTGAAGCATGTTTTTGTCAGCTAAGTGACAACTTGCAGAAGGAAAATTCATGCAGGGGTTTGAGAACTCAATTAAGCATAATCCATTTAGACTTTTTGAGGGAGAAGAAAAAAGAGGGCTTTCATATTCTTACAGGCAGAAAGGCAGCTGACTCCAATCATCCTGTTCTTTCATGTTGTTTTTCTTGAAGGGAAGTCTCCAGCTTCTACAGAGGTTTGTCTTTTTCTCTGAGTGAGAAATGCTCAAAGGCATTTTCATTTACATCACCACAGATTAGTGTGCAAGTGTTCAAGTGGTTGAATTGGGAAAGCTTTAGATCTGACATCTGTTCTGCTCTCTTCTGGCCTGACCCCAAGCAAGAAAGAAAAATTTATCAAGAAATAGATCTCCTGGAACATTCAGAAGGTTTTGAAAGAGACCACACAGAAATGAGGCTTCAAGAATTTTTTAGGGTAGCCCAAGCCTGCAGGATTCAGAGCCTGTTCCTTCTCCATGGGAGCTTTCAGAACTTTCTGCTCCAGGAACAGAACTCCAAAAGTGAATTTCAATAGCAGATGCAGCAATTACACTGCACCCCTGGCTTCCAAAGGACCCCCCTCAGGAAGCCATAGAGCGTTTGATGGAGAATGAAATGCTTGTGCAGCAGTGCTCTCTGAGTGAGAGAAGGGGAGATGAGAGTCCCATGCAGTGTGGCTGCTTAGTAGAAATGCTCAGCTCAGTGGGAAAGGGCAGGCTGGGGCAGAGATCAAGACGCTGCCAGATATTTGACAGGCCAGGGCTTCGGAGCCAGAGGCCCCTCTCTGCTCTGTTGTGTCTCAGATCAGAGCCTCAGAGCAGGACGGAAAAGTTGATCTGACTTGACTCTTTCTGCACTGCTGGGCCTTTGGTTCACTAGAAAATAACTGGCAGGGCAGGGCAGGCCTGTTCTGGACCCAGTTGCAGTGTGGCAAAGTGAGCAGCTCGTGCCCCTTTCCCACCTCTCCATGTCCTCTCATCTGAGGCCTCTTTCTTCTCACCCATTCAGCCTGGCCTGTTACTGCATGCTGCCCCTTTCTCTTGTCTGACTGAACTCAAAGAAGTGAGATTTTCTTTTCTTCACCCACCAACCCTTTCTTAGTTACAGAGCTTGGCCAGTAACTTTATAAATGGTGAGTCCTGCTCGGTCCACTCCTCCTAACTCCGTCCCCAGATTTATGAGCCACCTGACGTTCTCCCAAGAGAGAGCGAATAAGCAAAAACTTGGTATGCCACCTCTGAAAGGCAGCCAGCTCAGTCCATGTCATCCAGGAGAGATGGTCAGCCCTTTTGTTCTTGACACTCCATTGGGATGAAGTTTTTCACATGTCTTAGGATCATAATCCACACCATATATCAGCCCCAAGCCTATCTCCCTTTTTAGGACAAGCCCAAGGGGTAGGAGAGAGAGCTGTAACCCCATGGTTGTGACTGTGGGTTTGACAGGTCTCCAGTGCTCACCCAGGGCTGTCCCTACCAGTTACTTTCAACTCTTAGTGCCGGGTCACCCAGAAGCCAAGATTGGCTGGTGTACGAGGGGAAATAAAGCAGAGTGGTTAAGGAGATGAACTTTGGAGTCAGACCACCTGGGTCAAATCCCCACTCTGCCACTTAACTATTTGTGTGACCCTAACCTCCTTCATTCATGATTTTTTTTTACCTGCAAGACAGGTATAATAACGATGTTATTATACTTAGAGTTTTGTGAAGTTAAGTGAGGCAATACATGAAAAACATTGGTACCTGGTATGTAGTAGGATTTCACTAAATGCTGTTTCGTTTCCATGTTTATTGTTATTAGCATTATAGAACTGAGTATGAATTAATATATTAGTGCCTTGCTGATGTCCTACTTTGACCAGTCCAAACACAATACTGCCTCATGTGTTCCCAGGTTAGATCTGAAACCTATGTTCAGACCTGCGTAAACAAAATAACAGGGTAGTTTTCTTAAAAAGAAAATTCGTGGAAACTTCCATCTTGCTCTGCAGAGATTCTAGAACAGGGAGTTCTGCCCATCTCTTGGAAGATCCCAGAGTCCAAATGCAGACAGTCTAATGGGAACCACCCAGGATGCTGGCCAGAGGACATGCTTTGCTTTGCAGCATAAAATATTTCCATCTTCAAGCTCATTGTCACTCACATTATTTTTAATAGCACCTTTTAGATATAGAATCATTTTGAATTCAGAGGTCACTCACATTTAGTAATCACTGGACTCTCTCCTCCCTGGATATTCTACCAGTATTTTATACATAGGAAATATTCAATAATTTTTGTTGGATGGTTCATGGGGGAAAAAATTGAAGTACTGGCCCCAAAGAGAATATGAACCAAAATCACAGAGTTTGGCAGAAAAAGAGCACAATTAATGCCCATTATGTACATATTGAGTATTATCTTTGGCTTTTAGAGTCTTATTGGCGGAAATAATAAAGTTATTGCTGTAATTCATGTGTCTCTTCTTTGGCTTATACATGTAGCCTTAGCTTAGCAGGAACTCATTTTTTAAAAATCATTTAAAAATCAAAACATTCAACTATAAACAGATGTATTTCGACTCAGAAAGTGCCCACTTAGGTTGATTCATTGCATCTGTCTGAGAGGTGATAATGTCCACCTTCCAGGGTGTGTTGACGAGTAAAGAAATGAAGGTATGAAGAAGAGGTTTAAGAAGCTGGATAACTTTTCAGATCCACCATCGCCAGCAATCTTGAGTGAAATTGGCAGAACATTGGGACTACTGACTCACCATATACTATGCACTCTATCACCTTCTAAAGCAGTGGTTCTTCACCTTGGCTGTACATCAGAATCACCTGGGGAGCTTTACAGAATGCTGATGCCTGAGTTCCACTCCAAGATTCTCATTTAATTGGTTTGGATGTGACCTGGGCAGCAGGACTTTTTAAAACTTTCCAGATGACTTAATGTCCAGCCCCAGTTCAGAACTATTGTTCTAAAAAGACTTCAAGTCACTTTTTGGGATGCTTCATTCCTTTGGGATAATCATAATAATAATAGGCCAGTTTTTGCTCAGTTTATCCAGCATCTAGTGTTTTGCAACGGGGGACTTTGAGAAGATCTAGTGTGCCATGGGAAGTGTAAGCCCTAGAAAACATGATCACCCAATGTAGTGCAGGCAGCATAAATGGTTTGGCTACTTCTTATCTTTTTGGCTATTTCAGAGCTCTTATTTGAATCAGACAGAACGGAAATATGTCAGTTTTGTTGGTATTTTAAAAATGTATCCCAAAACACTCAGAAAAGTATTCACCTAAAGCCACATGATCCAATCTTTCTATTATTTCACTAGAACATACGCTCCATTAGCCCAGTGCTTTTTATCTATTTGTTCACTACTGAATCTCCAATGTCTAAACCGTCCTTGGGATACGGTAGGCACTTAATAGATTCTTGTTGCAAAATGAATGCATAATTAAGAGTGGATTTATTATGTGCCCTGTTGGAAAGGGGAACCTTCACACTGATGGAAGCCCACCTCTGTCATCTATCTGGAATCTCTGATAGGGAGAGGCGGCTCTGCTCAGCTTATTGGTCCCCCAGCTTAGGGGAGTATCTCTTGTCACTTGGCTGAGGCCTTTCCGATGGGCATCTTCTCAAATTATCCCTTATAGTTACTCTCTATTGTCACAAAATCTCTGAGACTGACAGCAGTGTTCCGTTCCATTTTATCATCTCCCCTCTAATCATTTCCCAGGCAATGGGTATGGGGATTGTGCAGCCTTGAGAAATCTACTTAACCTCTCTGAGCATCAGTTTTCTCATCTGTAAAGTGAAGATACTACCGACCTCACAAGGCGGTTGTGAGAGTTACATGACTTAATGTATTTTAAGTTCTTAGCACAGTGTTTGGCCCACAATTGGCCTTTAATAAAGGTTAATCTTAGTCTACCTTGCCCTTCAGTTAAACAGTAGCAGAGGAAGGCATAAGTACAATACATTCTCATTATTCACTGAAGTTTTGTTCTAGTAAGTCACCACAAGCACTGAATTAGCAAATACTGAACCACTGCTTCTGGGAGCAATTCAGTTAGGTTCCTGCAAGCCTCCAATCACATTTTTATCAACTGATCAATATGTCATTTTGTTTTATGTGTGATTCTGTTTAAAGGCACGTTATTTAATATAAATTACGATTCATTAACATTGAACTCATGGCCAACAGCAAGCACTGCAGCTCAAGCCAGAATGAAGCTTGTCTAACACCCGTATTTTCCATAAGGCATATCACAGCCTGCTTGCTCATAAGGAATGACTAGACAGCACTTCAGCACAAAGTTTGGGGCCATTTTAGACAGCTGAGTCACCATCAGAAAGCACAAAAATACAAAAAGAAGTGGCACCACACAGACTGTAGGAGGGGTGCTTGTTTGATAGTGTGACAGCTGAAACTAGAAGCCAGAGTGGTGCCTTGTTCCACCTCAGTGGGGACCCCGTGACTCAAATGTTTGCTGCTCTGTGCATGTCTGCAAATGATTTGATTTGGGGGAGGCAATTACACTTTAGCAAGTAGGTGAATTTGCAAATATGGCATCCACAAATAGTGAGGATTGACAGTGTTTGGAAATGGTCAAGGGTTCAGCAACAAGCATTAGAGAACTACCAAGGATTCCGAGGGCAGAACCCAAGTGTGGGTGACGCTTCCTTTATATGCCTCAAAGCATAAAACGTCATTCAGGGCACAGAGCAGTATTTAGGAAATAATTCTTGGATGACTCTTGATGCAGTTTAACAAACACGTAAACTAGCCTTGTTTTGACTATCCCATGATGAGCCTGTTTTTGCCCTGCACCCTCCTACAAGATGTTAGTGAGAAGTGTAGAGTTCATTAAGTTTTCATAGGAGTGGCAGGAAGGTTTTGTGGGAGGCTTCTCCTCCCATTTCTCTGCACAGCCTTCCCACCAGCTACAGAGCATCCCACGTGGCCCTTACTTCACATGGAGCCACCCTCAAAGGCACTGTCCTGTCCACACCCTCCCCACAACCACGCCTGTCATCTCTCTCCCAGTTTCCACTTGGCAAGTAGGCTCTGTCCCTGGCTCTGTGGAGTGCACCCATCTTTTAGCTCAGGACACAAGGTTACTTGGATCCTCACTATCACTGAAAGTGGAAAATTATAATAATTCCATCACTCACATCCAGTGCCTGCTTTTTGTAAATGATGTGCTGGGTGCCAGATGGAAATTTGCCCCAGGAGAAAGACTGCCCCTGCTCTAAGGAGCTTAGAAACCTGCAGTCCATCCTGGTGGAAGAAAGAAGAGGGAGTTAGACTCAATATAAGAGAGTCCCTGTGTAAGCCAAGCCAATAAAATGCACAGGAACAAAGAATGCACACACACACCCCTCAACCCTTCATTTTTAATTATTGGAAGCATATTTTCTGGGCAATTTCTACTGGAAGGGGAAAAAATGAACAAAGGTACATTTACATCTGTGGCCTGTGAATACATTATAATTTGCAGACTCTATGAGCTTATACATAATGTAACTATGGCTAGAGGTGTGGTAGTACATAAATGAATTAGTTATTACTTTGCCCAAAGTGACATTCCAGAGTGCAGATGAGTGAATCTTATGTTTGCTTAGACTTGAGCTAAGGAGAGAATATTGATCCAAAAGAATCTTAAAGATTGTATTTAAATACCTTAGTAAATGCTAAGGAAAAAATATGCAGTAAATTCACTTCACTCTACCTAGCTCCCTGGCAAATGTGTAAAAAAAAAATTTAATAGGTGCAATGACCTATTGATGAGAATACTGTTTGGCAGTTAGTCTCTAACAATTGTCAGAAGTTTCACTTTTTGGACAAACCACAGTGGATTTTAAATTCTTTTTTTTTTTTTTTGAGACAGAGTCTTGCTCTGTTGCCCAGGCTGGAGTGCAGAGGTGTGATCTCCGCTCACTGCAACCTCTACCTCCCAGGTTCAAGCGATTCTCCCGCCTCAGCCTCCTGAGTAACTGGGACTACAGGTGCCTACCACCACACCCAGCTAATTTTGTATTTTTACTAGAGATAGGGTTTCACCATGTTGGCCAGGCTGATTTCAAACTCCTGACCTCAAGTGATCCGCCCGCCTCGGTCTCCCAAAGTGCTGGGATTATAGGCGTGAGCCACTGCGCCCAGCCTGGATTTTAAATTCTAAACTTACATATCCTTGTTAATTAAACTTTAGCTGCTGTGCAGCTTCAGTGTGTCCTGGGAATGTAAGCTAATTTCATTTTATTTTCACTAAAGATCTTTTTTGTTATTAAACACTAACAGTGGAAATTTGTAGAATTCATTGAAATCAAAGACAGTCATTGTTAATATTTTGTATTCCATTCTAGTTTTTTTCTAGGCTCATATGACATTATTTTGATCATACTAACCATATGTATTTATATCTTGTTTTTCATTTAGCAAGTAGGTGAATTTGCAAATGTGGAGTCCATATATTTGCAAATTTTAAATTTATAACTAATATTTTCCATGTACTTAAATATTTTATAAATTTTATTTATAAATCTATATTTGTAATAATTTGAATGAACCATAATTTACTCGTTTTTCTGTCATAAATAACCTTTTAATTCACATCTTTAGACACAAAGATCTTTCTTCTGAGTTATTTCTTTATAATAGATCCCAAATTGGAATTACCAATAAAATGATATGAAGATTTATATATATATATATAAATTTTTATGTATTGACATTAGTGATTCCAGCTTAACAGCCTCTTCTAAACAATTCAGACACATTATCTCCTAAAAACAAAAGCCCAAAAGCAAAACATTTCAATAATACAATAGAAATTACTTGTTAATTATCATTAGATTTGTATTGTGACTGCTCATCTTCAATGGCATAGAGACCATTGAGAGTTGTACCTGCATCCTAGTTTCTATTTATAAAATTTGCAGTTACTAGCCATAAAACCAGGGACCCTGCCTGTTACCTAGTTTGCATCTAATATTACCAGGAATCATGGTTTCTATCTCAGATCATGAAGAGTTATTCCAGCAAGAACAGAAAGGATATGTGTACTATAATAGTTTTCTTTTTTTAAGTTCAATTTGATCAATCAAATATTTCAAAATAACAGGGAGAAGGAAAGAATATTCCTTTGTACATAATTGAATTGAGGTTCATAAAAAGCATCCGCATTCTTACTAGAGCAGCTTGAAAATGTTTGTTGTAAGGGCAGCCACCCATCTGAGATGTAAACGGGAAAAACTTTGTGAAATTTGGAGGTTTTGTCTTTAAGATTTTTTTTCACAGAAGAAAAGAAAAGGTCTCTACTATTCTATTTGACTACAGTCAATGGCATACCTCCAGGTTGAATCTCAGCAGCTCTTTAAATGCAACTTCCCTGCATAATACTGAGACCATGATTTGACCGCTTGTTTCACTTCAGTTTCTGATATGTGCTGTTATTCTCCTCCTGTGAGGGACAGCCTGTTTCCTGCTCCACTTATTAAAACTAGAAAAGAATTTACTTACAACATTTTTACCACACGTGCCCTTGGAGCTCTCCTTGGGTCCTTAAGAGGGCTGGCAAAGCCTTGTTTCTCTTTTTCTCAAGCCCTTTAATCTCCAGCACATTCAGCAACAATTGTCCTTTGTAAGGCAGGTATTCCTGTTAATACAGTAAACAGTGCTGAGAATACATGTATAAAATGGAAAAGCTGCATGTGATTTTCAGGCAGAATTATTCCCGTATTCGACTGGGAGATAGGAACAGTAACAGCACAGTGCATTTTCTAAGAATTTTCACATATGTTCATATGCATATCACCTTTTTTAATCCTCACAATAACCCTGTGGTAAAGTATTATCCTCACATTGTATTAATAAATTAGGCAACCAAGATTCAGTGTGTTTGAGTGTCCAAGCAGAGCCACTGCTAATGGGAATTGAATGAAGCTGGAATGAGGAATCCAGGTGAGTTGGTGTGTACACGGACACACACACATGTACCCACATTTCAATCCAAAGGAAGCTAAAATTGAGTGTCAGAAGCAGTTAAACATAAATATGCTTCACTCACTCATTCATTCATTCATGGTTCTTCCATTCCTAATCTTGTATCTCCTACATTAAATTCCCTGCATAGTTAATACTCTGCATTTCCACAGTCTCCAGTTACTCTGGTCATTACCAGTATGTGGAAGTGCATATGCTTTTGCCTGTTTTGTTCAACCGTGTGTGTGTTTTTGAAGAAACACATCCAGAGACTCTAAGGCTTTGTTTTGGTAAATTAAAGCAACTTAAATTCCAGGTGTTGGCAGTGGCAGTTGTCTAACATAGCATGATAAAATTATCCCCCAGGTTCCTATATGCGTGGTTAATTACAGGTGATCCAACTCCCAAAGAATACACATGGCCTGGATCTCTGAGCTCTGCTGAATAAAATAACCAATGTATAATTTCATTTTCTGTGAAAAATGTTAACTAAACTAGAAAAGGTGATCAAATAAACTGTTGCTCTCACATGTTTTGTTTTGTTTTTTTGAGATGGAGTCTTGCTGTGTCACCTAGGCTGGAGTGTGCAATGGTGCAATCTCAGCTCACTGCCAACCTCTGCCTCCCGGGTTCAAGCAATTGTCCCACCTCAGCCTCCCAAGTAGCTAGGATTACAGGCGTGCACCACCACACCTGGCTATTTTTGTGTGTGTATGGGTATTTTTAGTAGAGACGGGGTTTCACCACATAGGCCAGGCTGGTCTCTAACTCCTGACTTCAAGTGATCTGCCCGCCTCAGCCTCCCAAAGTGCTAGGATTACAAGTGTGAGCCACCATGCCCTGCCTTCTCACATGTTTTCTAAAAATAAAACCTCTATCACTGAAGAGCATTAAGAACTTTGTGAGGAACAAATTAACTGTTCAGTCAGTTTGAATAAAATTGAGTGCTCTGGGGAGACTTTATTGTTGTTTGTGTGTGTGTTTCAACACTACAGAATAAGATGTGACTGTGACCCACTAAGTCCTTAAAAACAATAGGGTATATCATAAGAACTAGAAAGCCTAACTTCAGACACTGACAAGAAAGCAGGAAATACTACGTTTCTCATGGTAGCAAGACTCAGGAAATTCTTACGCAAACAAAGAGTGAAGGAACAGTTGACGGCAGTTTTCTGAATCAATCCCTCAACATATAAGGAGATGGTGGGATTTGGGGAAGAGGAAGAGAAGAATGATGACCAAGAAGGACAATAGCTGGTCTATTGGTAAAGAATGTGTTCAGCTGCAAGTAATAGAAAACTTGGCTCTAGTGGCTTGGCCAAAATGGGGTTTATTTGCTTGTAGAACAGGGAGTTTAGGTGTAGATGGTTTCTGGTGTGGCTTTAACCACTCAGCAGTGCTGTCAAGGACCAGGGTCCTTTCACTCTTTCTGCTCTATCATCCTTTGCATGTTGGCTTTTGTATACATGCTTAATAATTGCAAGAAGGCTTCTGCACCTCAGATCATCGTCATCATTAAAGACATTTAGAAGGAATAGAGAAAAGGACAATGCCAGCCACATGTCCCATTATATCAGGTGAGCAAATGTTTCCCAGAAGCCCATACTCAGCAAATTTCTGCCTAATCTCATTGGCCAGAAATGATCACTGGGACACCCTATTGTCAAAAGAGACAGAGAAGGGGGTGGTGGACACTGGGGCTGAGTCAGCCGGCTACATTGTCTGCCATAGCTGGGCAGCAGTTCTTTTTAGCTTTTCATTTCAGACACAGTTGCTGAAGGTGAATTCAAAGGGTGACTAGAAGCTTAGTGTTTTAGAGACCACAGACCCCATCAGACTTCACTGAAGTGTGAAATCAGATGATAAAATAGGTCATAGCTGGGGGGAAAAATGGAAAGCTTTGTAGCAAATATGTCTTTCCCAAAGTTCAGTGGAAAGAAGTCCTATCTGAAAGATGTCAAACCACATAGAGTCCATTTTGAAATGACATTTCACTCTTTCCTTCACAGAAATAATGGCTACCAGAATTGAGGGTTCCTGCCTGATTTAATTTAATATGTGGAAAGGGATAATTTTAAAATGAACTCAAAAACAGAAAAAGTTATAATTGTATATGGATAGATGCAGTAAAACTGCTTTAAAAAAGTCTACTTTCATTTTTATAAATTGTATAAACTTCAATTCATCCTCAGATCTAAGTAAGGTGAATTTCTAATTATTGTAGTGTTTTTAAGCTTATTTAAGTCATACATGTTATGGAGATTAATGTTTTGGAGAGGGTGGGGTTCAAATCCCCACTCCCCCACTTACTAAATGTGTGATTATTAAATGACAAGTTGCCTCTCTTTTTTTTTTTTTTTATTTTTTTGAGACAGAGTCTCACTCTGTTGCTCAGGCTGGAATGCAGTGGTGTGATCTCCACTCGCTGCCACCTCTGCCTCCCAGGTTTGAGCGATTCTCCTGCTTCAGCCTCCCAAGTAGCTAGGATTACAGGTGCCCAACACCACACCCAGCTAATTTTTGTATTTTTTTGGTAGAGATGGGGTTTCAGCACGTTGGCCAGGCTGGTCTCGAACTCCTGACCTCCAGATGATCCGCCTGCCTTGACCTCCCAAAATGCTGGGATTACAGACGTGAGCCACCGTGCCCAGCCAGCAAGTTGCTCCTCTTAACCTCAGTTTTGTCATCTTTAAAGTGGGGACAATATTGCTTACCCAAAGGGTTGGTGAGAGTATTAACTTCATATGAGGTTCTAAGCATAGTGCTTGCCACACAATAGGGTCTCAATCTGGCCGTTGCTTTTATCATTAGTAGTAGTGGCTAATGCTTCAGAAACAGCCCTCAAATGTCATACTATGGTACTTTTACCTTCATTCTTCCCTCTTTTTCTGGAGGGATAACTAGAGATGGGATGAAGGGTAGAAGCAGAAACTGAGAGTGGTAGGAATGATTGGATGGTATTATATGGAGAAAATGAGGGCTGTTCTTGCCCAAACTGGTCGGAACCTCAATATTTTTATATACTTACAATTTATAGCCTACCTTATTTTAACATTATATTTGTGGCAGTTTACATCACCATGCTTTTCAGATACAGCAATAGTGCTGTAAAAAGCACTAAACTGCCTGGGCATGGTGGCTCACACCTCTAATCCCGATACTTTGGGAGGCTGAGGCAGGAAGATCACTTGAGACTAGGAGTTCAAGACCAGTCTGGGCAACATAGTGAGACCCTGTCTCCACAAAACAAAACAAAACAAAAGATTAGCCAGGTGTGGTAGTGCATATCTGTAGTCCCAGCTACTCAGGAGGCTGAGGTAGGAGGATCACTTGAACCTAGGAATTTGAGGCTGCAGTGAGCCGTGATTGTGCCACTGCACTCCAGCCTGGGTGACAAAGCAAAGCCCTGTATCAAAATAAACATAAAGTACTAAACTTAGAAGAAAAGAGTCTGAATCCTCCTGCCTCAGCCTCCCAAAATGTTGGGATTACAGGCATAAGCCACCACACCTGGCCAAGCATCTGAATCCTGACTATACATTGACTAACAGTGATCATTGGCACATTGCTTAATCTCTTTGTCCCTCTGTTGTCTCACCTGTGAAATGGAGCAAGCAGGACCTGTATTAAAGGATTAGGGTTAGGGTTATGGAAATAAACGAAGTCACAGATTTGAAAGCCTTTGTAACTGTTAGGCCTTTATGAATCCAAGATTGTATTCCCTCTGACTTTACCAACTATTGTAGTAACAACTCTCAAATATGCCCAGTCAGTTAACTGATATAACCTTGCGTATAGCTGTGTCAGTTATTTACTTTTTTCCTATATACCTCTGGTCCACTCCTCCCCTTCAAATCACTATCAGCAAGTAGTGCCCAGGGACTCCTGTGTTATAACATTAGCCAGAACCAAACAGTTAGTAAGGAATCTGCTACAACAAATTTATACAGAGCAAAATATAAAGTATTTTAAAATTGGCATCCTTTTGAGATAGTCTGTTCCTCTCCTGCCCTTCATTAGTTGGGTACTCAAGGGTTGGCAGTGTTTTCCCATCTAGAAGCTCATGCTGCATATTGACCTGCAAAGGTATTAGTCCAGGTACCAATGGCAACTTTTATGTTATCCATCAATCACTTTAATGAGTACAAGAAAGCATCCTATCACCCTGCCAAAAGACAGAGGAATTAAGAATGACTCATTTATCACTTAAATGTGTGAGTGTTTTCTATGTGTCAGGTGCCATCCTGGTGCTGTGGGGCACAGAACACAGACTCCAGTTTCCAGGGGGTTACCGTTAAATGGGGCTGAAGCAGCAACAGTGTGTCGGTCTCCTGTATTCAATCTCCTCATAATAACTGAGCCACTAGATCAGGAGCAGTGGCTCACGCCTGTGGTCCCAGCACTTTGGGAGGCCGAGACAGGTGGATCACCTGAGGTCAGGAGTTCGAGACCAGCTTGGCCAACATGGTGAAACCCAGTCTCTCCTAAAAATACAAAAATTAGCTGAGCGTGGTGGTATGTGCCTGTAATCCCAGCTGCTCAGAAGGCTGAGGCAGGAGAATCGCTTGAACTTGGGAGGCGGAGGTTGCAGTGAGCTGAGATCGCGCCACTACACTCCAGCCTGGGCAACAAGAGCGAAACTCGGAATCAAAAATAAAAATAAAAAATAAGATGGTAAAATTTGTATGTGTATTTTACTACAATTTTTTAAAATTAGAAAACAAAAACGTAAATCCTCTAGATACCAAAACCCAAGCCCCATGGAAAACATTTACCACAAAAAGGTGACAAGCTATCCCCACAAATGCCAAAATATAAGTGGGTTGGAACAAGCCACCTATGCCACCAAGCCTGCAGGCTGTCAGCAGCTAGGTGGAAAGACACAGAGGGCAGTAATGAGGTGATGACAGATCCAATAATAGGTAAATCTCAACATAGCCAACAGGTTTTCACTGGAAAGTCCATTAGTGGGTGAGTGCAAGGGACCCAAAGGGTGGAAGGGGCTTGAGTAGCCTGGGTCCCGTGAACTCTCAAAACCCCCAGCCGGGGCTCCTGATATGGTTTGGCTGTGTTCCCACCCAAATCTCACATTGAATTGTAACTCCATAATCTCCAAGTGTCATGGGAGAGACCTGGTGGAAGGTCATTGAATCATGGAGGCAGGTTTTTCCCATGCTGTTCTCATGACAGTGAGTAAGTCTCACGAGATCTGATGGTTTTATAAAGGGCAGTTCCCCTCTGCATGCTCTCTTGCCTGACACCATGTAAGATGTACCTTTGCTCCTCCTTTGCCTTCCACCATGATTGTGAGGCCTCCCAAGCCATGTGAAACTGTGAGTCCATTAAACCTCTTTACTTTATAAATTACCCAGTCTCAGGTATGTCTTCACAGCAGTGTGAAAATGGACTAATACAGCTCCCTTCCAGGACAGGGCCCTTCACCAAAGAAAAACTACTAGGAATAGAATCAAAATTGAGCAGGACAGAAACAATAGAGATGAATGAAACAAAAGACCAAATAAAAGTGAAGGAGGGAAACAAACCCAGAAAATCACAGAAAGCAAGTTACTGTTTTTAACACTAAATGAAAACAACACAAAATGGAGTTCTGAGGAGTTGCAAAAAGGTATTTTGGACAATGTCTCCTTGTAAGGCTGTGGAAAACCAATTTTACATTTTAAAAAAGCACAGAGAAAGATTAAGGCCAAACCCCATACTAGAAAGAAATTTTATATAAGAGAAGAGTGAGAGAGAGAAAGGGAATAACATCCCTACCTGCAATGAAAGCACGTCTGCAAACAGGTGAAAACTACATACAACTGACTATCTGAATAACATGAGCTAAAAGACATTTTTTAAATAATACAAATAAAGAGTAACAAGCCAAAATTAGAATAACTCGAAAATGTGGTGAAGATCTCAGTTGTTATTTCAGAAATGAAACCAAAAGAAACACAATAGCGAATAAGAACAATAGAGAATCCCTTAAAAGACTAGGAGGTTAAAAGGAGGAAAATTATTAAATTAAAAAGAAAGGAGGAATGATCAAAAGCAGCAACCACTGAAGATATGCAGAGCAGATCTAGCATACGGATAACAGGAGTCACTGAAGAAGGAAACCAAAGCAAGAAAGCAAGCCAACACTAAAAATTATAACTCCAAAAAACTTCACTGAAATACAAGAAAAATGTAGAACTACATTTTGGAAGACCAGACAGTATACCTGAGAATATGGATCTAGAATGACAAATACCTATTGATATTCTAGTGAAAACAATACTGCACTTTAAAGAAAAAGAAAAAAGGATCTAGGCCAGGTGCAGTGGCTCACATCTGTAATCCCAGCACTTTGGGAATCCAAGGTGGGTGGATCGCTTGATCCCAGGAGTTCGAGACCAGCCCAGGCAACATAGTGAGACCCTGTATCCATTTTTAAAAAAAATTATCCAGGCATGATGTCACACACCTGTAGTTCCAGCTACTTGGGAGGCTGAGGTGGTAGGACAAACTGAGCCCAGGAGTCTGAGGTTGCAGTGAGCTGTGATCACATGACTATAATCCAGCCTGGGCAACACAGTGAGACCTTGTCCCAAAAAAAAAAAAAAAAAAAACCTTTTTTAAACATCTGAGTAAAAAGATTAAATGACTTATAAGGGAAAAGATTACATTATCATCAGATCATTTGACAGCCCCTGATTTTACCACAGAAACTAGAAGCCATTGAATAATAGAGGCAATTCAGGTTTCCTTGCAAGCCATTTTTGGGCAGTGCCTTATAAGTGGTGGAAGCAAGAATTGCTGCACGTGTTCAGAGGAAGTAGCCATGACTTCCACCTAGGAGGGCTTCATGGAGGAGGTGGAATGATTGCATCTTAAAGAAATCTTGGAAAATGTTTAAACTGCCGACATCAGAATAGTATAATGCATAAACATGTGACTTACTCTCAAAATGTTCAAGTCTGTATAATGTTGAATTCATTGCACACCATTTCATGTCCATGTTTTTTCTTCATGATTTTTAGAAAAGGCACTTCATTTTTGGCTAAAGGAATTTTTTTTAATACTGAAATTTGAGTAATTGATTCTGTTAATCCAGCATATGCTCCTATTAAATAAATTGTATACAATTCAGTGACTTCATTAGAGATGATAAGCCACATACTTAAATTTTGTGATACTCCCTGATAATCTGCATTCATTGATAATTGAGACAAAATTAATCATATATAATCAAGCAAAAATGCGAACAAAATTAGCTGTCAGAAAAGCATTATCCAGTCTTTATTTTTTAGTTAACTTTAGATATTTTAACAACACATAAAATGAGTGGTAGGGTATATTTGTATTTTACTGTATAGGACACCTTCAGATAAATTCTAAAAATAATTTGCATTTCATGTAATGCTTTTCACACAAAGTAATGGCCAAACTTTAGGGTCAGTTTGCCCTGCTTCATACCACATGCAGAACAAATTTAAGATGGATTAGGACTCCAAATAGAAAAGAAAAATTCTTAATAAAAAACTATTCAAGATGGATAAAAGGATTAATTTCAAGAAAAATAAAACTAATAAAATAGAACTATTCTGGTAACCCAGAAACCATAAGAGAAAGGATTAACAGATTAGCTGCATTAAAATTTCAAATTTATTACTTATTCATTCACCCATTCATGAGATAATTGTTTTTATTGAGAACATACTATGTGCCACGCACCATTCCTGCTGCTGAGGGCACAGCAATGTACTAAACAGCCAGCATCACTGCCCTTGTGGCATGCTGTATGGCAACCAAAACCATAAACAAAACAGGAAGACAGTAATAGCCTGGAGAAGTTATTTGCAAAATATTTGATAAGCAAACTAAATATCTGTAGTAAACAAGAGCTCATGTAAGTTGATCGATAAAGCAACAGGAAAAAGAGAAAAGTAATAAATAGTGAATTAAAAGGAACAACTGCAAGTGGCCATTAAACATGTGAAGAGTTGCTCAACTTCACAACAAGTCCTGAAATGCAATTAGAACAACAATAACCTACAATGTTTCCCCGTTCAGCTTAGCCAAATTTTTTGAAAATTTCTCACTCCCACTGCTGGGAAATGTGCAGGGAAATGGGGACCTTCCTGCACTATTGCCAAGACCAGAATTCCTAACAAGCTTTTCAAAAGTAATCTAGGAGTATTTATTAAAATTAAACATTCTCATACCCTTTGACCCAGCAATCTTATTTCTGGAAACCTCTCCTACAGAAACAAAAGTGCTAACGCATAGGGACATAAGTATTAAGAATATTTATTGTATCATAGTTTGTATATAGAAGAATTTGGAACATCTGGAATATTCTTAAAGAATTATGCCCATGTTTGGGGACATTTTGCAGCTATTGGAAAGAATGAATTTGATTTATGTGTATTGAACTAATAAAGCTAATACATAATACATGGATTGTTCACTGAAAAAAAGGCAGTTTAAGCCAGGTGTGGTGGTGTACACCTGTAGACCCAGCTACTCAGGAAGCTTGAGGCCAGGAGTTCAAGATAAGCCTAGGCAACATAGACAAACCCTGTGTCTTAAAATAAAACTTTAAAAAAAATTTAAAGCAGCTTGCATGTTAATAGGTATGAAATTTTCATTAAAAAAATAAAAACTATATGTATAAACAGTTTATATAAGTTGTTGGGGGGTTAGGATTATCAGGAGGTAAAAGTAGACAACTTGCTGCTTCTTTATATATTTGTATATTTGAATTGTTACAGTGAGCATGCACTTTTGCATTTTTTAAATAGCAACAAAATATTTTAAAAGAATACTGAACCACTACATCATTGATATTCCTCATAACTAAATTTCGAAGGTTCTTTTCTTTCCTTCTTCTAATTACCAAAAACTTGATTCAAATTTAAAACTATACACTCATAGATCTAGAATGATTCTGGGGTGATATTTCAGTTCATCATTAACCTTTCCCTAACCACTTCCCTGTATCATCTTAGTCTAAGAGATTTCAAACATGGCAACTCCAAAGACGCAGGTCCCAGAAGAGCTCTCTGAGACCGCGATTTGGGACCCACACTGGTCAAAAGAGGAAAATCACAGAGCATCCTTTGTAAACTCAGCCTTCTCTCAGGAAAGTCTTTCTTATTATAACTGATATTCCTTGGGCTGAAACTCACACCTGTTCCTCCACTTCTGATGTAGAGACAAAGAGGATTCTTGACCCCAAAGGACCTCCTAGATCATTGCTTCAACCTTTCCATTTTACAGATGAAAAAACTGAGGACTAAGTAAAATGTGGGGAGAAATGGTACCAAAACCCACTTCCCCTACTTGCTAATCAGTGCATTTTCTGTTGCTCTAGTAGTACCTTTCTTTCTCACACACCAGCATCCCCGAGTCGGTTCTACAACAGTGCCTTTCACCTGGTAAGCCAAAGTCTGTTGGATGCAAACTGTTTACACAGAATCCCAAGTAGAAGCTAAGTTATCAACGTCAAAGGACCAGGAAGGCAGGGTGATTCAATTGCAAACCCAAAGCAGCAGCACTTTGGAGCCAGAATAGAACTCTGAATAGTCCTTTATTTTGTGCTGAGGACCTAGAACTTCCACTTTTCTTTCTCTGGAGCCAGACTTCATGCTGGGGCTTTGTTTTAAAATCAAGGCCCCAGCGGACTCAGAACTAAGGAATTTTTTTCACACATATTCAAAACGGAAGCCCTGCCACCATGGGGAAGCTCAAGGTCCTTGCTCAGCTTCTGCTTGTGTTTGGGCTACATGAAAATCTCTGGGTGGTGGTTGATGTTTCCCGCACCAAATGATTTCTGCACAAGGCCCGACATTCCCCCTGCCCTGATAGAAGGGTCACACCACACACCAAGAAGGATGTGACTAATAAAGAGTGTGACTTCAGAGAATTTACAAGTCCAGACAACTTCTGATAAACATTTAAACAGAGGTCAGGAATGTTTTCCTTTCTGAGGGGAAAATATGTGGTCTATGGTGTGAGTGGGAGGGGCTGGTGGGGGGTAAATCTAAGCATTAGCTTCCTCCCTTCATAATTCTTAAGCATTTTAACAGCTGTCATTTTTAATGCCCTAACAGGCTTTCAGACTTAGAACCCATAGCTGAGTATGGGCCAGAAAGCTCTGTGAAAAAAAAATGGGCAATTCCAAAGTGATTACCAAGCAAGTTTAAAACTAACATTAGGATCATTAGAGGCACTTTCCCTGGGCCCTGCCCTGAAGCTAAGAATGTTCCAGAAAGTATCACTCAAGGCCCATTTTAAGTACCCAGGTTGGGATCTTCACTTCCCCTGCTGACAAAAGGGGGAAGCTCCATAGAGGAAATGGGTGTTGACTTCCAGGAAAGGAAAGGTGAGAAGGACCAGATGGCATCTGTCAGCATCCTCAGCCCACCGGAGACATTCTGAGAACATTGGCCAGGGCCAAGGAGGAGAGATTGATGAGCGGAAGCCAACAGAGATATCCCCTTGGCAGTGGAAAGGAAAGCTGCAGGTCGTTTTTGTGACCCAACACACTTTCATTGGTGGTGCTGATCCAGCTAATGTCTTTTAGCATTTTCCTTTTCATTGGCTGTTTGGTTTGTCTCCTGACATTTCCTGGATCGGTGTGCACGGTAGGCATAGGGTGAGTGAGTAAGACTAGTATTCTCTCTGGTCAGTTCTAAATAAAAAGTAAGAAAAGAAAATGTCAGCCAGGTGTGGTGGTGCACATCTGTAGTCCCAGCCACTTAGGAGGCTGGAGTGGGAGGATCACTTGAGCCTATGAGTTAGAGGCTGCAGTGAGCCATGATCATGCTACTGCACTCCACCCTGGGTGAAAAGTGAGATCCTGTCTCAAAAAATAAAATAAATTTCACTCAAAATCTTCCTCTAAATGGGAAGATGGGGACTCAGTATTGGAAGAAAGGTTCTGATACCAACTTTAGGAAAACCCTTCGTGTGTCTGCAATCAATATTCTTTTGAATATATCAGCTTCCGTTGTTTCAGCTATAACCCCTGTAGGCTGGAGCACTCGGGCAATGTGAGTAGAATGCAGCAGTGTCAATTTCCCTCCTTTGAATCTTAGACAGGTAGAGAAATTATCTCATTTTAAAGTCCTAAGTATTCCCATACTCAGTTTTAGACATTTCTTGCTTTTCTTACTGAGATAAAGTATGTTATTTTGAAAATCCAGTCTTCAGAAATCTCATTCACTTTGTCATTGGTTCATTCATTCTTGTAGTCATTCATTCATTCAGGTACCCACCAAGCCCTGTGGGAGACCCTGTGTTGGGCTAAAGGGCCATGTCAATAGGCCATCACTCAGAAAACCGTGGGAATCGTGGTCAGGATGGAAGTTCTAGAGTCAAACCTACCCTGAATCCTGGCTCTGCTTCCCATGTGCTCTGTGATTCTGGGCAAGTTATTTAACCTCTCAAAGCCTCCAATTCCTCATCTCTACAATGGGGTAATAAGCATAGCCACTTAACTAGATTTCTGTGAGGATTACCTGAGATAATATATGGATGAGCCTGCACTGTGCCTGGCATACAGTAAACTCAGTAAATGATAATAGAGGCAATGGTAAGGACAGTAGTAACTTTTATTATTAACAATTATTAATGAGACAAATAGCATGAGAGTGATAGGAAAAGCGCTGTTAGATGTTGGACAGAAGATAACTGGGAAGATTTCATATAGAATTTGACTTACTAGATTTTTTTCACTTGAGGTTTAAAAAAAATCTTAGTGGAGAAATTGGGAAATTCCCTTTCCTTTGCATTTCATTTTCTATTACTTTCCTGAAGACTGAAACTTCAGTGTAGAATTTAGCTGAAGGCTACATCCCAGCATTTGCATTGGCCTTGGAGTGCCAGGGTAATTATTCTGTCAATTATTTGACTTTTTAAAGTCTGTCTACCTTGAAGAACCTCTGCAAAGGAGGACCGTGTTAATGTGTAACACAGAGATAAGCAAGGCTCTGCTCTTTTTTTTTTCCCATGGCTGTTCAACTGGAAAACTGAAATGGTTCTATTTGCGTCTCAGCCAGCAGTGTTGAAAGGTGGGGGATAAATGGCTTTTACTAATGAAGTACAGTGGGATGTGAATTTTAGCAATGCAAAATGCCACGTATCACCTGCAATTTGTTTTTTTAAAACACACACACACACACCAAAAAAGGGAAATCACAAGACAACATAAACCTCGCTTGAAGAAACGATCGTGTTTAACAAGAAGACAGCAAAGAGAAATACTCTGAGTTGAGCCAAGTAGATGTGTGCTGCTTTTGTAGATGGAATAAATGATCCTCACTTGCATAGACAGCAAGGTCATTTTTCTCACCCTAAATGGAAGGCATTAATCATCAGCTCTGAAGAACAACATTCAGGACAAGAAGAAACAAGCCACCGCAGCAGGAGGTATTGAATTGAGCCAGAGAACTGGGGGCCCTGTGGACGGGAGCCAGCTCAGCCCAGGTAGCAGCTCCCAGATCAGCAGGGGTGGGTGGTGGAGCTGGTCCTCTTGAGCCCTAACAGCTTTGTTGGGAACTTTCTATTGTTCAAGAAATCTCCTAGTTACCATCCATGTGCATTTCTGAAATGCCTGACTGTGCTCCGGGCTCTGTAGGCTCTGGATTAGCTGGTTCTCTGTGGACCCCGTCTGCATAAAAAGCAAAGATCAAAGGAACATGGTAGAGCTCTTTAAAAAAAAAAAATCCTAAACTCACAAGTGAATGGGAAATGCATATTTATATCACTGGCCCATCAAGGGTAAGGGTGTTCTGTGAGAGGGGAGGAAGAGAAATCATTAAGCAGGAGCGAAGCTCTTCAGATTAAGAGCTGGAAGAACTGCATTGAAGACTAAGAGGAGACTGAAGGCAAACAGTGGATCTTTTACCATTTTTCTTTTTTTTTTTTAGACAAGTTTGAAATCGAGTTTTACCGCTTTCCCATCAGCTACACCAAGTAGTTTACTTGTGCAGTGGCTAATTAATTTGTTGAGGCAGAATTTTAGGTTACCTATGAGGTAATATGGAATAGTGGTTAGGAGGTGTCTAGCTTTTTAATCCCAGCTCTATCATTTATGAGCCTTGTAGCACTGGGCAAGTTACTCGACCTTTCTGTGTCTCAGTTTCCTCCTCTGTAAAATAGGAGACAGTACGAACCTCACAGGGCTGTCGTGAGGGTTAAATTATTTACACATATGAATGCCCATAGTGAGCAGTCAGTGAACAGGTATTGCTGTTGATTTTGTTACCGTGGCCACAGTTGGGTGGGGTGGGTGGTGCGTGGCAGGAATGAGTTGAGGGGGGAAAAGAGTAACATGAAACAGGATAATAGAATGTGGTTGTTGACAGGAACCATGAAAGTCATCCGGTCCAGCTCCCCCTTAACCAAGGAAACAAATCCTATTGCATTTTAAAATAATTGTTTTGAAATTGTAAGTAATAGTGCCGATTTATTGATTGAGTGCTCTGTGTGCCAGACAGCATGGGAAGCCCTGCGCCTGCATCACAACACTCCACGAGGCCTGAGTGCTGTTATTACCCCATTCTGTAGATGAGAAAACTGAGGCTCAAACCGTTAAGTCATTTAGCCAGCATCACCTGGATCGGAATGCAGACCTGTGTGAATGCAGAGATTCTGTGAGTGACGCGGCAGTTCTGTTCCCTTTGCATTTCATTTCCTGTTACATTCCTGAAGACTGATGATGCTTCAGTACAAGATTCAACTGAAGGCTGCATTCCAGCATTTGCATTGGCCTTGGAGTGCCAGAGTAATATGTTCTGTCAATTATTTGACCTTTTAAAATATGCCTTCTTTTGGTCAGCTGTGGTGGCTCACGACTGTAACCCTAGCACTTTGGGATGCTGAGGCAGGCAGATCACTTGAAGTCAGGAGTTTGAGACCAGCCTGGCCAACATGGTCAAACCCCGTTTCTACTAAAAATACAAAAATTAGCCGGGTATGGTGGCATGTGCTTGTAATCTCAGCTACTCAGGAGGCTGAGGCAGGAGAATCGCTTGAACCCGGGAGATGGAGGTTGCAGTGAGCCGAGATCACATCACTACATCCCAGCCTGGGCGACAGACAGAGTGAGACTCTGTCTCAATAAATAAATAAATATGCCTTTCTTGAAGAACTGCTATAAAAGGAGGACTGTTTGGATGCGTTCTGTGGTCTCATAGAAGTGAATGTATAACATCCATGAATGCATGCCTTATTCTGCTTTGTCTCTTTCATATAAACGCAGAGCACCATATTTTGTTTTTTGTTTTTCTGTTTCCACACTATACTGACATACAGAGTACATATTTTGAAAAATACTTTAATACTATTAATTTTGAGTAAATCATGTTTCAGTACTAGTGAGGTTAGCGTTTAAAATAAATAATATTTATTCATAAAAAATTTTCCTTTGGAATCAAGCCATCATTTGATTGGATATGATTGAAATTATGAGTAAGATGAAGGATACATCCCTGACAACTTTCAACTATTGCTCAGATACACATGACTGCGTTTTCAGGAAGTCTCTTTATTGTTGGATATCCTTTACTGCTGACAGACCTTCGTTACCTTGACCTTAAATAGGTAATGATTCTTTGATCTTAGTGCTTCCCTCTGAAGTAACTAAAATCAAGACTGCTCATTCTCTGACATGGCTTCCCTTCAAATGTAGAGGATATTTCACAGGTGTGTCCCCACCCCAGGCTTCTCTTCCTTAAGCTAAACACCCACGTCACCTTCTAAGCTGGTTTTCAGACCCCACAAGATCCTTTAATCTGTCGGTTCTACTCTTCACCTCTTGGAAGGGAGCCAGTGCTGCAAGACTGTCGGATCTGTACAGAGCAGGCTGGAGCCATACGCTTACACGAAGGTGACCAAAATGGCTGGCTTCTTAGCTTTCTGGCTTCACTGATGTCAGGGAGGTTGCATGGTTAAATAATGAAGGAGGAGTGACAAGCAAGAGCCAAGAGAGGGACATCCAAGGACTGTTTCCAAGTGATCCATGGTAGAGGCTTCATGGCATTCCTGTTGTTTGTGCTTTGAGCAAGAATTCCTTGGTACGTTGGTTCTAGTAAAGAGATCAGCTATGGTCTGAATATTGGTGTCCCCCAGAAAATTTCTCTGTGGAAGCTTTAACCCCCAGTGTGATGGTATTCACAGGTGAGGCCTTCGAGAGGTGAATGGGATTAGTGTGCTATAAGAAGAGACAAAGAAAGATGATCTCTCTTTCCACCATGTGAGGCTACAGCAAGAAGGCAGCCATCTACAAGCCAAGAAGTGGGCCTCCCCAGAACCCTACCATGCTCGCACCCTGATCTTGGACTTCCCATTCAATACACTTCAGATGCTTAAGCCACCAAGTCCATGGTATTTGTTATAGCAGCCCAGGCCGACTGAGACAAGAGCCTTGGTATTCGAGATTTTTATATCGTATTCCTGAATTCTCGAAAGTTCTGAAAATAAAGAGATGTTCATAGGGCCCATATATAGTTATATATAACAGATCCATGTTCCAAGTGGACAAGGATGAGTGGAAAGGCAGGTACTTCAGTCATACACAGATATTCAGGTAGCTCCTTGATGACCTGTCTACCCACCACATTCCTCTGCCTTGTGTCTACCTTTTTTTTCAAATGTGAAAATTATCTGGACTTTATTTTTCTACTTGTCAAATTCTCTTTAGCTTTTTTTAGCTGTTGTGTTGACCTCTTCTATCTCTAAAAGGCATTTGGTTATTTTTTTAATGTTTTTGCTTCACTGAAGCTTAGTGTGCTTTTTATGGTTTTATGGTTACCTTGCAGAAATCTCATTAGAAAAGCACTTTAATATATTACTTGGCAATGAGACATCTGACAATGTTCTAGTTCATTAGTTAGGAAACCTCCCCAAGCTTGGAGGAATAGACATTCCTCTGTGAATGGTAGAGCTTTGATCACTCCTGCAGGGGCCAGGATTTATTTTAATGCATTTTAGGGGAGGAGAAGATATCCTAAGCCTGGCAAAATAAAAATAACACAGATTAAGGAAACAATGAAACATTATTTTAAAAGAAATGCACTTCAGTTAATATTATTCTATGGGATCTCCTGAGTCCTTTGAAGGCAGAGCTTATCTTAGAAAATATGTCTCCTTTAGTGGGCAGGAGGTTAGTTAAGCAACCTCACACCAGATCACAGATTATACTGAAATGATCCTAATAAGGAAAGACTTTCCAAAGCTATACTCATTTTAGCATGAATAAATGGATTCAAGTCTTATTTGTGGGATTTTAATTTCCAACTTTGAATTTGCAAACTATCAAATTCCTTCAAAGACACGGTGTGCAGAGAAGGCTCTGAGTAATAGGATTGCTTATTTTTAAAGGAAGATGCCCTTTAGCAAAGCACGAGGCTTTGACGTGTGATCAGTCAAGGGTCCAATCAGCACGGATTTCCCCACATGGCACTGTTTCTTGTTGAGTTCCAACCAGATTTAATAACTCATACAAAATGCAACTCCACCCTGAGGGTGCCTAGTGCATTCAAAGCAGATAATGCTATATTGTTTTAACACAGATTATGCCAAATGAAGTACAATTTAAATTCCTGAAGCATGACAGTCCTTGGGTGCTTGTGGCTGTGTTTTAGTTGGGTGCTGTATCTTTTCTTTCTTTCTTTTAATTGAAAGACTTAAAAGAAGCAAGCTGTCTGAAAAAGTGTTTAAAAGAGCTTGGTTTTCAAATGGTATAAATAGGACAGAGGCAGAGGATGCTATGGAAAAAGGGCCTTCCTCCAACTTTAAGAGGTAGAGGAAAGAAATGGGAGAGTCTGGGCAAAAGTGACGTAAGCCCCTGAAGTCAGGCTGGAGACTCTTTTGTGTCTCATGTGAGGAGAGAAATGGGTGAAGCCTATAGTACTTTCACACTCCCCTGAATGGGAAGTAGAGGCCAGATGCCAGTTGCAGCTTCTTTTTAACTTTTTAACACCTTCAGAGGCAGGAGAAAATGGTGGGTGGGGGGAATGTTTTTATTTGGGATTAGAGGTAAATTTTCAGGCCGGACGAGGTGGCTCACGCCTGTAATCCCAGCACTTTGGGAGGCAGAGGCAAGCAGATCACTTGAGGCCAGGAGTTCAAGACAAGACTGGCCAACATGGCAAGACCCCGTCTCCACTAAAAATACCAAAATTAGCCAGGCGTGGTGGCACGAACCTGTAATCCCAGCTACTCGGGAGGCTGAGACAGGAGAATCGCTTGAACTTGGGAGGTGGAGGTTGTAGTGAGCTGGGATTGCTCCACTGCACTCCAGCCTGGGTGACACAGCGAGACTGTGTCTCAAAAGAAAAAAGAGAGAGAGAGAGAGAGAGAGAGAGAGATGCATTTTCCAAAGAGGAAAGTACGATGGGCAGAGTTTGGAAGCTCGCTTGCTGGTGCCAGGACAGTGGCTGGGTGAGCTGCTGCCCTTGGGAAAGTCGCTAGGTCCTCCCATCTTTCCTCTTCCCTTTTTCCTCACCTTTGTGCGATAGAGATTATGATCACTCCCGATCAACTCCACAGGACTGTCCTGAGGATCAGATAAAGAGAACACGCTTTAGAAGGCTCACCACAAATGGGCTGTGGCCGTGGATGTGGTGGTGGTGACAGTGGAATTGGCATCTGGGTTGGCTTGTAGCCTGGCCTGTAACTGTAGTTGTGGAAGCTTAGGGGGCTGTTTGAAGAGGCCCCTCCTAGTCTGACCTCATGAGCCAGAGACACTAGTAATCTTGGGCAGTTCTGGGGCATTTTGTTGTTATTTATTTATTTATTTAATTTTTTTTTTTTTGAGTCAGGGTCACTCTGTCACCCATGCTGGAGTGCACTGGCAGGAATCTCAGCTTATTTCAACCTCAACTTCTCTGGCTTGAGCAATCCTCCCACCTCAGTCCCCTGAGTAGCTGGAACTACAGGCACACACCACCATGCCCAGCTAATTTTTACATTTTTTATGGAGACAGGGTTTTGCTATGTTGTCCGGGCTGGTCTTGAACTCCTGAACTCAAGCAATCCTCCCCTCTCAGCCTCCCAAAGTGCTGGGATCACAGAACTGCACCACCATGCCCAACCCAAAATGCATTTATTTAATATACATCACAAGCACTCAACTGGAGGCTTAAAAGACTAATAATAATAATAATAATAATACCACAGCTCAAGATACAGAGTGCTATACAAAAATCACAGAAAGGACAGACCATCTAAGGAAAACTTAAAAAGACGACACAAGGACAGGCTGGGCAGCCTGGGTCAGGGCTCCTGGCTGGTGACCTGCTTTAAGTAGGTTTCTTGCAGGTGCTTCTTAAAAGCTGTGGGGGGTTTCCAGAGCTTGGCAGCATGCCTGTTCAACGAGCTATCAATGTTGGGTTTGCCTCGAAGGCTGTGGATGGAGAGCAGGATGGTCCTGACATCATACAGGGCAGACCACTTGTCCTTCAGGATGTCCAGGCAGATATTACCCTGGGTGTCCATGTTGGGGTGGTAGCAGGGCGTGAGGAACTTCACCATGGGTACATTGTAAGGGTAGCCCCTGGGGAGCTCTAGGGAGAGCTTATACCTCAGGTCTTCATATGCTGTGCCAGCTGCTCAATGGATGGTCCCCACCCATTTGAAAAGGTTGCCTGATTCAGGCAAGGCAGAAATCCCTGTGTCACTAGGCATTGTGAAGGTCACCAACTCCTGCTGTAGCCTTTTGCCCACAAGGTACCGGGCAGCACCCCTGCTGGTGGTGGCTAGGCAGCAGCAACGCTGGTGGTGGCTGGGTCAAGGTTTTGACAGGCCATCTAGGTGGCACTGACAGAAAGATAGGAACTTAAAGAACACAACTGCAACTGACTATTTAATTTTTTTGAGACAGGGTCTCCCTCTGTAACCCAGGCTGGAGTGCAGTGGCGTGAACACAGCTCGTTGTATCATCAACCTCCTGGGCTCAAGCAATCCTTCTGCCACAGCCTCCTAAGTAGCTGGGACCACAGGGGCACCCCACACAAACACACTCAGCTAATTTTATATATTTTTGTAGAGATAGGGTATCTGCAGCCATAAAAAAGAATGAGATCGTGTCTTTTGTGGGAACATGAATGGAGCTGGAGGCCATTATCCTTAGCAAACTAACGTAGAAACAGAAAACCAAATACCATGTGTTCTCACTTATAAGTGGGAGCTAAATGATGAGAACTCATGAACCCAAAAAAGGATATAACAGACACTGGGGTCTACCTGACAGTGGAGGGTGGGAGGAGGGAGAGGAGCAGGAAAGATAACTATCGAGTACTGAGCTTAATACCTGGGTGATGAAACAATCTGTACAACAGACCCCCGTGACACAAATTTACCTATGTAACAAACCTTCACATGTACCCCCAAACCTAAAATAAAAGGTTTTTTTTATTAAAATTTAAATTTAAAAAAAGAGATAGGGGTCTCACCATGTTTCCCAGGCTGGTCTCGAACTTCTGTCCTCAAGCAATCTTTCCATCTCAGCCTCCCAATGTGCTGGGATTACAGGCATGAGCCACTGCACCAAGCCTAGGACATTTTTAATAATCACCTCCCTTACCCCAGCCAAGGTTCCCAATCCTCAGAGAAAAAGCTGTTCAAGACAAACCTTCCTAAGCAGACCCAAAGCTTTGACAGCCCATATGAAACCTGCCTAGGAGTACCCTGCTAGCCTCCATGACCAAATATGCCACAGCAAGGCTGATGTGGCTCCCTTAGACCTATTCTGATATCAACTGAGATCAGTCCCTTATTCTGGGCGGAGAGCCTGATGGCCACATGTGTGCTGTTAGAGGACACTGCCCACACAGTGACCACCCAGGGAAAAAGAAAGAGAGACCCAATTTCCTTGTGTGTGTTGCAACATGGCCAGTGTTAGAGATCCAGGGTTGCTTAATCTAACCCCAAGTGATTAAGAACCAGCTATGATACCAGACTGAGTGCAAACTTAGTTGTCAGCACAGATAAAGAAAGGAAATAGACACATCAGATGTAAAAGCCCCAAATAGGCCTCCTACTGACAGATCCTGCTCTCCTAACGCATGCAGACCTCTCTGACTTGCTGAGATGTATGTATATTCAATGACAGCATGGAATTGAATGGTTGACTAGAAGTGGCTTTCCAGAGGCTGCAGCAGGAGGAACATTCTTTGTAAACACCAAGTATTTCATTCCCCCCCAATATATCAAAAACAGTGTTTTCAGTAGGATCTGGAGTACTGCATTGATGGGCATCACTTTTGACCAACATATGCTCATGCGGTACCTTATATAGATTCACACACTTCTTCTAGACAGGCTTTGCCACCACCTTATGCACATGGACCCTCGGGACTTCAGTAACTTGCAGGGCCAGGTGTGTTCAGAGCAGAAGAAATATGAAGTAGTGTGCAATGAATAGGTGCAGGGAGAACCCATCTTCAAATGAATTGGCCTTTTTAATTAGCAATTTTATGTGAACAGATTATTTAATACATTGAGATGTGTGTGTTACAGCATTCAACACTGATCCACAAGCTTGAACACATTTGTGTTTTAGAATTAATCGATTTTAATCAAGTAGAAAAATGCACTGAACATCCCTTGTATCCAATGCTCATTACCCCTGCGGCCAGTTTGTGAGCTGGCTTGTGTTGTCTTAGACTTTCAGAAGAGAAAACAAAGGTCTTCTTATTGAACCTTTTGGTTGTACATTGCATGTTTGATTTGAGAACAGTTATGGTTCAGGCCTGCAGTAAGAGATTGAGAGCCTTACATCATTATAAATGTGGCCTGGGGCATCCAACTCATTTAACTAGAGGATAATGCAGAGGAGTGATTTGCAACTGACTTCTTCCTCCCACAAACTAATATTTTTAAATGGTTTGCACTTTTTTCTGTCCCCAAAGGGATTTGTTAAGTGTGATTTTCAGCAGGACATGTACTTTTTTTATTTGTTAGCCATAATGGAAATGCATAGATAAACTGAATCTGTGTTAACATAATAAGACAATCAAATTTTTTGTTTAGTTGTGGGGAAGGGACGGGATAGAGGAAGTAGAAAAAGCTCCCTCAAACATAAGCTGAATATTTATGTGGTTTTTGTTTTTATTTAAACCAACCTCTTTAGAAAATTACTTTCTTAATAAGACATTATACAATGAATTTTTCCAGTCATTTTGAGGGAAAAATATGGTACTCTGGGAGAACTTCTAGAAGAAAGAGGAAAGACTCACTTAAGATTCCCAGGACCTACAGAGGGCTGGTGCTGAATAGTTCCCACTGAGGACCTTCCATTTCGGTGTTTTTTGTCTTTTGTTTTTTTGAGACAGGATCTCACTTTGCCACCCAGGCTGGAGTGCAATGGCACGATTCCGGCTCACTGCAACCTCTGCCTCTGGGGTTCAAGCAATTCTCCTGCCTCAGCCTCCCGAGTAGCTGGGATTACAGGTGTACACCACCATGCCCAGCTGTTTTATATTTTTAGTAGAGACAGGGTTTTGTCATGTTGGCCAGTCTGTTCTGAAACTGCTGACCTCAAGTGATTCACCTGCCTCGGCCTCCCAAAGTGCTGGGATTGCAGGAGGGAGCCACCGCACCTGACCCCATTTTGTTTTGTTGTGAGAGACCATAAACAGCCTAGAAAGATAGAAATCTCAATAATGAGAAGTTTCTGTAATGTGTGGCTCCTGCCCACCTTCTCTCTGCTTATTTGCTGTCTTTTTTGTTTGTTTGTTTTTTTAGAGATAGGGCCTTCTCTGTCACCCAGGCTGGAGTGCAGTGGTGACATCATGGCTCACTGAAGCCTCAAACTCCTGGAGTCAAGCAATGCTTCTACCTCCACCTCCCGAGTAGCTGTGACTACAGGCAGGTGCCACCACAGAAGGACAGACCATCTAAGGAAAACTTAAAAAGACAGCACAAGGACAGGCTGGACAGCCACCAGACCTGGCTAATTTTTTATTTTTTGTTTTATTTTTTGTAGAGACCAGACCTCACTATGTTGCCCAGGCTGGTCTCGAACATCTGGCCCCAACAATCCTCTCACCTCGGCCTCCCAAAGCACTGGGATTATAGGCATGAGCCATCACCCCAGGCCTATTTGCTGTCTTGATTCTCTTTTCTGCTCCCTCCAGCCCCACAGATGGCCCAAGACCCCAAATGGGCAGTCAAGCTTCCCCACTAAGTTGAGTTTCTTTACTGGACAACTCAAGATGTCTTGGTGAGATCCTGTCTTGAAACAATGCCAGGAAAGTACATGAGGTCTCCTTCCTCCTAAAAACACCCCTAGAAGGAGGCCTGGGAGGGGCAAGCCTGGCGGTTCAAACTGGTGATTCAACCACCCACATAAGACCCTCTAGGCTTATGGGTGAGCTGGGTGAGGGGCTCAGAGAATTTCTCCAATCTTGGCCAGAAAGGCTTCCTTACCACTTTCACATTTCTCTCGTGTCCTTCAGAAGGGGCCTGCATCCAAAAGTGGCCATGGAAAGCTTCACAGAATTAGCTTTTATTGTAAAAAAAAAAGTAGCAAATGGAGGAATGACTGAAGAGAAAGCATGCTCCAGCTATCAGTCAACTTTGAGGGCATGAGCCCATGTTCTAAATTTAAACACAATCTGTCCCTTTCTCCTTGTATATCCGGTTTCCTTTCACTTCCCTCGGTGCCTTCAACTAATCCCATTCTTGGTTTACTGCTTGGCAGTGATAATTATATACATGCACTGTGACAGTTCAACCTTTCATGTGCCAGTTCCCATCTTTTGATATTTTCTTTTATTTTTTCTGTGGAAAATAATATGACAAAATCCTGCCATTTGTATGTTCTTCATTTTTGACTCCAACCATGCACTACTGAATAGAAAGTATCTCAGCCTCCTTTATTTTTCTCTGCCGTTACTGATGTGTTTCTAGGCCCATCTTATCTGTGCATTAGCTCATTACTTATTGTCATCGCTTGTCACTGGCTGCCGTTTCCCCCGCCTCCCTTGGGTGTTGTGTCTACACATCTTTGCTATAGGGGAAATTAGATAGTAAACTGATGATGTCAGTCCTTTGACTGGAGGTTAGCATTTCAAATGCTCACATATTTTTTGTTAAACTCACTTTTTTTTTTTTTTTTTGAGACAGGGTCTCTGTCACCCAGGCTAGAGTACAGTGGCACGATCTTGGCTCACTGCAACCTCCACCTCCCAGGCTCAAGCGATTCTCCCACCTCGGCCTCCCAAGTATCTAGGACTATAGGCATGCACATCCACACAGGGCTGTTGCCCAGGCTGGTCTTGAACTCCTGGACTCAAGAGATCTGCCCACCTCAGCCTCCCAAAGTGCTGTGACTACGGCATGAGCCACCACTCCCAGCCTAAAGCCCACTTCTTTTGAAACCTCAACCTATTTCCAGATCAGTGATTCCCAAATTTCTTGTAACCACAACCTCTTCTCCTTATGTTTGGTTTAGATATTTTATGATATCCACATTTTTCGCTACCCTATCAATTATTCTCCAGGGGGAAGAGAGCAACATTTTTTGTTTTTTATGAAAAACAAGTAAAACTTTTTATTTTTTATTTTTTTTAGTTTTGAGGAATTTTTGAGACCATACAATACTCGGTGGTCTATTGGAGAAGTCCTGAAGTGTTGCAAAAAAGCAATCACTGCTTTGAATCTTGGAATAAGGTCATTTTAATCTCACTCACTATGTTTTTTCTTGATGTGTTTTGTGATAGAAAACACATAATATGAAATCTGCCCTCTTCACAAAGTTTTAAGTGTGCAGTACAGTGCTGTTAACTATAAGCACATTGCTGTACAGCAGGTCTCTAGAATTTTATACCCATTGAACAGCAACTCCTCATTTCTCCCTTACCCTAGCCCCCGGCACCCACCATTCTGTGTCTGCTTCTATAAGTTTAAATACTTTAGATACCTCATACAAATGGAATCATGTCATATTTGCCCTTCTGGGACTGGCTTCTTTCTTTTAGCATAATGTCCTACAGGTACATCTGTGTTATGGCATATGACAAGTTAATCTCACTTATTATTTCTTAAAGTGTAAATACAAGACTAACAAAAAAAAATCCCTTGTGTCTTCCATGCACTGTTTAAGGTTATAGAGGCTCACAGTTAAGGCTTACGTTTTGGGGTCCCTGGGAGGATATAAGTTCCAGCTCTTTTTCGTATAATGATGAAAGTAACATAAAAGATTCTAGGATGGCAGGTACAAAGAACATGTTAAGAACAGCCCTTGAAAATATATATCATCATTGCAGACATCTTCTTGGGGTCAACTCATAATGTTCCCAAATAAATAACTGTCCATCCATGAGGACTTTGTTTGAATATGTTATTGATACTTTGTTTTGTTTTTGGTTTTTTACCCTAATTCTTGGAGAGAGGACTTTATGACTAAAAACACACCAAAAAAAAAAAAACCTTCCAAAAAGAGATTATGATTATTAATTAAGAAAGAACTCTAGCTGATGATGGAGAAAGTTCAAAGATGTTGTATTATTCAGTTTTTTTTTCTTCTTTTAAAACAATTAAAGCCAAGCATGGTGGCTCATGTCTGTAATCCCAGCACTTTAGGAGGCCGAGGCAGGTGAATCACCTGAGGTCAGGAGTTCGAAACCAGCCCTACCAACATGGTGAAACCCCATCTCTACTAAAAATACAAAATTCACTGGGCATGGTGGCGCATACCTGTAATCTCAGCTACTTGGGAGGCTAAGGCAGGAGAATCACTTGAACCCAAGAGGCGGAGGTTGCAGTAAGCCGAGATCACACCAATGCACTCCAGCCTGGGCGACAGAGCAAGACTCCATCTCCAAAAAAAAAAACTTAAAACTAAAGGAAAATATTATTTGTTTGCTACTGCATAATAAATTAGTCCAAAACTTAGCAGCCTAAAATAATAATAAATATTTACCATCTCACACAGTTTCTGTGGATCAAAAACTTGGGAGTAGCTTAGTTTTGTGGTTCTGGCCTGGAGTGTCCCCTGAGGCTGCAGTCAGTATGTCAGCAGGGACTTTGTTCTGGCTTTGGATTGACTCACTCACATGGCCGTTGTCAGGAGGACCCAGTTCCTCATCACATGGACCTCTCCTTTGTGCCCTTTGAGCATCCTAACAGCACAGCACTGGCTTCTCCCAGAGCAAGTGATCCCACAAAAAGCAAGAAAGAAGCTGCAGGCATGCACTGTCCCTCCCACTGTATTTTATTCAAGTGCGTCACCAGAGTAAGTCACTAAGTACAGACCACACTCAAGGGGAGCAGAATTAGCTCCACCTAAAAAGTGGGGGGTGGATTTGATAAAGGGATGGAAGACCCATGCCACCAGAAGGGTGGATGGGACCTTAACCAGATACTCTAGTGATACTCAGGGACAAAGAGTGTATGGAGTCTGAGCACAAACTCACAGCTATGGTCCATGCTGGGGCTGGAGATGGGGGTAGGGAGCAAAGGAACACCTGGCCAGACAACCCTGAGAGTCCTCTGGGAGTGAGGACCGTGGAGCAGAGAGAGATAACGGGAATGGAGTAAATGACTCAAAGATGTGTTAGAGATTTCCTGAGGTTGAGGCCAGGAGGCCACCAGAGAAGTGAATGCAGGTAAAGACAGTGGTTTTGACCAAAGAGCAAGGGTGGATGCCCCAGGCCAGCCCAGGAGCTTGGCGCCACTGGAGGAAGTGCATTATACCAATCAGAGCTTCTTTTGCTGCTGCTGAAATGGAACGGTGCCATCGGGCCGTCTTCTCCACTGGAGATGCTCCTTCAGCTCAGCAGGACGCTAGCTCGGAACTCAGACTGCACGTTTTTGCGGATTGGGAGGAGGGCCGACGCCGTGGCCGGATAGTCTCTGGAGCTGCCTTTTGGGGGTGTTTGCCTGTTGGCATTTTCAGTACTCCACGCGTCAAGAGTGAGTCACTTTCTCTTCTTGTCATGAAGTTAAATTCCTGGGATGTCATCTTCATTTTCTTCAGAGCCCCTTTCCAAAACTCAACTTTTGTTTGCTTCACAAATTGCCCTGCTAACCTCCATAGACTGAGTTTATTTGTCTTGATGGATGAATCAGAGTCTCAAACTCATCTCTTTTGCTCCAGCTCTCTTGGCAGAGAACACAGGAAGATGGGTTTTGCTTATGTGTGTGTTTGGGGAGGACTTTTTTTCCTTTGTTTTTCTGTCTTAGCCATAGCTTGTGGGCGAGCCGGCACCTGGGACCTTGACCGCCTCCTGGCGTGGGCCGAGGCCACATGGGGAGTTCTCCCCAGTACGTTTTGTGATGTTCCCTAATTCCAGGATGGGCTGCAGTTTTCCAGATCCAAGGCTCAGGGGAACTGGGGGAATTACTTCCCTGGAGCCAGCCTTATCTTATTTGTCCATGTTTCATTCATGCAAATTGGAAATACTCCCACAACTAAACTGCCTGCTGACCATCTGCCTAGGCAGTGGAGCTGTGGATGCTTAATGGCTTTCCTCAGCACCTTCCTAATCTCTTAGCTTCGCACTGTTTCCATGGTAGCCAGCCAATTGAGAACAGATCATGTTTTTGCTATGTTATTAATAAAGTGCAAGAAGTTGAATTCCTGTAATTCTAGTTCCTTTTCTGCCGTTATCTAGGAATGAGCTGAGGCAAATATTTAACCCCTGGGGCCTCTTATATAAGAGATTTGGTCAAGATGGATCTCAGGGCCCTTCTAAGTCTCAAGTTCATTGGCTATACCATCATTTAGGAATATGAAAATATTAGTAGGGAAGGATTTATTTATCACAAGAGGAGAATCTCTATACTTTCTCTTGTCACCCAGCTCACTAGAAAGGATCTGCACCTTAGCAAGAGATTTCCCTCTGCATTGTGGAATCGGCAGTTTCTTCATGTTGGGAAATAGAATCTAAATTCATGTTTTTCTCTTAAAACCATACAAATGTTCTTAACATCTTTGTATAACTGAGGCTTATGCTTTGCTGGTTGTTTCTTTTAAATCCATTTTCCCAATATAAAAATATTGCTTGTCAACACAGACTTGCACTTCTGCAGTTTTATTTGTTTGTTTGTTTTTAGTCACCCAGGCTGGAGTGCAGTGGTGCAATCTCAGCTCACTGCAACCTCCCGAGGTGGGAAGATCACTAGGCTGAAGGGATCCAACCACCTTAGCCTCCCAAGTAGCTGGGATCACAGGCACATGCCTTCACACCCAGCTAAATTTTATTTTTTGTGTGTTTTTTGGAGGGGTAGAGATGGGGTTTCACCGTGTTGCCCAGGCTGCTGTGAAACTCCTAGGCTCAAGGGATCTGCCCACCTTGGCCTCCCAAAGTGCTGGGATTACAGGTGATAGCCATCATGCCGGCCTGCAGTTTTCAATCGTTACTCTAAATGTCACTCGGGCTTCTCCCACTAAAAAATCTGACCACTTAACCTCCAATTTTTAAATTTTATAAATTGACTAATAAAGGAATATGTTGCTACAGCGTTAATCTTTATCTTTTATCTCCTGGGTTTTATCTAAGTTTTTAAATGAAATTGCTACTGTTTTATAGATATTTAACTTACGATCTATGTTAGTATAAGGGTAAAAATTGAGAATCAGCAACTCTGGTCATTTTATTGCTCTAGTTGAGTGGCTGAGTCAGAAACATAAAAAGGGCATACCCAAACATTGACCTGTTTGTACCTACAAACAGCTGAGGACCAATTTGTAAATAGGTCACAGTTAATCAAAATCTCTGCACTTGAATCTTTTCCAAATGCTAAACCATGCCCTTCTACAAACTGTGGAATAAAAGTAGTCATAGCTAGCTATGTCTAGCATAGTCCAGAGTCCCCTGAAAATCTTTTCAATGATCTGCAACAACAAAAGCCAGTTTCTTGGAATGGTTCCTAAACTCTTGTTATTTAAACCTTCATAGGAAAATACTAAACTGTGTATTTTGGTAGTGACATTGGTTCACTCAACTACTCAGCAGTTTGCTGATTACCTGCTCAACGCCAGGCGTTGGAACACAGGAAAGAACTAGAGAGAATCAATTGACTGGTCCTTAGCAGCACAGAGCCCACGATCTAATGGGGTATGCAGCAATTTCAATGCATTGTGAAAATGCTATGATAAGGGAGAGTCATGTAAGAACCAGGCCCACATTCTAAGTTGGAGGGGTTGGATTCAGGAGTGAAGAGAGGTGAGGAAAGGTCAAAGGAGGTTTGTCAAACAAAAAGGAAACTAATCTGAGACATACAGGATATCTAGGAGTTAACCAAGCAAAGCTACGGAGGGGTGGGAAATGGGGGGAATATTCTAGAAAAAAATGGCATGTGCAAAGGCTAGGGGCTAGGGAGGGCAAGACATGCTTGAGGAGCCACAGCAAGTTCATTATGGCTGGAGCTCAGGGTTCAGGAGGGATGTGGCAAGAAATGAGGCTGGGAAAAGCTACCCAGAGCCAGATCTTATCTATTCTGGATTTTACAGTTTAGTAAATGTATTCATTCAGGACCATTATCTTCTTTCTGGTAGTTAGAAAGTTTTTCTCAAGAGGAAGATGTAAATCTAAAACATTTCAAATCCCAGAGAGAAAACATTTTCTCTAATAGAAGGATTGCTGGACTCTACCCAGGAGTGTTTACTAAGTGTTAACATTGACTTTTAAAGTTTTCCTAGGATTCCTGCCATACAAGGTAATTCTATGCATATGGCATCTTTTTAATGATTTGCAAGACGAAACACAAAGCATATTTTCAAATACTGATTTTCACATTAAACACTGATTGAAAACATTAAAATCCAATAAAAAGGGCTCGGGTTCCCAGATCACTTTATTCTAAGATATGGGTAGGACTTCAGCCATTTGGCCACGATGGGGTTATCATCCACCCAGAATTCAGTAAAAGGAGGATGATTCCCACCTATTTGGGGTTGCAAGTCTAAGCTACTTATCCAGAACCACTCAGATAACACCTCAGAAACATTTCAGACCGGGTGCAAATAGTAAAGCCATGACACCGGTTTATGATTCCAGCAATATGTGACCTTTTCTCCAAAATATATTAATGCTTTTACTTTCTTGTTTTTCTTTCTATCTTGGTAGCTTGTAGACATAACTAATCTCCTTGGCTTGACATTGAAAACCTCTGTAATCTAGTTTGGCCTACAGTTCTTAAGATTCTGTTTTCTTCTCCGCAAACACCTCACTCTCCAACAAAGCAAAATGAGACACAACACTCCAGCCATACGGATTATGTAGACAGGTATCACGGTAGCATCGGGGAGGCCCTGGGTTTGGACTCAGAAAACCTAAATTCATGTCCTGCCCACCCCATTTCCAGTCTGTGTGACCTCGCACAAGACACTTAGTCCCACTGAACCTCAATTTCTTTATCTGTAAAATGACTGGCTTCTCTCACAAGATTGCTAGGAAAAACAAAATGAAGT
Source organism: Homo sapiens (assembly GCF_000001405.40). Lineage (NCBI taxonomy): Eukaryota > Metazoa > Chordata > Mammalia > Primates > Hominidae > Homo > Homo sapiens. The sequence continues at coordinate 57,061,986 of NC_000004.12, read as the reverse complement.
AATGGCTATAAAAACTTGCTGTGAGGCTAGGTGCTGTGGTTCACAGCTGTAATCCCAGCACTTTGGGAGGCCGAGGCAGGAGGATCACTTGAGCCCAGAAGTTTGAGACCAGCCTGGCAACGTAGCAAGACCCTATCTCATTATTTTTAAAAAAGTAAAAATAAAAATAAAATTTATCTGGGAGGTGTAAAGCCCATTATTAATGTAAAGTATAGGAGTCCGCCCTCATCCATGGTTTTGCTTTCCAGTTTCAGTTATATGCAGTCAGTTTTGGTCCGAAAATATTACATGGGAAATTCCAAAAACAAACACTTTCTGGTTTTACATTCCACACAGTCCTGAGTAGCGTGATGAAATCTCACCCCATCCAGCTCTGTCCAGGCTGGGATGTGAATTTTTTCCTTTGTGTGGGTATCCACGCTGTCAACACCACCCACTCATTAGTCAGTCAGTAGCTGTCTCAGCTGTCAGATTGACTGTCATGGTATCACAGTGCTTGTGTTCCAAGAAACCCTTATTTTACTTAATAATGGCCCCAAAGCGCAAGAATAATAAATTTGGTTTATTGTTATAGTTGTTCTATTTTACTATTAGTTGCTGTTGTTAATCTCTTACCGTGCCTAATTTACAAAACAGATTTTATCAGAGGTATGTATATATAGGAAAATATTGGAAAAAACATAGTATTAATATATACTATTAATATATACTGTATAAAGTTCGGTACTATCCACAGTTTCAGGCATCCACTGGGGGTTTTAGAAAGTATCCCCTGAAGGGATAAGGGTGGACTATTGTATTTTTATTTTTCCTGCAAACGACACACAGTTTTCCCACATCTTGAACATACTGATCCCCTTGCCTGAAAGCCCATTTCCTCTTTCATGAATTTAGTTCTGACCTACTCAGTAAGAATTTTTTTTGTTTTTCAGAGACGAAATCTCGCTGTTGCCCCAGGCTGCAATCCAGTGGCTATTCACAGGCACAATCACAGGCACTACAGCCTCAAACTCCTGGGTTTAAGCAATCCTCCTGCCTCAGCCTCTCGAGTAGCTGGGACTACAGGAAAAAAAACTTTTTTGCCCCGTCACTCAGGCTGGAGAGCAGTGGCGCAATCATAGCTCACTGTAGCCTTGACCTCCCAGGGTCAAGCAATCCTCCTGCCTCAGCCTCTTGAGTAGCTGGGACTACAGGTGCACACCACCACGCCTGGCTAATTTATATTTTATTTTTTAGAGATGAGGTCTCACTATATTGCCCAGGCTCCCAGGCTGGTGTCAAACTCCTGGGCTCAAGTGATCCTCCCACCTCAGCCTCCCAAAGTGCTGGTGTAGCAGGCTGGATCTCCATAAACCCTTTGCTGTAATGAGGAATGTATAAGTTAAACATTAAAGCAGAAGTAGAAAACAATGGATAACGAACTGGGGTAACTGGTGCCTGAGTAAGAAAGCTCGAATGCAAAAACAAACCTATTAAAACCTTACCTGGACTTCCTCAACCTCAAACCTGATTGAGGGATCAAAGCGTGCACCAAGACCCACTTAAGAAACTTTCCTACCCACAGACCCATAGTTAAAATTAGATTAAGAAACACTCCCACAAGTAGACATAGAGCTTGAATTGTGTATATAAGCTAAAGGAAAACTTGTAACTTTGAGTTGATCTGGTGAGTTACTCTGACCTTCTTCCTGTAACTGGTTGCAAAAATAAACTCCCTCCTTTCCCAGTCTGTCTGCATCTTGTTATTGGACTCGAGAACAAGCAGCCAGACCTCATTTGTCTGGGAACTCTGGGATTACAGCCCAGGAGATTATTTTTTATATTTGTATTTCTATCGTAGGACCAGTTGCACTTCGCCTGTTTTATAATTGCATGTATAGTTGTCTTCACTTCCTGATTGTAAATCCCTATGGGACAGGAGTCCAACCCTAACATCTTTCTATTCCTCATGTGACCCAGCACATCACTTAGTTCATGATGGACTGGGACAAATTAATCCATTCCATGTTTTCACCTGCTTAATGCTATACAATGCTGAAATGTGATTTAGTTAGTTATTATTGTAGTCCTTTCTCACCTTTTAAACCATTTTCCATAGGAATTTCCCCTTAAGGAATTAATTCAACGAAGCAGTAGTACAAGTTAGTGCTCTAGATATAGGGATAGATATTAAAGTTGATGATGATTAGATGACATTTTTCTTTTTTTTGTTTTAAATATTCTTTTTTAAAAAAAGTTTATTTTAGGTTTGGGGGTACATGTGCAGGTTTGTTACATAGGTAAACTCGTGTCATGGAGGTTTGTTGTACAGCATATTTTATCACCCAGGTGTTAGGCCTAGTACCCAATAGTTGCCCTTTCTGCTCCTCTCCCTTCTCCCACCCTCCACCCTCAAGTAGACCCAGTGTCTGTTGTTCCCCTCTTTGCGTTCATGAGTTCTCATCATTTAGTTCCCGCTTGTAAGTGAGAACATGTGGTATTTGGTTTTCTGTTCCTGTGTTAGTTTGCTGAGGATAATGGCCTCCAACTCCCTCCGTGTTCCTGCAAAAGACATGATCTCATTCTTTTTTATGGCTGCATAGTATTCCATGGTGTATATGTACCACATTTTCTTTATTCGATCTGTCATTGATGGGCATTTACGTTGATCCCATGTCTTTGCTATGGTGAATAGTGCTGCAATGAACATTCCTGTTCATGTGTCTTTATGGTAGAATGATTTATGTCCCTCTGGGTATATATCCAGCAATAGAATTGCTGCATCAAATGGTAGTTCTGTTTTTAGCTCTTTGAGGAGTCGCCATACTGCTTTCCACAATGGTTGAGCTAATTTACACCCCTACCAACAGAGTATAAGTGTTCCCTTTTCTCCGCAACCTTGCCAGCATCTGTTGTTTTTTGACTATTTAATAATAGCAATTCTGACTGGTGTAAGATGGTATCTCATTGTGGTTTTGATCTGCATTTCTCTAATGATCAGTGATGTTGAGCTTTTTTTCATATGCTTATTGGCCACATGTGTGTCTTCTTTAGAAAAGTGTCCATTCATGTCCTTTGCCCACTTTTTAATGGGGTTGGTTTTTTCTTGTAAATTTGTTTAAGTTCCTTACAGATGCTGGATATTAGACCTTTGTCAGATGCATAGTTTGCAAATATTTTCTCCTATTCTGTAGGTTGTCTGTATACCCTGTTGATAGTTTCTTTTGCTGTGCAGAAGCTCTTAAGTTTAATTAGGTCCCATTTGTCAATTTTTGCTTCTGTTGCAATTGCTTTTGGTGTCTTTGTCATGAAATATTTACCTGTTCCTATGTCCAGAATGGTATTGCCTAGGTTGTCTTCCAGGGCTTTTATAGTTTGGGGTTTTACATTTACATCTTTAATCCATCTTGAGTTAATTTTTTCATATGGTGTAAGGAAGGGGTTCAGCCTCAATCTTCTGCATATTGCTAGCCAGTTATCCCAGCACCATTTATTGAATAGGGAGTCTTTTCCCCATTGCTTGTTTTTGTTAGCTTTGTTGAAGATCAGATGGTTGTAGGCGTGCAGGCTTATTTCTGGGCTCTCTATTCCATTGATCTAGATGTTTGTTTTTGTACCAGTACCATGCTGTTTTGGTTACTGTAGCCCTAATAGTATAGTCTGAAGTCAAGTAACGTGATGCCTCTGACATTTTTTTATGTTCCCTAATTATTAGGAATTGAACTTCTGTCCAGCCTGATTTAACATATGATGATCAGTATGTTCCAGAAAGATCTGTTCTTTAATCATCTTCTGAGCACATTACAAGCCATTGAGGAAAGCTAGCTAGTGCTAACCTTATGAAATATTTATGGAATTATTATTCCTTATTTTTTTGTAAGTTAAAATGCTCCTTGCTGATTAAAAAAAATTACCCACGACTTTTTTGTGAATGGGATTAATCTTCTCTCTCTCTGTTCCACAGACCATGACTCCCTGTTCTCCACAGAGGCCAAGCTCCCATGGATATGGGGTGGAAATTTGGAGACAGGTCAAAGTCATATGTATCCCAAGAGTCTTGTTCTTATTTTCTCTATTTGAGTTTACTTTGAGCTTTCTTCTCTTCAAGTGTCAGTTCAGCTGATGTACTGGCTCAGACCATAACCCTTTCCCAAGGACTAGGTAAACCTGGATTACTTTCTACCTCTTCCCCTTTGTTGACAAGCAGCTGGTGTTTGTGAAAAAGCATTGTCTTAGTGCTTGAAGTCTGCTGCCTTAGCCAAGTTCAGAGATCCATTCATTATCTTTGAAGTGCCCAGCTTCCTAAAAGGGTCACACATGTTGTTAAAGAGACTCCCTGAGAACATACCCAAAAAGCAAGGATGAGGGAGGCATAAACAGCAGCTCCAAGGCCAATTTCGGGAGTACTGAGAACATTTTCTTCCTCGTGCCTCTAAAGAATGAGTTTCCTACTTTTATGTATGGTTGCTCTGAAGAGGCGCCAAATCTGAAATCCCCTGTTTTATGAGGAAATTATTTTCATTTACATAAACAAAAGAATAAAATCTCCAAGGCCAGAACTGATGGTTGCTCTAGAAGAAATGCCTTTGGAAGTTCTACAATAAGCCCCAGGTTCACGTGACCGTTAGGATACTTTGCATGTAGTTTCTCCCAGTCCTTGTAAAGGCATAATGTCCTCACCTTTAAAACCCAATCTACGGATGGGTGCACTGGCTCACACATGTAATCCCAACGCTTTGGGAGGCCAAGGCAGGGGGATCACTTGAGCCCAGGAGTTCGAGACCAGCCTGGGCAACACAGGGAGACCCTGTCTCTACAAAACAAATTTTAAAAACTTAGCCAGGGATGGTGGTATGTGCCTGTAGTCCCAGCTACTTGGAAGGCTGAGTTGGGAGGATCTCTTGAGCCCTAAAGGACGAAGCTGCAGTGAGCCATGATCGTGCTACTATACTCCATCCTGGATAACAGAGTGAGAGCCTGTCTCAAAAAAAGAAAAAAAAATCTACTATAGAAATCATGAAAAACTCCTTTCTGTGTCTCCCTGCACTGTTAGGGAACTAATAATTCAAGTGAAATAAAAAACAAAACTCAAAAAAAGAAAGCACCATTAATTAAAGAAAAATAATCACTGCCTAAAATTAGCCAAAGTGCCAATGCAGAGATTTCTGATGTGAAAAATGCCAATAAGAGCAGAAAAGAGTATTTCCATGCCACTGCAATCTCCTTCTGTGAGGTAACATGTCCCACGTGCATTGGCATAGCTTTGCTTCACCTTGTTCCCATTTCTCACAGCTCACACCCAGCCAGATGGACTCCTCTGTCCCCCAGCCTGATAAAAGCAAGGGTGACTTGCCTTGCTAAATGGTAAATTCCTTATGCAAAGCCTTCCAGTTCTCACCAGGCAGGTCCTCCTCTCCTGTGATCAGAGAGACATCCCCATTTCCCTGATTTCAGAGCAGTGCTATTTGGCACTTTTGAGCCTCACTTGAACAGTCTGGCTGTTCCTGGCCCAGACTGTTTACTGCACCCACATCTAGCACCTTCTCAATTCCTCTTAGCACTCAGAAAAATTGTCTTGTAGCTGAACTCAAACACACAGTAATACTTATCCTAAGTACCCAAGACACACACACGAGAAGAACTAGCCCTACACTAGCGTAAGAGGAGCATTCTATTCCAGGTTCAGCCTTAGGGACGACACTAGAGAAAATACCAAAAATGGGAGAAGAAACACGAAATCCTGCTAGGAAGCTGAGAGAAAATCTGAGAACACTCAGCAAAGAATGCATGAGCAAAGGATGGGATAGATAACAGACAGCTTTTCAGTCTCTAGACATCACAAAACGGCTCAGAAAATGACCAGAGGGGCCAAGCTGGAGAAGAGGAAAACACTGAGAAAGAGCAGGAGGAGCTCAGTTATGCGCGGCTGGCTAACGTCTGGGGTTGTCTGCCAGGGAGTCACGGTGGCTGGGCTGTGACAATGGGAGTCCGGGGCCTGGAGGGTAAAAACATACGCAAGTACAAACGCCAGACGCCCGCCAAGCAGCCATCACGCCCTGCGCTCTGCTCCATGGAAGTCTGAAGGGGGCTATTCGCACACAGAGATCCCTTTATTCAACCTCCTCCTTGCCCGCTTAAAGCCAAACCGAATGTCTTAACAGAGAGGCAATCGGACCAGAAATGAGCAAAGGGCGGCTCCCAAGTTCGAGGGATTTTAGATAAGACCCATGCACTCCAGACACAGAGCCCCATCTCCATACAGAACAGTCAAGGGCAGGAATGAGGAGGGCAGAAGAGGGACAGGGTGCAGGTGGGAGATGACTGCCCTATTTTATGAAAATGGAAAGCAGTCCAGGAGAACCGCGATGACCCTGTCCACCCCCGCGTGATTGAAGTGGTGGCGGTGCTGGTGTTATCAGGTGTCTGTACCCTTCACCCAGAACCAGCCCACTGGATTTTCTCAATTCTCCGTGAATACTGGCACCTCCCAAGTAGTACTTGGCCTCTCACTCCCCAAAAAGACCTACGAACATAATTTCTTCTAATCTGTCCCCCTCTCCTCCTTTCTAACTTTCCACCTTCCTGTCTTCCTAATCATCTGAGTATCTCCTACTCAAAAACAATGTTTTAATTGAGTACTTCTACCTAGGGAGTTTTTTTTAAGATACCTGTACCAGACTCCACGCCCAGACCAGTGAGAAACTAGGAGTGCAGCCCAGGAATGGGCATTTTTTTCGACACACCCAGATGAGTCCAGTGTGCAGCCAGGATTGGCAACCACTGGATAAGATCCTGCAGGACAGAATCCTTCCTAGAGGCCAGTACCCGGTGGCTGAGGCTCTGCGTGTCTGCTGCCTATTTCTGCAGATGCCCCGCTATGAAATCTTTTCCAACCTGCATAGCCTTCTGGAGACTGAATAAACCTCTGCTTGGTAGCTCCTGGTCTAAGAGGGTCACCCTATACTGCACTGTCGGACCCCACAGGCACTTTCCAGTGCCGTCAGCCTCGCCTGAAGGATTTGCTGGGATTTCTAAAGTGTGAATCTTTTCCTTGGGCAGAGTGGTGCTAAACACGTGTCTGGTTCTCAGGGAGCTGAAGAACTTTAGTCTTCTACTGAAGACCCAAGGTGTTAAGTCTCCTGGTCCTCCTTGGTTGTCCGAGTGTACAGGGAACAGCAGAACTGGCCCCATTGTAGCATCCTCCCAGGGAGTTCAGGCCTTGGCCTTCAGCGTCGCAAAATGTTTTCAGGAGGAGGTTTAGCAAGTCCAGCTCTCCTGAAGTAGAAGATCACTTGGGAATCTCTTACATCCTCTTCCCCAGGGGCACATCTATTTCTTCTTCTTTTTTTTTTTTTTTTTTTTTTTTTTGTGAGAGAGAGCCTCGCTCTGTCGCCAGGCTGGAGTGCCGTGGTGTGATCTTGGTGCACTGCAACCTCCGCCTCCCAGGTTCAAACAATTCTTCTGCCTCAGCCTTCCAAGTAGCTGGGACTACAGGCACGTGCTACCAAAATTAGCCTGACTAATTTTTTGTATTTTTAGTAGAGACGGGTTTTCACCATGTTAGCCAGGATGGTCTCGATCTCCTGACCTCGTGATCTGCCCACCTTGGCCTCCCAAAGTGCTGGGATTACGGGCATGAGCCACCCCGTGCCCAGCCAAGCACATCTATTTCTAAGCAGATTGCTTAGAATTCTTGTTAGTCAGCGCAGGGCCTACGGATAGAGACTAAGCTTTAAAGATGGGTGAGCCTCCCTTACAGGTAGTTCAAGAAACCCTTCCTGATGTCTGAGGATACCAGGCACTGGGTTAGTATGTAGGGGCCTGAGAGTGGGCAGGGACTCCAAGATGAAGTGTCCTAGCCAGGCTTGGTGGTTGCTCACCTGTAGTCTCAGCCACTCAGGAGGCTGAGGCAGGAGGATGGCTTGAGCTTGGACTCCTGGGAGTCCAAGACCAACCTGGGCAATGTAACAAGATCTCATCCCAAGAAAAGAAGGAGAAATTTCCTAGGGAAACTCACTATCTAGGCTTCTAGGAATCCCAGAATCAGGTGTGACCATCCACGTGGTTAGCAATAAGTTTCCTATGGGAACTTCCCACCCAATTCAGTGCTTGCAGAATAAGAAAGCGCTAGCAAAAACATTTAATATCTTGTATTTAAGGTGAGTCATAGTCCAGACAGGACAGGCCCATGAGATGTGGAAAAAATGTGTTTCCAAGGCTATGTTAACATCACTAGGGAGTTTCGTCTCGGGAAAGCACTCTCTATAAAGTCAGTTCTTCCAGGTCCTCAAACCAATTCAAAACCTAGCCTGCTGATTCAACTTGTGTGGACCTCAGCCAGTCTGGTATTAGGATGATAGTGTAGGTATTCCAGCTTCCTAGGGGAGCTCTGCTGAATACGTTAGCTCATCCCTGGGCAATGTTGTTGGCACAGCCCCATGTTACCTCATCTATCACATGGTTACCAGAGCGAGCTCACCATCTTGCACACCTGAACATGGTTTCAAGTCCTTCATGGATTTGCTTCATGGCAGTAGCAGGGTCCCTTCAAGAATGACACCAGACCACATGTACCAGAACCACCATGGGCAAGAACCACACCCTGGAGTCAGACTCTTTGTCAGTACCCCACTTTTTTTTAATGCTAGACCCATACAAGGAAGGGGACAAGAATAAGAAAACATCATCAAGGGCCAGGTGCGGTGGCTCACGCCTATAATCCCAGCACCCTGGGAGCCCGAAGCGGGCAGATCACCTGAGGTCAGGAGTTCGAGATCAGCCTGATCAACATGGTGAAACTCCATCACTGCTAAAATTACAAAAATTAGCCAGGTGTGATGGTGTGTGCCTGTAGTATCAGCTACTCTGGAGGCTGAGGCAGGAGAACTGCTTGAACCTGGGAGGCAGGGGCTGCAGTGAGCCGAGATTGTACCACTGCACTCCAGCCTGGGCGACAGAGTAAGACTTCATTTCAAAAAAAAAAAAAAAGATAGAAAAGAAAGCATCATCAAATAAGAGATTTGTTTGCAAGCAACCAACACATTGCAAGAAGCAACTTTCTGTGCATGTTCTGTGGTCAATTCAAAATTACAGTGATAATTGTGAGATATCACAAGATTGACAGTCATCGTAGTGAGATATTTGAGTACTATGTCCACTTGAGAAAAACAGACTTCATGCTCCCTACGAAGATTCTCAGCATCAAAGATTGGACCCAAAACGAGGTGTCTTATTAATCCAGAGGTAACTAGCAATCAGCCAGGAACTCAACTCACAAGACCTGGGCACGCGGTCACCAGGGCAGCATTGTATTGAATGGTCTGCTCTTAGATGGACTGGCCCTGCAAATACGTGCCTGGAAGCTAAGCAAGGCCGTGCTATTCACTTATCTGCTTTACCTGGGGTGGGGTGGGGACGGGCCAGGTGGTCAGCAGTGAGCTGATGGAACTCCCTCTGGAGAAACTAGTGAGAGGGAGTGCCAAATCTGTCTTCCTTCCACCCAAAGGACCCCACATAGCCTTCCCAGGGCTAAAATGTCAGCTAGACAGTGCTTGCCTTGGCACTTCTGGTCTCCCCACTGGGGTTCAGTGCCTCCTCATGGCCCAGGTGATACCTGAAATTCAGCAAATTTAAACCCAAGTCCACCCTTTCCCCTTCTTCAATCCAGCACCTTCCTCAGACTGACACCCCTGCTTCTGTTCATGGTGCGGCAGCCTCCTGGAACCTTTGAGGCTCACAGCCTTTAAATCATGCCTCTCTTTCCTACATCCAGTCAGTTACTGGGTAGTGTTAGTTCTTCCTGAATAATCCCCCAAGTCTTCCCCTTTTCTCTGTCTTCTCATTGCTGCGACCTTGAGTTAGAGCCTTAATCCCCGCCATGTCCCATCCTGATGCGGAGACCTCCAAAATCATCTTGGGAAATGCCACTTGAATCATGACACTCCCACTTTCAGAGACACATTGGAGGGTGAGGCCCCACCTCATCTGCTTTCTGCTGTGCCCTACACCACACACGAATCCTCTTCCCGAGCTGGCCCGCATGCTCACTATTCAAGGCAGGCCAGCGTTTTCCTGCCTCTCCTCAGGCAGGTCCCTGTCTTTCACCTTCCTTGATGAAAGTCTAATTTCTGAAATGAAAAGCAACAGCTCATACTTACTGAATGTTTACCCCATGCCAGGTACTGTGCTAATGGCTGTATCTTGTTTGATCCTTTTGATGGTCTAATGACTGGGATACTATCATTCCATTTCACAGATGAATAAAGCAGGGGAAGTGAAATAACTTGTGCAATGTTGCATAACTCAGGAGTGGTAGAGCAGAATTCCTGATTCCAAGTCCACGCTCCAAAGTCACTATAGTCTATTACCTCCCAGCATTTTGTTCTTACTCTTAATGCGCTAAGCCTCCCCAACACCACCCCAACAGATTATATTTAGAGAAGAGGAAGCAGTTCTTACACACTTTTGCCCTAAACAGTGTTTGGCAGGGTCCCATTATTATAAACTATTGGTTCTTCATTCACACTAAAGTGGAAATGACTAACAGTAGCTTCCATAACTAGATGAATTTGCCTTAAACTAAAAGCCTGAGATTAAATCTGGCCTATGCTGCTTAAGCTGTTGTACTTTCTTCTCCTCCCCTGCTGTCCTCAGCCAGTACCCCTGAGACCGTGTGCTAGATTCCCATACCAGGGTTCAGCTGCTACATCATCCCGCCTCTGGAAGTTCCCTAAATGACTTGCCTTGGCAGATGGCTCTGCTCTTTAATTAGCCATACAGTTACTGCTTCCCCTTATTTAATATCAGGAAGCTTCCACTTGTTTCATCCCCTTCCCCATCTTGGCCATAGTGCCTTCCTACTATTCTTTTCCCGTTTTGTACTTTTGTGTGCTCCTGTTCCCTTTAATGTGTTATCAGAATCTCATCTCAATCTAGGGATTTTTGCCAAGTTGTCTGAACTCTCTATCTCCATATGTGGTATCTGAGGTCCTTCTTAAACCCTGATTTTCCCCTTATTTGGTATTAATGCACACACTATTTTCAGGACCCAGCATCAAGAGTCAAGGTGAGTGTTGTTTGCAAATCTATCATAACTCGGAGAAGTCCCCATACTCAAATGTCTTAGCCATGTTAGCATGTACTCAGCAAGAGGCCATGAACAGTGGCTCATGCCTGTAACCCCAGCACTTTGAGAGGCCGAGGAGGGAGGATCACTTGAAGCCAAGGGTTCGAGACCAGCCTGGGCAACAAAGCAAGACCCTGTCTCTACAAAAAAAAAAAAAAAATTCTTTTTTAATTAGCCGGGCATGGTTGCACTTGCCTGTAGTCCTAGCTCCTTGGGAGGCTGAGGCAGAAGGACCCATGAGACTAGGAGTTTGGAGTCTGCAGTGAGCTATGATCGTAGCACCATTGCACTCCTGCCTGAGTGACAGAGCAAGACTCTGTCTATAAAAACTTTTGAAAAGCCAGGTGCAGTGGCTTATGCCTTTAATCCTAGCTCTTTGGGAGGCTGAGGCAGGTGGATCACCTGAGGTCAGGAGTTCGAGACCAGCCTGGCCAACATGGTGAAACCCCATCTCTACTAAAAATACAAAAATCAGCCGGGCATGGTGATGGCTGCCTGTAATCCCAGCTACTCAGGAGGATGAGGCAGGAGAATCGCTTGAACCCACAGGGCAGAGGTTGCAGTGAGCCGAGATTGCACAACTTCACTCCTGCCTGAGCGAAAGAGCGAAACTCTGTCTCAAAAAAAAAAAAAAAAACTTAAATAAAAATAAAATAAATGTTCAGTGAGAACCATAATGTGAATAGTATAACCCAGCATGATTTTGGTGTGAGGATAATTGATAATCATTTTCTTCCAGCAGACCTACCCATCTCGGTGGGATTTGCTTCAAGTGATGTATATTCAAATTAATTTGCATCTCCTGGTCATATACTAATTGGTTGGTGAGTGGTTAGTAGCCAAGAAACACTGCTTATGGCAAGAGAAAGTCAAGTGAAAGATTAAAGAAAATCATGATTAATAATCTGCCAGCTGATAAATAAGATAGTTATAACACCACTTTGGTGAGGTGTACGCTTTTGGCCATGTGTACACTGGTGCATTTTCAAGACAGTGGCTATCTTTTCACTTCTGTTTGGCTAATCATGTTATGTTGTTCTGAAGTTACTGCTGCCCTATACCCACTTCACACAGCCTGAGCTCTGTCTCCTTCCAATGAACATGAAGATCTTTTGATTCCGTAGTTCCTGGTTCTGTTCTGATTCCGACAGGATGCTGGCATCCTCAATTAGGCCAGCTAAGGAAAGCATTAGAAAACAGTGATGCACTACACTCTGTGGAACTTACCGAAACCAACAGGATTTTAGAGAAGAAATAAGGGGGAGCCTGAAGCTGTCAGGCCGCAAAAAATGTCAAAGAGAAATGAAACTTCAGTCTTAGAATGTCAAATAAAGTGTGATAAGAAATAAGAGGAGGGAAGATATTCCAAGTAGGTAAGGGCATCAGCATAAGCAAAGGTGCTGGAAGGGGTAATGAACATGTAATGGTGGGTGAGCAGGACTGCTGGGAGCAGACAGTGAGTTTGGGTAGAAATGACATAGAAGAGTGAATTGGTAAAAATGGAAGAGATGATGGGCAAATGAGAAAGCAACGAAGCAAAAAATATATAGTACAATATGATATTGGAGGACAGAAATGATTATTGGGGGTAATTTGACTTTTGACCATTTCCCAGGCTTAATTCAAGTATATTTAGCTTTCAAACATGACTTCTCCTAATATCTTCTACACAGCTCTTTCAGATGAAAAAAAAATTGGCTAACTGGGTAAAGGGTGATACCTTTATAAGCTCTATTTTTTTAATCCCTGAGGAAGTGAACCATGTTATGAGTCACATACATCGTGTTTAGGTAGGTGAGGAAATGCATTGAACTGATTTGCAGAGAATGAGAGCTCCAGACCCAGACAGTGAGACTTCAGAACTTCATAAATGTCAAAGCATCTTTGACATCTATGTCCCAGCTCTAGGACACATTCATGATAGGTTCACTTACTTCCAAACCCAAAGAGGATATTCTTAGACACTTCCTAGTTTCTTCATCTTGTAAAAGTGGTTAAGTGGCTTGTCCAAGGTCTTTTGGCTATAAATTGTAGACAAGGATTCAGAGCCAAGTGTTCTGTCCCCAAGAATGCTTTTGTCTCTTTTTTTTAAATAGTAACATCATGAGGACATCTCAGGTCATGGCTGGGGAGTGCTTTGTGCTCTGTAAGGGACTAGGAAATTGTTCACATACTTCTTCAATATTGTTCCTGCTGTGCTTTTTATAGGATAACACATTTTAACTCTGTCCTCACTACCAAGACTTTATATAAAATCAGCTGGAATGAATTGCTGGTCAAATTCAAAATTAATTTCATGTCAAAGTCTTTTCCTCATGATATTTGTGTGTTTTGTGAGAACTGCCTTTCTTAAATTCTTCTGAACCAACTCATAATACTCCAAATTTAAATCCATCCATCTATAAAACTACCTTTTCTGTATCAGTAGTACTTTTTCAGAACATACCTATTTCTAGATTATAATCAAATATTCTTAAAATAATCTGGTAGTCTGTGAGTCCTTTGTCTAGAACTTAATTAAAAGTGGCAAAGGAGGCCGGGTGCTGTTGCTCACTCCTGTAATCCCAGTACTTTGGGAGGCCGAGGCAGGTGGATCACGAGGTCAGGAGATCGAGACCATCCTGGGTAACACGGTCACCCCGTCTCTACTAAAAATACAAAAAGTTAGCCGGGAGTGGTGGTGGATGCCTGTAGTCCCAGCTACTTGGGAGGCTGAGGCAGGAGAATGGCGTGAGCCCAGGATGTGGAGCTTGCAGTGAGCCGAGATGGCACCACTGCACTCCACACTGGGCGACAGAGCAAGACTCCGTCTCAAAAAAAAAAAGGGGGGCGGAGGGGGGCAAAGGAGAAGCCAGGCATGGTGACTTACACCTATAATCCCAGCACTTTGAGAGGCCGAGGCAGGCAGGTTGCCTGAGCTCAGGAGTTCAAGACCAGCCTGGCCAACATGGCAAGACCCCATATCTAAAAAAATACAAAATTTAGCCAGGCGTGGTGGCACACACCTGCAGTCCTAGCTATTTGGGAAGCTGAGGTGGGAGGATTGTTTGGGCCCAGGAGATTGAGGCTGCAGTGAGCCATGTTCGCACCACTGTGCTCCAGCCTGAGTGACAGAGAAGACCCAGTCTCTAAAAAGAAAAAATGTAGCAAAGGAGGAGTATGCAGACTTAGGTGGAGATTCTGCAGGAGACTTCTAAGTACTTTTAAGGTGATATGATTCATTAAATTGAATTTTAATTTACTTTATTTTTAATGTTTATTTTTTATTTGCATAAACTTATGGAGTACAAATGTAATTTTGTTCCAAGGATGTATTTCATAGTAGTGAATTTTTGTTTTCTTCCAAGGTTAGAACTTTCTTCTTCCTTGCTATAACTTCCTTCAGGATCTGGCTATCTTTCTTCATTTTTTCTTTCTTCTCCTTCTCCTTCACCTCCTCTGTATTAGACTGTTCTTATGCTGCTAATAAATACATACCCGAGACTGAGTAACTTATAAGAAAAAGATGGTTAATGGACTCACAGCTCCATGAGGCTGGGGAGGCCTCACAATCATGGTGGAAGGCGAAGGAGGAGCAAAGTCACATCTTACATGGCAGCAGGCAGGACAGCATGTGCAGGGGAACTGCCCTTTATGAAACCATCAGATCTCATGAGACTTAGTCGCTATTACGAGAACAGCACAGGAAAAACCTGTCCCCATGATTCAATTACCTTCCACCGCGTACCCCCCAACCCATGACACATGGGAATTATGGGAGCTACAATTTGAGATTTGGGTGGGGACACAGTCAAACCATATCATCCTCTCTCCCTTCTTTCCCTTCAAGGAATGTTCAAAAAGAAGAGACCCTCTAAGGAATGATCAAAAGGAAGAGACACTCTAAAGTTACTGAGCGAGAGTTATAAAAAATAGGGAAGGCAAGAAAATGAATTTAGAGGGTTGAGAAGGATCTAAAGAGATTGAATGAGAATTAATTGAGTGTGTAAGGTAAAAGGAAAGTGGGGTAGCCTGGTTTGGGTACAGTCATCTGGATAGAAAAATGTAGGTAGTCCACCTTGGGTGGACATCTCTTTACATCAGGCAGCACTGCAGATGACTTGGTTGCTTTCTGGAGTTGCCGAGGGTGGGTACAAGGCAGAGGGAGGCAGCGCACAGTCATTTATTCTATGAACAGGATGTTTGCTAGACAGATGTTTGAGCAGTCTGGAGCTCTTAATGGAACAAGGGCAAGGATAAATAAATAATTGGACCTATCCTGATGTTTGTCCCTATACATTTAAGAATTCTGTGACCTGTTTTAAACGGAATCCAAACACTGAGTATGAGTTAGATGATAATGTTGTTATTACCCTTGACCTGGCCTTGAGGACTGATTTTGAGCTTTCTGTATGAGAAAATTAGCTCAGAGTGACCTAAAAATTTCTTTATTCTTAAAAACAGAAATAAATTCTCGATCTGCCTTGCCCTTCTTGGAAGAAAGGTAGAGTGGAAAGAGTTAGAAGTTATTTGGTACAGAGTCATTGAGTACAGTGCTCTCCTGAGGTAGAACAGAACTGTCAGGGATTGAATTGCAGGACAGACCTGCAATTCAAGATGATTGTTGGCAGTGAAATTGCTGATCAATGGAATGTGTGGGATGATAGTTCTTGAGAGTCGGGGAGGAGAGTGCAGCATTGTTGGGGCTGGCATTGTATCCACCGAAAACATTTTCAGCATCTCTTCTCTTCTATACAAGACTTGTCCTCTTGGTGTCCCTGTGGGTCACCATTAAGTCGCTTGCTTATTCTTTCTCACCATGTATCTTCATTTACCTTTCTCTAAAACTTCTGTAATTTGCTTTTATCAAGAGATTTTGGTCGCGTGCAGTGGCTCACACCTGTAATCCCAGCACTTTGGGAGACTGAGGTGGGCAGATCACCTGAGGTCAGGGGTTCAAGACCAGCCTGGCCAACATGGTGAAACCCCATCTCTACTAAAAATACAAAAATTAGCCAGGCATGGTGGCGAGCACCTGTAATTCCAGCTACTTGGGAGGCTGAGGCAGGAGGATCGCTTGAACCCACGAGGCAGAGGTTGCAGTGAGCCGAGATCACACCATTGCACCCTGGGCAACAAGTGCAAAACTCCATCTAAAAAAAAAAAAAAGGAGTTTTTCCATTCCCTCTGCATATTCTGGGGGAATTTCCAGACCAGGTAAGTGGTAAAGAACCAATCAGAGCTTAGTAAATAGGTATCCTACTGGGTATCAGCTCTGAAGAAAGTACTGGAAAGAATGTTGAATCCCTACAGATTCTTCCAACACAGGAAGTCACGTGGAGGCCAACCCGCCTCCATGTACTCTAAGAGGTCTGTTTGGTCCCTTGAATATTACACTAATAATTTATTGATGTGACTTTCCTTTGCAAGAGACTGCATCTCAAAACCAAAAGGCCGTTCTGTAGCCTTATTTCTTAGCACTTTCCAGTTTACGTATTGTTTGTTAAACTTTTCATTGTGTTAGTAAACCCAGCATTTGTTCAAGGATATTTGAAATAGTCAAAGGTTTTTGTAAATGTTGTGCAGCAAACTGGTCCTAACAGCCCCTCCTCTGCCCTTCCACTACATCACCCCAGCAGGAGTCAGTGGATATTATAGATTTTTGTGGTATGGAAGTCTTGTAGAATTCTAGAAATAGCCTGGTGGCAGGATTGACAAAATCATTTACATTCTTAGAATAATCCAAATGTTGACTCAGCCTGTTTACCTAAGGTATTCCAAGCATTGGGAGAGAGAAATAGGAACCCATGATATGATTTGTCCTAATATTGAATCCCCTGACGATGGCTGTCATTCAAAGTATTCCTGGGTTCAGGTATTTTTAAAGAATTCATGGCTGGGCACTGTTGCTAACACCCATAATCCCAGTACTTTGGGAGGCTGAAGTAAGAGGATTACTTGAGCCCACGAGTTTGAGACCAGCCTAGTCAACATAGCAAGACTCTGTCTCTACAAAAATAAAAATAAAAAAAGAATTCTTACTTGTCCTAGAGTGTTCTGCTTCTTGGAATAGTAAGATGATTGGGGGGGAACAGATATATTAGATCTGCCCTCTATTTAGTGCTTCAACTTTAGTACAATTAATTTCTAAATTATGCCATAGTTATTGGTGCAAAGATAGACACATAGACCAGTGGAAAAGAACAGAGAGTCCAGAAATAGACGCACACATATACAGTGGGTCTTACAGATTTCCACAAAGGCATTATTATGATTCATTAGGAAAAAGATGGTCTTTTCAACAAATGGTGCTGAAGCAATTGGATGTCCTTTTAGGGGAGGAAAAATGAAACTTGACCTCTGCCTCATAGCACACACAAAAATTAATTCAAGATGGAGCAAAAACTTAAATGTGAAAAGTAAAACCATAAAGCTTGTAGAAGAAAACAGGAGATCTTCATAGCCTTGGGCTAGGCAAAAATTTTCTTAAACAGGACACGAAAAGCACTAACCACAGAAAAGAAAACTTGATAAATTGGACTATACTAAAACTAAGAACATCTGTTTTAAAATCCCATGGGAAAAATCCATAGCATGTCTTCAAGATCTCTGGCAGAAAATCAGGCTGGAACTTGCCCATTAGCACTCCAGAATCTGCCCCCTGCCCAAGACCGATGACCCTGCTACCTGTATTGGCAATAGGGAGATGGACACAGGTTAAAGTAAGTAGGTTTTGGCAGGGCTGAGGCCCTCAGATCCTCACAATAAAATTGTCTTGCATTCCTTGTGTGGTTTGGATATGAGAGAAGCAGCTTTGTTCCCGAGCTCCCCCTCAAATCTCTGAAAACTGGTATGCTCTTCTCAGAACAATCCTTTGAGATCCCCTGAGCTTTGAAGTCCTCCTGCCAAGTCTGTGTGTGGGAAGGAGAACAGAGCAGCATGAGGGCCATCAGAGAGGTGGGCGAAGGCAGTTCAAAGCCCAGCCAGATCCGGCTCTGTGGTGTCCAAACCCTTGGGGTCCCATAGCCCTAGAGGAAGCCCGGGATAGGGTGAGGCCCAGCCCTTTGCAGGGTTCTGTATTGCTGCATCCAGACTAGGAAATGTCTGAGACAGAGCCAGAAACGTAAATACTGCACCACTGTGCTCACCACATTCATGTTTGCAGCAGAAGAGCCAAGCCCCCTGGCCAGGATATATGCTTCCTATTCAGACCTATGGTTTGGAGGGAAGGAAGCATGAAATGTATTTAGAGCTTTCCAAACTTTTGATTGTTTTGCACATTCCTACAAAAATAAAAATATCCCATGAGATTAAAAAAAATCAGCTTCTAATGCTTTAGATGAGTGGGAAAATCTTGCACACTGGGGTCATTTCCTTTCTGTTTCAAGAAATTAATATTGTGCTGGAAATAGCCTGTTGCAGAAGGGGAGACTTTATGTCCTTTGAATGCTGATTATGCCAGAAAACTTTCCAGTCCTAAAGGGGAGGTTGTCCCTTTCCCAGGACTCTGATGCAAGATGACCCTGCAGTTTGTACTTTGCTAGGATAGGAGACCCAAGTCAGCAGAGATTTAAAATTCAGAAGGGATCATTAATTTATTCATTCAAGAAACCATGCTAAGCATGGAATAAGAGCCAGGTTAGGTTCTGGAGTCTCACACTGCCCCACATGAGGATCCCAGACTGCCAGCTCCATGACCCTCCTCTGCGGACGGTCCCAAGTCTTTCTGAAGGCCCCTGGTGATTGAACCCTGGCATTCAGAATTAGCAGAAGTGACATACTAATTACCAGTAACTAAAAAGTTGGTGTTCACATCTCTATTGCAGATGCCGGGAAGCCAGGCCGTCAGGGGACAGGCGCAGTCAGCAAGCACCCGCTCTCTCGGTATCTGTTGGCTTCCACAGTTTTGTGTTTCAGAGCCAAACCAGAAATCACCCAGGGGGTTACTTGCATCAGCTCTGGAAAATGTGTAAAGGATTGAAGTCCTGAGACTTTCCCATAATGTCTTATTTAGGCATCAGTCTCCCTCAGTTGATTAGAGCAGGAATCAGCAAATTTCTTTATAAAAGGCCAGTGACAGTGACTATTTTAGCCATACAGTCTCAGCCACAACTGCTCTAGCAGCCAGAGACCACAGGAAACAAATAAGTGTGGCTGTGTTCCAACAGAACTTTATTTTATGGACATTTCCTTTACAATTTTCACACGTCATGAAATATCCATCTTTTAATTTTTTTTCAACCATTTGAAACTGCAGGCCGGGCATAGTGGCTCACGCCTGTAATCCCAACACTTTGGGAGGCCAAGGTGGGGGGATCGCTTGAGCTCAGGGGTTCGAGACCAGCCTGGCCAACGTGGCAAAATGCTGTTTCTACTGAAAACACAAAAATTAGCTGGGCATGCACTTGTAGTCCTAGCTACTTGGGAGACTGAGTCATGGGAATTGCTTGAGCTTGAACCCGGGAGGCGGAGGTTGCCGTGAGCCAAGATCATGCCACTGCACTCCAGCCTGAGCAACAGAGTAAGGTTCTGTCTCAAAAAAATAAAATTTTTCTTAATTTAAAAAAACAAAAATCCAAACACCATTCTTAGCTCATAAGCCATGCAAAAACAGATGGCAGGCCAGATTTGGCCCACAGGCCATAGTTAGCTAACCCAGGACCAGAGAGTCATACCACTTTCATAGCAAAAAGGATACACATGGTTTGTGTTGACTCTGAGTAGGGAACTTCTCCAGAGGGTGCCATGATACAGAAGGTGGGGGGTGTGTTCCCTAATTGGGGGAATGGAGAAGCATCATTCTGGCCTCTCTCAGTGGCCCCATACCTGCTGACTCTATTTAGGCCGTGGCTTGAGGGTGCCCCCCACTTGCCAATGCCTCCTGCCAGGGACCTGGACACTGAGAACGCTGGGAAAGGGCCCTCTCCTTGGGGACCCTGGTCACACCCAATAGATCAGTCACTCTTCTTCCTTCTTACCAGCTGCCTCTCCTGAGCACACTGGAAGAAGGACCCCTGTACCACCTTCCTCGACACCCGGGCCTCTTCTGTTCAAAGGTGCCTCCTGGCCAGGCATGGTGGCTCACACCTGTAATCCCAGCAGTTGGGGAGGCTGAGGCAGGAGAATTACTTGAAGCCAGGAATTCGGGACCAGCCTGGGCAACATAGCAAGACCCCGTCTCTACAAAAATAAAAAATAAAAATTAACTGACATGGTGGTGCACGCCTATAGTCCCAGCTACTCGGGAGGCTGGGGTGGGAGGATCGCTGGAGACCAGGAGTTTGAGGCTGCAGTGAGCTATGATCAAGCCACTGCGCTCCAGCCTGGGTGGCAGAATGAGATTCTGTATCAAAAAAATAATAATAAAATTAAATTAAAAATAAAGATGTCCCTTCCAATCCCCTGACGCACACAGCACTCCACATGTTTCTTTTCTTCCCTGCCTCATCACCCTTTTCAACCTTAGATCCTAAGCTTCTTGAGGCAGAGACTTCCATCTTGTCTGGGTGCTTAGCACATTTTCAAATATTCTCTTAGATTTTTTTTCTTCA
Source organism: Homo sapiens (assembly GCF_000001405.40). Taxonomy (NCBI): domain Eukaryota; kingdom Metazoa; phylum Chordata; class Mammalia; order Primates; family Hominidae; genus Homo; species Homo sapiens. Next base: position 57,041,352 of record NC_000004.12, on the reverse strand, counting down.
TTACCCATGGAGCGGTTGCTTGTTGCCTTTCCAACCCAAAATAGAAATAGTGGTAAACAAAAGAAGAAAAACATTGAACATTTTGGAACTAAAATTTTATTACTACTGGAAAAGTCCCAGATAATAAAAAAACAGCTGGTAAATTAGCACTCATTTAAGCATGGTCTGGGGAAGAAGAAAATTTTAATAACACATTTTTCTTCCTAATTGTTTTTGTTTGTTTAGATTTATGCATTCCCAAAGTGGACCTTAAAATCATGTTGGTGGCAGGAGGAAGCCAGTGTGGTCTTTGAAATTTGCTTCAGATAATCCATCAAGGGGATGGCCTCATAAACAAAATTATTATTTTCTCCCTAAGATGCTGACTCATGTGAAGGACTGTTTAAAAGATGACTTTGGCTTTGTGCCCTCTCCTGCAGGTCCTTCCATAGTGACGCCCCCCAAGGACATCTGGAATGTCACTGGTGCCCAGGTGTACTTGAGCTGTGAGGTCATCGGAATCCCGACACCTGTCCTCATCTGGAACAAGGTCTGTGGCACAGACTTTAAGAGACATCCTAGGCTGACAAGCTTCTCTTGCACTGCACAAGGATGGTAAAACGTTAAATCCTCAGCCTGCTTTGTTGACTGCGGCTCCCGCAAGGTGAAGCCTTAGGGCAGTCATACAGGCCCCTCCCCTGGATTCATGGAACAAAAACCAGTCCCTGCCATGCTTTTGTTAGCAGCATCCTAGAATCTGAGAAACTGGAAGAACAATAATGCTGAACACCTGAACCCACCTTCAGGGTGTGTGTGCACCTGTGGTGTGTGTATGTGTGTGCATATGTGGGTGCGAGTGAAAGTGTGTGTGTCTGTGTTTGCGCCCTCAGTGGAGACAGTATAGCATAGGGGTTAAAAGCGTACGTTTCTCTCTTTCTGTCCCAAAATACCACCTCCAAGCCCCCACCAAGCTGTTTGTGATGGCATCAGTCTCCTCATTTAAGACTGAACATTTAGCTGATAATTTAGATCCTGTCTGCTTGGAGGCATTATTATTATTTTACTGGGAGGCTCGGCTAAGAAGGTAAAAGGACACAAAGCCCTGTAGCCTTCTCCTGGGAGCATGGATTATTTTTTCAGATTCCCTAAGTGCTGGGAGATGGATGAGTACATTTTAAGGGCACTTGGAAGTAGGATAGAAGGAATGAGGTGGGATCTATTCTCCTAAGTACCAAGGCTGTAGAACCATAAGTTAGGGACAGAGGAGACCACTCCAGAACAGAGCATTAAAAAGGAACAAGAGGAGGAATAGCAAAGAAAAAAATGTCTCCTTTCTGAATTTTGCTAAATGCTGGCCCCAGCCCCAAGTGGAAAAAGCATGATATTCTTTTAATAAATCAGCTTTGAAATGACTTCCCAAATGGAAAAAAAGAAAAAAAAAAGTGTGAGGCTGGGTGCAGTAGCACATGCCTGTAATCCCAGCACTTTGGGAGGCTGAGGCAGGAGGATCACTTGAGTCCTGGAGTTTGAGACCAGCCTGACCAACACAGTGAGACTTCCTTCTTACAAATAATTTTTTTAATTAGCTGGGCATGGTGAGGCATGCCTGTGGCCCCAGCTACTCAGGAGACTAAGGTGGAAGAACCCCTTGAGCCAGGAGATTGAGGCTGCAGTGAGCTGTGATTGCCCCACTGCACTCTAGCCTGTCTCAAAAAAAAAAAAAAAAAAAAGAGTGTGAATTCCTTAGCCAGGGTGGCTGAGTTCTCTGCAAGTCAGGGTTTCTCAGCCTCAGCACTATTGACATTTGGGGCCAGATAATTATTTGTTGTGCGGGCTGCCTGTGCTTTGGAAGATGTTTAGCAGTATCCCCAGCCTCTACCCACTATATAACAGTAGCATTCCCCCATCCCCCCTGTCGTGAGAATTAAAAGCATCTTCAGACATTGCCAAATGTCCCCTAAGGGTGTGGAGCTGGGGAATTGCCCTGGACTGAAAACCACTGCTGTTAGCCTCAACTCTGTTCTCTACCTTATAAAAGTAGCATGTAATTATCATAAAGATGAAATAAAGTAATGCAAGTAAAAATTACTTGATACATAGTTAGCACTCAGTAGACATTAGCTACTGTTCCTGGAAATTTTTCCCTTCAAGTGGCATTATCTTGTATAATTATCTTCATATTTGAAGGACAACATCATCTCAGCATGTATGGAGAAGGGAAAAGAAAACACTTATTTGCCATCAACTAACACCTCACAATTATACCATACACTTACGTTTTTGTCTTTTTTTTTTTTTTTTTTTTTTTGAGACATAGTTTCACTCTTATTGCCCAGGCTGGAGTGCAATGGCACCATCTCGGCTCACCGCAACCTCGCCTCCCGGGTTCAAGTGATTCTTCTGCCTCAGTCTCTCAAGTAGTTGGGATTACAGGCACCCGCCACCACGCCTGGCTAACTTTGTATTTTCAGTAGAGACAGGGTTTCTCCATGTTGGTCAGGCTGGTCTCGAACTCCCGACCTCAGGTGATACGCCCACCTTGCCCTCCCAAAGTGCTAGGATTACAGGTGTGAGCCACCGCGCCTGGTCGTTTTTGTCCTTTTTATACATTTTGAATTGCTGAGCCTCACAACTATCCTACGAAAAATAAAAATTAAAAAATTATCAAACTCATGCTACCAAAAAAGGAACTTAGTTTAAGTAAAAGGGCATAACCAGACATCCATTTTAAGCTGCCTTACTTCTCCAGCAAGCTCTAAGGTGGATGATAGTCTCCCTTGACTATTTTGTTTGCTCTCTGTGTGACCGGAGAAGCAACTTCTAGAACTCCAGGAGGACTGTGGCTCCCGCAGTCGGAGCTCTTTCTGTTGCAAGTTCTACCAGCCCATTTGAAACCAGCCTAGGCAAAACAAAAAGCGGGGCGGGATCCAGCCTCAAGGGCCCCTGCATCCAGGTACACACGCCATCAGAACTCTAACTCTTGACTCTTTGCTCTCAATATACTAGTCTCATTTTCTTCTGCTTCAGAAAGCTTCCTATGCAGTGGGAGATATCAACTCCACTCACATTTTTATTACAGCTTAAAGACCCCAGAGGAAAGAAAGGGCTTCCCTTCTCCCTGCTGCATTGTGAAAATCCCACGAAGGGCTCAAGCCCAGGTCGGGTCACCTGCTAAGCTCTGGCTCCCCCATGCGGCCGGAGGGATGCGGCCACTGACATTGGCACCGGCGTGAATCCGCCTGGTTTGTGTAAAATCTGGGAACAGGTACCAGAAAATGCCTGAGGTGGGGGTGATGGCAGAGGCAACACTACTATACCATCCTTTACAGTGAAGCTTCTCTTAAAGGAGCAATAAAATTTCACCCCGATCAGTTATGTTTTTAAGAGGAAGGCGGAGCAAGAGTAAGAGCAGAAATGCAGTCCGTGGATGGGTTCCCCTCCATCCTTACTGCAAGAACTGCAGGCGTTCCTCACTGCTAATTTGGAGATTGCTGGTTTGCTCAGGGTGTGGGGAGGTGGAGAAATAATGTTCCGAGGAATACCCATGAAAAGCTCCGTTGCAGTTCTCTACAGTTTTCTAGGGATACTTACACAATGAGAAGCGAGGGTCACCCAAGCGTCCTGGGGCATGTGACCTTATTGGCAAATCTTGGCAAAGAATAATTTCTTCAGTCCTTGCTCTACCCAATCCCAGCTACAGTATTCACATACCAGAGGAATACGTCTGCCTCGGGAATCTTTTCCCTTTTAGGACTGTACAGGGCAGATCCCAATAGACAAGGCCTCCCTGAGTGCTTGTCCTCAGGGCTAGTCAGAAACACCAAGGCAGTTGAGGCTGGTGTGGTGGCTCGCACCTGTAGTCCCTAGCCACTCGGGAGGCTGAGGTGGGAGGATCGCTTGAGCTCAAAAGGTGGGGCTGCAGTGAGCTATGATGGCACCACTGCACTCCAGCCTGGGCAACAGAGCAAGATCCTGTCTCTGAAAAAAAAAACCAAAAAACCCACTATGTCAGTCAACGAGATGGGTGCTGAAGTAAAGAAGTGAAGAGGAAGTAGGAGAGAAACAATTTTTTCTGCAGACTTTCCAGAACAAGCAAAACCCAACTGTGATGCTCTGCCGGTTTTCCTCTACCTTCATAATGTAATTTGCCACATGCATGACCCAAAGCAATGTTTCTTACACTGCAGACCATGACCCATCAGTGACTCCTGGAACTAATGTAGCGATCACAACCACCATGTTCTTATAAAAAATAAAAAATAGAACAGAACCTATGTTAAGGCATCACACTTACCACTTATGAAGGTGTCATTTCCTAAAACTTTTGTATATTCCAGATATACGATAGTTTGGTCCATGTCAAAACTAAGGAAACTTGGGAAGTCACTGACCTAAATAATTAAACAGGGTATTTGTTTTCTCATCGCTGTCCTTGTAACCAGACTGTTAAGAATACAAACATATTTACTATCATGTGTGTTTCAAATCCAATTTAAGAGTAGAACACCTTTTTGGATAGATTATTAGAATCCTCACTTGTAAAACAAGAGAAACTGAGGCTCAAATAAAGACAGCATGTCCTTCTTGCTCAAGGATTCTTAGCAACAGCAGAATTAATGGTACAAGCCTTTTCTCCATGACACTTGAGACTACGGTGGCAATTCTTACGGTTGGCACAGCCTGGCGAGTGGTCTTTACTTTCCTTACTGGTAGTAAGGAAAGCTGGCTTTAACAAGCCCCATACCTTTCAGCAAACTCCTAGCCTAGAAAGATTCGAAGGGCAATATTTTGAAATGGGAACGTGAACTGAAATAGCCATATTTGACTTAACCCTTTTAAATCAAAGATGATGCTCACAGCGAAAGCAAAACACCTTCCCAATATTTGTTTCTGAGACGGAGAGGCTCTCTGTTTAATTCTTTTCTTGCCTGAATATTTCTTCAGATTAGGGCTTCCTTGACCTCTAAGAATATTTTTTAATCAAAAATAGTGACCTCTAAGGTAATAGTAATAAGCAGAAATTATCCAAAGACGTATAAAGAAAGAGTTGAGAATCTCCCCCCACCTCCTCCTCCTGCCTGAGGTAACCAATGTGAACTGCCCTGGTTTGTATCTTTCCACACTCTTTTTCATATCCAAGCATATTCAAACATATATCCCTACGGTGAAATGAGAATATAGTGTGCCAGTAAATTATTCTGAAACTCGCTTTTCTCAACAAATACTTCATGGACATCCGTCCAAGTCTGCTTCTCAACAGCTACGTAATATTCCAAGTATGAATACTGTAATTTATTAAATCAGTTCTGTATTTTTTCTGTTGTTTCCAAATTTTTGTTAACTTAAAAAACCTACTTTAAGCATCAAAGTACACATATCATACATACTAGTGATTGTATTGCTATAAGATAGATTCCCCAACAGTTACCTAAGTCAAAATATTTGTTTCAGTGTTAACAGACATTGTCAGATTACTTTCTAAATAGATTGTAGTAATTCACACTCCCACCAGAAATGGAGAAGTGCCATTTCTCTGCATCTTTACTAGCACTGAATATTAACCTCTCTTTTTTAGTTTTAATTCCAATTTTAACTAGAAAACACATATTTATTGGCCAGGCACAGTGGCTCATGCCTGTAATCCCAGCACTTTGGGAGGCCAAGGCAAGTGGATCACTTAAGGTCAGGAGTTCGAGACCACCCTGGCCAATATGGCAAAACCCCGTCTCTACTAAAACTATAAAAATTAGCCAGGCGTGGTGGCACATGCCTGTAATCCCAGCTACTCGGGAAGCTGAGGCAGGAGAATCACTGGAATCCCGGAGGCGGAGGCAGAGGTTGCAGTGAGCTGAGATCGCACCACTGCACTCCACCCTGGGTGACAGAGCGAGACTCTGTCTCAAAAAAAAAAGAAAACACATACTTAACAACACTTAGAATCCCCTTACACGAATAAGGGAGAGTTTGACATATAAAAATTTGTCATATGAAAATTCTTGGCACTTTTTTCTATGTTTTCTACATGATGTATAACCTTTTATAATTACGTAACATTAATTAAAATACGCCATGCCAACACTTGTGAAAAGAAGGGAAAAATAAAGTATATCTATATTGTGATTTATGTTAAATATTATATTTAACAAGATACATTTCCCTTTCCATAGTGGATCAGGTTAATTAGCATAAAATGCTGTTACTAAGAGCTATGGGATTTGAGGCTTAGTTGCTGAGATTCAGTATTTCAGTGCTGCAGTGTTTATTTTCTTGCTTTGGTCACACATAAAACTCATATGATTCTGAAATTCAGTAAATAAAGGTCAGAGTCATATTACTTGAGACCTTGGATCAAATTAATACTTCTACCAAAATATTCTTACAACCCATTTTTAAGTAACTATTTCAAAAGCTGTATTAGCATAAACCGTTTCTGCCAGCTACTTGGGAAACTAAGGGAAAAGGTACCTATTGAGTATGTTTGTCTTCACAGCATTTATGAGAAAGACATTAAGTTACGTGGTTTTCTCTCACTAATAGTGGCAATGTGGGAAAATTCCAGAAAAAAAATGCAAAAAGCCAGGCTTTCCAAATCATGCAAGATATTTTTTCTAGAGCAGGAATTGGCCTAGATCACATGTGGTTTGCTGAATCCCAGTCCTGGCATCATAAAGCTGAGAAAATACAGTGTAGGTTTGAAGCCGACACAACAGCAGAGTACCAAAAAACACATGGTAGGAGTGGGATCCACATGGGAAAAGCAACACTGAGATGGAAGTTAATAAAGTGTATATATTTATTTATATATTTATTATATTTATACATACGGTGTCTATATATACACACTATTATCTGGTCTTTATTAAGATTTGCTTTATTATAGAAGAAAATGAAAAGGAAACTAGCTATTTGAGGTTGTAAATCCTTTCTAATTACAAAGGTAATATCAATAAATGTCAGGTTGGCTCTTAAAGGAGATCTGGGATGGAATGAACAAACAATTCGTATATCCTTTTTTTTTTAAAACTCACCATTATCACAAGGCTTAAAATATTTGTACTCTGTAACTCAGCTGCTAAATGTATATGTATCGAGGAGCTACAAGTGAATTTCATTCTTTTGTATATTTTCCAGAGTTTATATAATAAAACATTTTGCCTTTTAAAATGAGGGCAAAAAGGATACTATTCAGTATTGGCCTTGCACCAAAGAAACTGAGTTTCTTCTGAATCTTGACATGACATACACAGAAACAGTCAGCAAGTTTTGTCATAAAAGAACAATGACAGCACATGTATTTGACAGCTGTTTTTTTTTTTTTTTTTTTGAGATGGAGTCTCACTCTGTTGCCCAGGCTGCAGTGCAGTGGCGCGATCTCAGCTCACTGCAACCTCCGCCTCCAGGTTCAAGCAATTCTCCCACCTTAGCCTCCAGAGTAGCTGGGACTACGGGTGCTCGCCAACACAATCGGCTAATTTTTGTGTTTTTACTAGAGACAGGGTTTTGTCATGTTGGTCAGTCTGGTCTCGAACTCCTTTGATAGGTGTTTTTTATCTTAGGTGTTCAGTAAATCATTTGATTAATTCTTAGCCCTCAGAATAAAGTAATGGTATTGGCTTTGGTCTCAGCCTATTTTCCATTGATGAAGCTGTTGCAGGAAGAGCCCCAAGGTCCCAAGCATCAAACCTAGTGCTGGGTGACAGTTCATCAGTTGAACATGGCATGACAGGCAAAAGGCCTGGAACTGAGAAGCAGAATTTCCAAGAGCATGAGTGAATGAATGATGGTGACCAGTGGCAGGAAATTATGACCATGTATATTCCCCAGGCATGCAGAAAAATACATTAGTTTAAAACATGTACGCTTAGCAGGAAACTGGCAGGAAGAAATAAAAGAGGATCTATATTTTAAAAGTATTTAGGAAAGGGAAATAGTTCAGTGAAATGCTGGGTTTACTCTGTTAGAAAGTCTGACATACACTATGTGCAATTGTAGGGATGTGGCCACTTCCAAGTAGATGATCTGGTGTACAAAACTCAGTATTACTCTCCTTTTGTTTTTGCAGGTAAAAAGGGGTCACTATGGAGTTCAAAGGACAGAACTCCTGCCTGGTGACCGGGACAACCTGGCCATTCAGACCCGGGGTGGCCCAGAAAAGCATGAAGTAACTGGCTGGGTGCTGGTGAGTACCAGTACCAAGAGCTGGCAAGAGTTTCATTCTTAGCATTAGACATAAGCAGACCTGGCAAAGGTGCCTGATGTACCGCCAGCCTAAAGGTGCTTGCTCTTCCACATCTGTTTGGAATAGCCTTACCATGGAGTCGCTGCTCCTCTTTCAGAGAAACTAAAGGAAAAGTGCTTTATTGCATGTTTTGAAAACAACCAATGAATTAACAAGAACTAGTATTTTCCTAAGAGTTCAAAGCAAAATCCTCACACGGAGCTGCGTGGCCCAAGCATTGTTTTAACTGATTATCGATTAATAAATACCTTATTTTACTTGACCCTGGATATTCATGGAGAATACTTTGATCATATACCCTTATCAAGGTTGCCCTTAAACCGATAATGTGTACCTATCCAGTTTTTAACCTATGCAGTATGATCAAAAGTTGTCCATGACATTTCCTCATATGAATCCTCAGCAAACCAAATATGGTAGTTATCGAAGTCTCCTATCACAGGACTTGCACTGCTTCTAGCAGTACCTTTGCTATGAATCCCCTGGTCATCTTAGGAAATTTATGAAATAATGACCTCACTGGAACCACTGACAAAAGAGAAGACCACCACAGAGGAATACTAGATCTTTTTTCTTTCACAGGTATCTCCTCTAAGTAAGGAAGATGCTGGAGAATATGAGTGCCATGCATCCAATTCCCAAGGACAGGCTTCAGCATCAGCAAAAATTACAGTGGTTGATGCCTTACATGAAATACCAGTGAAAAAAGGTACACAATAAATCTCACAGCCATTTAAAAATGACTAGTACATTTGCTTTAAAAAGAACAGAACTAAGTATGAAAGTATCAGACGTAGCTATTGATGAAATTCTGTAGTTAGCAACCCATAAGGGCATTAAGTATGCCATTAAAATGTACAGCATGAGACTCCAAAAGATTATCTGGATGGGTGACTGAACATCGTTATTATGACTTAGATGCTTTTACCTTATCTAACATGTAAGAGTCAAAATCAAACTTGCCTGGAATGGCTTCTATTTCCCATAGCTTTCTACCTATCTACTTGGCATTTTCCCTTTGTGTTGTGACTATTAAATTCCTATTTAAAAGAAAATGATTGTGGGCAATTCTCGCCCTTCACTTTTGCTTTTAAAAGAAAAGGCCACAAAGGAGAGTATATTGGCAAATACCCAGTTCTGTTCTGCCTCCCCTTCCTTCACTGCCAAAAAGCTTCCTCTGAAGAACCCATCCTGTGTCATAGCAGTGCTACTTTACATTTATATAGTTCTATGAAACTGATGTCTGAATTGGCTTTCCCTTAGACAAAAGAACAAAATTTACCGTCACCATGTGTCAAACCATTCCACTGTGCAGATCACTCAGCTGTGATATGAAAAGAAATATTAAGTAAAGAAGTATTTGGTCAGATTCTCTTCAGCCATAATGTGTAATGTCAGGCAATGAAACAGAACAGTAGCTAAGAGTCAAGCCATGCGTTTGAGTCTCAGCTCTGCTACTAATTATTCCTCCACTTTACCTTTTGAAGGAGATCCGGACTACAAAGGAAAGGTCTTTAACCTCTCTGAATCTCATTGTGAAATGTGCTCTTCCAGTTCTATAATAAGATGTACCTTTGATGCATCAACCAATACAGCAAAATTGCCTTTCATAGCTAAAATCATGTAACTTGAGTTCCACAGAGCACTCCAGCATATCATTTATACAATTACTCATATATCCTTTATCCCCATATTTTAACATCTTCATTTATTTGGAAACACTCAACTACCTGCCAATTCAAAAGTCAACCACATCCCCATATGTAACTAATTTTTATCTTTTTTTTTTTTTAAACAGGTGAAGGTGCCGAGCTATAAACCTCCAGAATATTATTAGTCTGCATGGTTAAAAGTAGTCATGGATAACTACATTACCTGTTCTTGCCTAATAAGTTTCTTTTAATCCAATCCACTAACACTTTAGTTATATTCACTGGTTTTACACAGAGAAATACAAAATAAAGATCACACATCAAGACTATCTACAAAAATTTATTATATATTTACAGAAGAAAAGCATGCATATCATTAAACAAATAAAATACTTTTTATCACAACACAGTACATATTTGTCATTTTTAAAAAGCCACACAATAGAAACAAGACACCAAGATATTTAATTATCTTGTTGACTCCTGTAAAATAGCTAAACACTCATCATTCGCGGTGCAATACTCATAGACATAAGTTCCTGAAACAATAGTTTGCATGCGTAAGGCATTCGCACCAAAGAAATCTGAAAAGAAAAAACAAATGGTAATTAGCAGAATTGTATTGAAGTGACCCCACTTCTCTACCCCAGAAAAAGACAAAGATCTGGTACTGTAGATAATGAATAAATGAGTGGAGCTGAGAACACACATTCTGCTACCTCAGCTTATGGTGGTTCTTTCTCCTAGTAGGCTTTGGTATTTTACCCATTCTGCCAGACATAATTTATATTCACCCACCTCAACTAAAAGGTTTTCAAAAACTCATTGTTTAAAATCCCTTGTACAAAGTCTTATTATTTCCAAAAGATGAATAGCTTAGAGAAATTACCACACTAAAACCTAAACTGGTTTTTAGAAAAATCAAATTATCTTTTCCTTATTTAGAACTCGGAATCTCACAGAAGCATGCTATCAAAATTGTGAAAATGCCAATCTGTTCTGCCACACTAATTCTGCCTGGATAATCAGACCAACACAGTTTCCTCTAAACAAATATCAACTGCCAGTAAAGTCTATACACACCTGGGTTTTATTGCGGCAGCCCCTGCATTCATATGTATGGGTCCTGGTGTTGGCAATCGCCATTATTCCACAAAGATTGCAAACATGAACCTGATATGGATCTGATGCCTCAAACAATCTTTCCCTTAAAAACTGGGCTGCTCCATGGGCAATCTGACAATCTCGTTCCATTTCTCCAAAACGCAGGCCACCATCACTGTTAAGAGAAAAAAATTATTACTTTGTACTTATTTTTTATTATAAACACCGCCTTGAATAATGGCAAAGGTGGAGAATAATATTTGCAAAGACGGATAACTAGGCTCTAATTTTTATACCCTAGCATTCTCTCTATTGGTGGGGAGAGGAGAAGTCTACCAACTATTTGACGTGCATTAGAAAGTCCCCAAATGGGCTAAGCAAAGTGGCTCACCCCTGTAATCCCAGCACTTTGGGAAGTGGACTGGGTGGATCTCTTGAGCTCAGGAGCCTGGGCAACATGGCGAGACCCCATCTCTATTTTTTAACAAATAAAAATAAAAACAGAAGGTCCCCAAATGGAGTGGATACATTAGATTCTTAAGTAGAGCATTTAATTTTCCTCATAAGACACAATAAAGCATAGAGTGGAGGTTCATCATGCTATCATTTAACTTTCTAGAATTCAACTCTATACTAAAAAAATGAATAATGAAAAAGACAATCTAAATAAGGCAGCTTGTCAATGGAATGACTGTCCCAGGCAATCAACCTTGAAATCATAAATACATGTTGGCTGAAGTAATGGAAAGAACAGGTAAATGATAATAGGTTTCCCCAACATAAGAAGTGAAATAAATGCATTATTCAGATGGCCAGGCAAATAGATGGTGATGGCTTCCTTAACATACTTAATATCCAAAATATACAAAATAAAACCAATGGGTTTATAATGATATTCCACCAAAACAAAAAAATCATTGGTCGACTTTGGACCACTGATCTGGATCATTAGACAACCAGCTCACTATTTTGAAAACTGGTAAATAAAAAAAGAGAATCAAGCATTTATTCCTGCCCTTACTATAAGAACTACATCACTAGGTAACCAAACAGTTGAGGAAACAAAGTTTTAGAAGTAGTCTGGCTAAAAACTGAAGAAGGACTGAGAAAAAATAGAATGGTATCAGTTGGAAATCGCCATTTAATTAAGGTCTTTAGTAATAGCTGCTAAAATCATAAAAAGAAAGGCAACCAGATACTGGAAGTATAGAATACCACCTATAAAGTATTACTGCCAAAAAACTCAAACGCTAAATCTCAAGCCTCAAGATCTATTTACAAAAAACAAAAAACAAACAAACAAACAAAAAACAGCAATGCACAGCATTTGGGATGCAAGCAGCAAAATTCAGTCTCAAGCCCTGGACAAACAGTCCAGGTTGTTCAACAAACAAATTACAAGGGGAAAAAAAAGGTTGGAAGGCAACCAATAAATTCAAAAAAGGACTTATGAGACACTATCAATCAATTGCAAAGCATGGACCTTATCTGTATACTGATTAAAACCAACAAACCTTTAAAAAACTTATGTGATAATCAGGGAAATGTAAATCTGGATATTTAATACTAAGGAGGTACTGTGGTTAGGTTTAGTGTCCTAATCTTTTAGAGCAGAGGTTCTCAGAGTGTGGTTCATGGACCGCCTGAGAGTCAAAGCTATTTTTAATAGTAATACTAACAACATATATTTGCTTCTTTCACTGTGTTTACATTTGCACTGATGGTGGAAACATGAATAAAACTGCTGACACCTTAGCAGAACTCAGGGTAGCAGAACCAAACATTACTAGCAGTCATATTCTCCATTCAAGTGAAGGGGAGAAAAGCCAGTTTTACTTAAAAATGTCCTTAATGAAGCAGTGAAAATAAATAGTTTTATTAAACCTTAACCCTTGAGTATACATCTCTTTCATATCCTGTGACTTTTAAAAAAATGAAAGTCCTCAACCAGGCACGATGACTCACACCTATAATCCCAGCACTTTGGGAGGCCAAGGTGAGAGGCTGGATTGAGCCCAGGAGTTCAAGACCAGCCAGAGCAACACAGTAAGACCCAGTCTCTATATAAAAAATAAAGTAAAATAAAATGGAACACTTCATAAGCACTTCTACTGCATAGTGAAGATGACTGTCTTGAACAAAAGCACTTGCATGATTCTGAACTAGTCCCTTTTAACATGGAGTATCTTTTTTACTCAAATAGCCAGCTGACACCAACTATGTTAACTCATCAACATGTTAACACCCATGATGTTAATTCAGACTTAGAATTAAGTTGACGATGTTGTAGATATTTGGCAGACAAAGAAATGAACAAAAAGAAATGAAAGCAAACGAAAAAAGTAAGTCTTTGAGGAAAATAATTTTAAGTATTTGTTGAAAATGATGAAAATTGTGAGCTTCAAGCAAAAATCAGAATTTTAGGAAACTTCTATGCACCACTATGGGCTTGATAGCTTCCTGATATATTTAAAGGCTTTTCTAATGACATCAGTAGTCATATTAACAAATGCAATTTTTTTATTATAATGAAGTGTGTTAACATTTGAAAATCTACGTAACTCAGCAAACCAATATTTTCCAAATGACCAATTAGGATGCTACAAAATATGCATGTGTAAAAGATACATCTGAAGTACAAGACAAACCAATGAACTTCAAACATAAATACAGAAGGTTCATTCATATGGTTTCAGTTTCTACATCAAAACCAACCTTTGAGAAACTACAACTTACCGTTTTGGTGTAGTATCAAAAAAATATCCACAGGCCAGGCGCCTTGGCTCATGCCTGTAATCCCAGCACTTTGGGAGGCCAAGGCAGACAGGTGGATCACTTAAGCTCAGGAGTTTGAGACCAGCTGGGAAACATGGCAAAACCCTGTCTCTACTAAAAAATATAAAAAATTAGCTGGGCTTGGTGGTGCATGCCTGTAGTCCCAGCTACTTGAGGCTGAGATGGGAGGATCACCTGAGCCTGGAAAGTAGAGGCTGCAGTGAGCTGTGATTGTGCCACCACACTCCAGCCTAGGCAACAGGGATGAAACTGTCTCAAAAAAAGGGAAGGGGTGGGCTGGGCGTGGTGGCTCTTGCCTGTAATCCCAGCAATTTGGAAGGCCAAGGCAGGCGGATCACTTGAGGCCAACCATTTGAGACCAGCCTGGGCAAAATGGTGAAACCCTGGCTCTACAAAAAATACAAAAATTAGCTGGGCTTGGTGGCGCACACCTGTAATCCCAGCTACTTGGGAGGCCGAGGCACGAGAATTGCTTGAATCCGGGAGGCGGAGGTTGCCGTGAGCCGAGATCGCACCACTGCACTCCAGCCTGGGTGACAGAGTGAGACTGTCTCACAAAAAAAAAGCCAAAATATTCCTCTCTTTCCAACCACTTATTTGCATGAAATTAGAACTTCCTCATATACTTAAATATAAAAAATAAAATACTACAATGGAATGAATGCAGAAGTAGATGTAAGAATCCAGCTGTTTCTATTAAGCCAGGTCATTAGAGAGATTCGCAAAAATGTAAACCAATGTTATTCTTGTCACTAAATTCATCTGGAAAATAGATATATTTTTCATTAAACATGGTTTTTTGTTTTGTTTTGTTTTGTTATCGAGACAGAGTCTCACTCTGTCGCCCAGGCTGGAGTGCAGTGGCACGATCTTGGCTCACTGCAACCTCCACCTCCTGGGTTCAAGCAATTCTTCCCTCAGGCTCCCGAGTAGCTGGGATTACAGGTGTGAGCCACCACGCCCAGCCAAAACATGTTATTTATGTTAACACGTAATGAGCTTATTAGCATTTTTAAAACAATAAATTTAAAATCTCAGCTTTAACTTCTAATATGATAAATATCAATAAATACAACTCACATAAAACAAAAGCATTTTGGGTTCCCGGGATCAAGACATTTGAGAACCATTGTTTTAAAGATATACACTGAAAAATTTATAGGAGAAATTATATGATGTCTGGGCTTTGCTTAAAAATAATCAAGAGGGCTGGGTGCAGTGGTTCACGCCTGTAATTCCAACACTTTGGAAGGCTGAGGCTAGAGGATTGTGGCCATGAGTTCAAGTCCAGCCTGGGCAACATAGTGAGACCCCCGTCTCTACAAAATTTTTTGTTTTTTGTTTTGAGATGAAGTCTCACTCTGTCACCCAGGCTGGAGCACAGGGGTGTGATCTCGGCTCACTGCAACCTCCGCCTCCCAGGTTCAAGTGATTCTCATGCCTCAGCCTCCCGAGTAGCTGGGATTACAGGTGTGTGCCACCATGCCCGACTAATTTTTTGTATTTTTAGTAGAGACGGTGTTTTGCCATGTTGACCAGGCTGGTCTTGGACTCCTGACCTCAGGTGATCTACCCGTCTTGGCCTCCCAAAGTGCTGGGATTGCAGACATGAGCCATTGCGCCTAGCCTCTACAAAAAAAAAATTTTTTTTTTAAAGGTGTAGTGGCACATGCCTGTAGTTAAAAAAAAGGTTGGAGGACAACCAATAAATTCAAAAAAGGACTTAAGAGACAATATTAATTTAGCTACTTGGGAGGCTAAGGTAGGATTGCTTGTGCCCAGTTCAAGGCTGCAGGGAGCTGTGGGCATGCCACTGCACTCCAGCCTGGGTGACAGAGTGAGACTCTGCCTTTAAAACATGATGATAATATCAAAGGTTAGAAGGACAGAGATGAATGCAACAAGACTGGCCATCAGTCGATAATTGTTGAAATGGGGGTAACAGGCACACAGGCATTCACTATACCACTATCTCCATTTTGGTGTGTTGACATTTTTCATAATATAAGGTTAATTAATAATAATGATGATGATACAGTTCTTACCGAGATCTACCCTCCATGGGCTGTCTATTGAGGATCTGAATAGGTCCCCTAGCACGAGAGTGAATCTTATCATCCACCATATGCTTCAAACGCTGGTAATAAGTGGGGCCAATAAATATTTGTGATGTGATTTTTCGACCAGTGAACCCATTGTACAGGACCTGCAACAAACACAGATTTTGAAGTGTAGACCTAAAAATTAAACAACGTCAAAGAAGATATGTGTATATATTGTGTTACTCCATTTATATAAAAATTAAAGCACAGAACTAATCTATAATGTTAGCAATTAAGAGAGTAATTAGCTTGGGGTGGGAGTGGAAAGGTAGCGACTAAAAAAGGTTCAGTCGCTACCTTCACATTTTTAGATCTTGGTGTTAGTCATGCAGCTGTGTTTACTTTGTGAAAATTCATCAAGCTGTACATTTCTATATGTGCACATATGATACTTCAATAAAAGGTTACATTGTTTCAGAATAAAACTACACACATACAAAAAAAAACAAGTGGCAAATTACTACTATAAGAGCAAATATACCTCATTTCCTCTGAGATGATAGCCATAATCAGATAAAAGATTAGAAATCTTCTGCACGTTAACAGCATCATTAAATGGAGTGGCATCACCAATTTCACCCTTGTTAGCCGATACCTTTTAAAAAAAAAAGTACTCTTTAAAATGTTGCTTCAGTCTGTCTCCCCCTAAAAGTCATATCAATAAAAATGCATTCAAAAAATTTTTAAATACTTTTAAAATTTGAAAGTATTATTTTAAGTATTTTAAAATTCAAAGATTTTGAACTCAAAATCTATGTTATGGAAAGCTGTGATATATAAGGTTCATTTTATAACCTTACACAAAACATTTAGAACAAATAAACTTGCTTAAAAAAGAAAAACTCAATTATAAGTATTCAAATAGAAGTCGATCCATGGGATCAGGTACAAAAAGAGTGAGACTCCTAAGTACTTCAGATGGCTCAAAGGAAAATGACATTTTAATGCCCTAAAACCAAGCCATCCATATGTTAGACTATTACCACTTTACCTTAAAAGAATACTTAAAAATAGAAAACCTCCACCAAAAGATGTATGCAGAGCTGATAATAGAACTATAAAATTATTAAGTTCACATTGAACTCTCCATCAACAAATTAACTGTTCATCTACAGAAAAGAACTAGTCAAAAGGAAAATCACATATGTATTAGTTGAATGTAGTATATCTCACAAAAATTCTGACTTGTCCATAACTTTGCAAATTGCCAAAAAAAATGGCAGAATCATAAGCAATTTGAAAGCAGAAAAGTAAGTCTCACACTAGCTTTTTACAAAGTACCCTGGCTCAAATGTGAGAGCAATCACCTATCAGAGTTTTAGAAGAAGCATCAGCTTAGAATCTATATTTTTGAAGAACATCTCTTACCTTCCCTTGAAGGCATTCAATTAAGTGACCAATAGTCATACGAGAGGGGATGGCATGGGGATTGATGATGATATCAGGGGTGATACCTTCACAGGTGAAAGGCATATCCTACAAAGAAAAATTTTAAAAGGGACTCAAAGATACATATACTAAACTAGAACTGACATTTCAGTTCTCCCAACTGAATTACTGTATGTCCCAAATTCTGTTTAAACATGGTATGTTCATATACTTATTCAACAATAAAATCAAAAAGTTCAACCTGTATCATCTTTGAGCTCTTAAGTTAAAGCAAATTTTGATTAAAAAAAAAATATTTAACAAAACTGGTTTGGGCATGAGGGAGATCAAAGATACCTACCTCTTGTCTATACTGAATACCACAAGTACCCTTTTGACCATGTCGACTAGCAAATTTGTCTCCAATCTGTGGAATCCTAACAGAGCGTACCTAAATTCATATAAAAATAAGTTAGTTAAGTGGATTTGGTTTACTTTCTAAAACTAGCTACATGAACAAAGTTGTACTCACCCTTATTTTACAAAATTTATATCCTTCCTGATTGAGAGTTACCATAACCTGATCCACAATGCCCGTCTCGCTAGTTCTGAGAAAAGTGCTACAGTCTCTCTTGGTATAGCGTCTATTGGTGCTCTCCAATTCATCTTCATTTTCAGGCAAGGTGACTGTTTTGCCTATAATAACATCATCTCCTGATACACGAACCCCTGGAGCTATCAAACCATCATCATCCAGCTTGTCGTAAATGGCATGCCTCATGCCTGTGAGGAAATAGACACGGAATGTCACATAATCCCCAACAAAGATTAAAAACCACATACATGAATCAGTTCCAAGTCAGAGAGAAGGCCACAGGAGTCTCTATACCATGAATCACACCCTTATTCCAAATATTACAAACTATTCTGAACTCTAATACTACAGCCCACACAGAAAACAAAAAAAAAAGTCTATGAAGGAAAAGAACATTGGAATCAGCACTGGGAAAGCAGATTCTTCCATGACAGACATTTATCGAGTGACTTTGGATATGTTTTTTGTCATCTTCTGATTTCTATATTACAAGAGAAAGAATATCTCTGCCATCAGTGGGTACAGGAGAAAAATTTTTTTAAATTAAAAAGAGAGTATCTATGGATGCCCTCTGTACACATCCTCCCACAGAAATTGTGGATTTCATCTTAACTCAATCTTAACTCCACTGGACATCAATTCACTACTACACAGAGCCACCCAATGGAAGGGGAGTAACAGGAAGATGGCAAAGGAAACAAAATACATTTTACTTCATGCAATGCTATTCAGAGTCAACACTGTAGCAGAGATATTGCATTTCCCTGGAACATCCCATCCATCCCACTGCATAAGCAGGTTTTAAGTGTCTGTCAAAATAAATAACTAGAAAGTAAGTTTGAGTTTTCTAGAAGAAACAACAAATGCTAGGTATCCTCTTCTCACTGGTTATTTTTTAAATGTTTACAAACAATGTGGCTGAACAAATATTATGATCACACCATAATTTAGAAAGGAAGGGGGACAGGTGTGAAGTGTGTCCCCAGAAATTGCATGACCTCTCTGATTTCCTAAACTCCCTCCTCAATGCAGGACCTACCAGGAAGGAAGGTCTATAGCAAGCTCACTCCTAGGTGCAAAGACTTTTATCAAATACACATGTTTTCTTAGATGTGAACTCTAAGAATAACATGAAAACACACTTTCATTGCACAAAAAAAGGGAGAGGAGGACAGGGGCAGGCACAGGGTGACACAACCCATCAAAATCACTTAGGAAAACCACAGTAAGTTAACTTTGGATTCCATCATTTAAATGTTAGTGTCACTTACCCTGGCATGTTTCACGTGTAGGCTTCTCAAAAACTTCTTCTTGATCAAATCCTTTTTTAGACTCCTGTTCTTTGTATGAGCGATAGAAAACAGACCTAAAAACACATGGTTCTAAAGGTAAAGTCTATTTTCTTTTAACAAAAGGGCTGAGACTATACCAACAATTTCTCATTTACTTGAAATTTGGGAGACAATTTAAACTACGAATCTGGGACAAGAGTAACTGCATTAAGGATCTGAGTTAAACTCTAAATGTTATCACATGAGTTATACATATGTAGCATCTGACCCATAACCTTAACCACCTAGTATTATATGTCAAAATGGAAGAGACCCAGGGGTCAATGAATCCAACCTCCGACACATTTAAGAATCCATTACATAATAACCCTGAAAGATGGTCACCTAGGTTCTACTCAAACACTTCCAGTGAGAAGTTTTAACATTGGCTGAGCATGGTGGCTCACGCCTGTAATCCTAGCACTTTGGGAAGCCGAGATGGGTGGATCAGCTGAAGTCAGGAGTTTGAGACAGCCTGGCCAACATGGTGAAACCCCGTCTCTACTAAAAATACCAAACAACAACAAAAAAAAACTCTGGCATGGTGGTGCGTGCCTGTAATCCCAGGTACTTGGGAAGCTGAGGTAGGAGAATCTCTTGAAACCTGGGAGGCAGAGATTGCAAGTGAGCCAAGATTGCACCACTGCATTCCAGTCTTGGCAACAGAAAGACTCTGTCTCAAAAAAAAAAAAAAAAAAAAAGTTTTTACATTAAGCCATAGTATCTGTCCTCTGAGTTCTAGTGCTACCCTTTGAAACTACACAGACAAAGGAAAATCCATCCCCTCTACTAAATTCCCAGTTTTTAAAACAATCTTTATATGCCTTGAATTTGAGGTCTGTTTGTCGACAATCAAACTGAAACATAATGGAAAAAAAGAGCGAAAAGAAAACACACTATAATTTTAACAATAGTTATCTATGGATTCTAAGTTATTTTTATTTCTTCTTTGGACATTTCTATATTATCTAAATGCAACTGTATATTTCCTTACCAAAAGAAAGGCTCAAAATACTAGCATTTGAAAATCCTGAGAGATACAAGTAGTATCTTCAGCTGTTTGTGACCATCAACCAGTCCTTCCACTTTCTGGAGTGCGGCGTAGTTAAACTGTATTTTAAGAACTTTTTTTGCATAAAAAATTAGTGTTTCCACTGTATCTGTGTTTTGACAAATTTACAAAATACTAACCTGAAGAAGCCGCGGTCTACAGCTGAACGATTCATGATAACAGAGTCTTCCTGATTATATCCAGTGTATGATGCAATGGCCACAATTGAGTTGATGCCTGCAGTGAATTTAAGAGCATACATTAAAACATCACCTGGAAAACAGAAAAACTGCCCTTTCTTTAAATCAACTTTAATTACATCATATTTGCCATAAATGCTTGGGTGTTTGTTATCATGGTAACTGCCAAAGTCTATTCCTCCTGGAATAGCAATCTGTGAGGCAACTACTCTGATGGCTAAATATCTCCCACAAGCAAATCCTAGGACTAGTCACTCCCAATGTATCCATTCTTATAGTAAGTGATTACACATGAGTCACCTCCTACTTAGGAAGTGCCTCCCCAAACCAAGTTTCCTGATCCTCACAGCAACTCTGTGCCATAAACAAGATAAGCATTATTATTCTCATGAATCAGAGGAGTGAATTAATAATCTACCCATGATCCCAAAATTAATAAGCAATAGACTCAAGCCCCAGCTTTTAGGTTTGAAACTGATACTACCCCATTCCCCTCTCCTTCTGCCACCAAGAAAATATCATATCTTTCCCACCACAATGAAATTCTTAGTTGCTGCTGCCAAAACACTTTGTTTGATGAGCCCATAAAATAACTTGATATTTAGGTCGGGCATGGTGGCTCACGCCTGTAATCCCAGCACTTTGGGAGGCCGAGGCAGGTGGATCACAAGGTCAAGCGATTGAGACCATCCTGGCCAACATGGTGAAACCCCACCTCTAATAAAAATACAAAAACTAGCTGGGCGTGGTGGCACGCGCCTGCAGTCCCAGCTACTCAGGAGGCTGAGACAGAAGAATCGCTTAAACCCAGGAGGCAGAGGTTGCAGCGAACCAAGATCGTGCCACTGCACTCCAGCCTGGTGGCAGAGCGAGAATCCGTCTCAAAAAAATAAAATAAAATAACTTGATATTCATAACCTGGATATCATCATGAGGAAACAATAGTCAAACCTAAATTGAGACACAATGCAAAAATAACTTTCCTGAACTCTTCACAAATGTCAAGGTCATGAAAGACAAGGAAAGACTGAGAAACTGTTCTAGATTAAGGAAACTAAAGAACCATGCAATTAAATGCAATGCACAATCCTGGATTAGCTCCTAGACCCATTAAAGACATCGTTAGGTTTGAATACAATAACAGTTGCTTTCTCAAAAAAAAAAAAAAAAAAAAAAGACATCATTAGGACAACTGGCAAAATTTGAATTGAGGACTGCTGACTATATGGATATCAATGTTACCCTGATTTTGATGGCTACACTGCAGAGAATGTCCTTGTTCTTAGGAAACACATACTGAAGAATTAAAGAATGATATGGCTTCATGCCTGCAACTTACTCTCATGTGGTTCAGGAGGAGAAATAAAAAGGGAGAGAATAATAGAGCAAATGTGGTAAAATGTTAAAAGTTTTTTTAAAAATGGTACGATGGGCTGGCCGTAGTGGCTTACATCTGTAATCCCGGCACTTTGGGAGGCTGAGGTGGGAAAATCACTTGAGCCCAGAAGTTTGAGACCAGCCTGGGCAACAAAGTAGACCCTATCTCTACAAAAAAAAAAAGAATTTCAAAATAAAGATGCCATGATGAAGTCAGGAATAACAGAACTGCAGTCCCTGCCAGCCATGACTCTCCACTTCACACCAGTACCAAAGGAACATTTGCTTTCAAACCTAGTCCTTCTGTATATTTATTTTCCTCTCTAGCCATAAAGAAACTGTATTATCTAAATGTTGGAGAAAACACAGCACTGCAAGCACAGCCCAAAGATACATGCATACTGTGTAGACAACCTAACAGATTTTGCTTTTCTAGACAAGAGGAACCCCTTGTGGAGGATTTTGAAAATAAGTAATTTTAACCTATGAGAATTTGCTATCAAAATGGTAGAGCCCCATTACAATACACTAAAGATAAACTTTACTAACAAATAACAAATGTTACCCACATTCAAAGCCAAAAGTCTGTTAATACAAAAGATAACAGTGCCAAAGAACTCTACTGTCTCCTTTAATAGTCAACACTCATACCCTTCAGATTTCTCTTCACCATTTTACCCACCATCCAGTCTCCCTGAGAATCTCCTACAAACCTGGAATTCCCCTCCTTATCAGCTACTTCTCAAATCTTCTCTCTTAATTTCTCTTCCTGGTGTCTAAAATTGTCTGCCTCTGGCCTTTTTCTCATTCTAAATTCTCCTTAGGCAATTTCATAGTAATCTATAATTATCATTAATAAATTAAAAATTTTACATCTCTAGACTTGACCGTCTTTCAAATCATGTTTGCAACTCACTGTTGGAAGTTCACGTCTTAGTGTTCTGACACTAAGACACTAAATCAACATATCCAAAACAAAATTATTGTCTTACCTCTAAAACCTCTTTCCCCTTCTAACATGTTCCCAATCTTATTTTTCCCCCAACCTATTCAAAGCACCTCTCTTTAATCACCCAAGCCACAAACACCAACAGTATTTCCAATTCCTCTCTTCATTGCTCCACACTCAACCAGTCATCAAGTCCTATCAAGTGTATTTCAAAAGGTATCTTACCCATCATTCTTTTTCATTTCTTTAGGACCTTGCCATTTCACATTTATACTACTGCAAAAACCCCTAAATTAGCTCCCTGTTAATACAGTACCTGATTGTAATCTACTCTTTATGCCGCTGTCAGAATGGTATTCCTAAAACAAATTTCTAATTGTATTACTTCCCTGATCCAAAAGGTTGGATGGGTCTCCATTTTCAAAATAAAATTCAACCTGTTCAAGCTCTCTCCACACTGAGACCAAGCTTTCACTTCCATATATTTACACTCCACTCCCACTAAGCTGACATGACTAACTGTACCGTACATTTTGCATGTCTTCGTCCATCTGGGCCCTTGCTTAAACCACCTCTCAAATGCAAATACCCCTTCATCAATTTTGCTCCAATCTAAAATGCCACCTTCTCCATGAAACTGGATCTAGACTTCCAACAGGAATTAATTGCTTCCATCAGTCTGTGCTTCCAAAGGACTTTGTACCTCCACCAAAACACTTTCCACATACCTACCTTTTTATTATGTTCATGTTTCCCACCATATTATAAATTCCGTGAGAACAGGCACTATGTCATATTTATTTTTTAATCCTCCCAAGCACCCAGAAAAGTGCCTTAAGCACAGAAGGATCTTAAATAACGTAGAGCAAAACTGACCATACCTGCTGGCAGCTCTCTAAATCGTAGATATTCCATAGACCGTGTAGTCACAAGTGGCTTTTGAGGATAATAGAGAACATGGGCCAATGTGTCCATGCGAACATGGAAGTTGGTGATGTAAACTCCCATAGCCTGCTTACCCATAGCAGACTGGTATGTGTTTCTAGGGGACTAAACGTAAAAATGAAAAGCAGAAACAACAAAAAGTTACTATCACTAATGGAAAAGACTCTGACAATAAATCAAAAGAAATATGATTGGTAAAACTCCTGATTTTTTTCAAAAACAGTAAGTAATAACCATTTGGAATAATCAATTACGGCTCTTAACCATGAAACACAACAGCAATTATATCAAATACTGATTCCGTAGGAGTTAATAGCCTTTTCATTAAAAGGCTTTTTCCCTCCAGATAAGACTACAGAGTTACTTTCAATTTTTATTACTTCTCCCAATTCCTCACACCAGAAGACAAAAAGTGATACCAACCTGGTTATGATCAGGAAAGGGAATAATAGATGCACAGACACCAAGGATCATTGAGGGATGAATCTCACAGTGTGTATATGTGGAACAATAAGCTACTTCTTTCTCCTGTAAATCATCTGGAGTCATTGCAAGCATCACTGTTTCTTCTTCCAGGGTATCAATATACTCCACTACCCCACTGGCCACAAGATCCTGCCAACTAAAAAAGAATTCACTCAATTTTCTACTTCCTCAAGTATTTTAACTAACTATTCCTCCTACTTAAAAGTATTCCTATATTTATATTTAAATAAGTTTAATATTATATATTAAATATACATATATATTTATATATATATATAGTTTAATATTATATATAACTGACCAACATAGTTACATGATTGTTGACAAGTGAAATAGGTAAGCTGCTGGAGAATAAGCACTGGAAGAATACACACCTAACTGTTACCAGTATATACTTGTGAAGAAGAGAGTATACATTGGAGGGCAATTTTTTAAATTTATCATACATATTGTTTGAATGATTTTTATATTAGTATACATAACTATACATTCATATTGCTAAAAAATAAATATTTAAAGCAGCTTCATCTTTTTACTAAATTTCTTATTATATTATTCATATTATTGTCATATTATATGTAATAATTTAGATTATATAGGTTATTTCGCATTATTACTATTAATAGATTTTAATATATCACAAAAACTTTTTTTTTTTGAGACAGGGTCTTGCTCTGTTGCCCAGGCTGGTACAATCAAAACTCACTACTCCTGGGCTCAAGTGATCCTCCTGCCTCCTGAGTAGCTGGACTGCAGGTGCATTCCACCACACTTGACTAATTTTTTTATTTTTTGGAGAGATGGGAGTCTCAATATGTTGCCCAGACTGGTCTTGAACTCCTGGCCTCAAGCAATCCTCCCACCTTGACCTCCCAAAGTGCTGAGATTACAGGCATGAGCCACTACACCTGGGCAATCAAAAGACTTTTAAGCTTAAATAAAATCCTATTAATTATCTTGCTTCATAATAGAAGTTAAGAAAAACAAATGTGACTCCTAAGGATACAGAGTTTTTTCGGGGCAATGAAAGTATTCTAAAATTAAGATAGTGGTGATGGTTGCACAACATTGCAAACACACTAAAAACCACTAATTGTATACTTTTTAAAAATCGTTAACTTGCCGGACGCAGTGGCTCATGCCTGTAATCCCAGCACTCTGGGAGGCTGAAGCAGGCGGATCACCTGAGACCAGGAGTTCAAGACCAGCCTGGCCAACATGGCGAAACCCTGTCTCTACCAAAAATACAAAAATTAGCTGGGTGTGGTGGCACACACCTGTAATCCCAGCTACTACGGTGGTTGAGGCAGGAGAATTGCTTGAACCCAGGAGGTGGAGGTTAGTGAGCCAAGATCGCATCACTGCACTCCAGCATGGGCGACACAGCTGAGGCTGTGTCAAAAAAATAAATAAATAAATAAAATTAAATAAAAATATAAAAAATAAAAAAAGGTTAATTTTACAGTATGTAAATTCTATCTCAATTTTTAATACACACATTTTTCTCACTGCATGTTTTTACCTATAGTTGTTATATTCTCTCTCTTTCAATTGGTCAATATGCCTCTTCTTCAAAAGTAGCTTTTGTTTTTCCACAATCAGAAGTGGTCTACAAATACGGCCTGCATCCGTATAGATCCGAATCTCCCTCTCTCGAATATCTCTGATCATAGAAACCTACATATAAAAAGAAAAAACAGTTCCACAAATTTTTATTTTCTCTTTATTATTAGGCTTAGTTAAAAATACAATACAAATCCTACTAAATTTCTGGAGCAACCAATTTATCAAGTAAAATGTGCAAATCTTAGTTTACCATTGTTTAACATATTAAAAACTTAGGTATAATTTAAAATTTTATGAATGAAAAATCTAACCTTGGCAATTATAAACCTGTACAATACTATCTGGTAATAATGTCATGCAAGTTAACGTAGGAAATATTTTTTCAATACCACAAACACTAGTATGTGACAATTTCTTATTTTGGTTCTTTGCTGATGACATATATCTCACCCTGTAACCTTTCAAAAACCAGCCCTATATCACTTTGCTTTGACCATACTTTCCCAGTCATTAGCCTGACTTCTCACACCCACCTATCAGACGTAAGCCTGACTGCTCACACCCACCCTCAGACAAATGGCTTATAGTCTAGCTATCTAATACAGGGGATAGCCACATGTGACTGAGCACTTGAAACGTGGCGATTCTGAACTGAGATGTGTTGTAAGTATAAACTACATAATGCATTTGAAAGACAGCACCAAACCAGAAAAAAAAGAACGTAAAATAGTTTACTAATAATTTTTATATTAATAGAATGTTGATGTAATACTTTGGGATGTATCAAGTCAAATAAAATATGCTATTAAAGACCAGGCACGGTGGCTCAAGCCTGTAATCCCGCACTCTGGGAGGCCGAGGTGGATGGATCACGAGGTCAGGAGATCGAGACCATCCTAGCTAACACGGTGAAACCCCATCTCTACTAAAAATACAAAAAAAATTAGCCAGGTGTGGTGGCAGGTGCCTGTAGTCCCGGCTACTCAGGAGGCTAAGGCAGGAGAATGGCATGAACCCGGGAGGCAGAGCTTGCAGTGAGCCTAGATCACGCCACTGCACTCCAGCCTGGGCAACAGAGCAAGACTCCGTCTCAAAAAAAAAAAAAAAAGAAAAAAAAAGACCAGGCACGGTGGCTCATGCCAGTAATCCCAACACTTTGTGAGGCAAAGGTGGGCAGATCACCTTGAGGTCAGGAGTTTGAGACCAGCCTGGCAAACATGGTGAAACCCTGTCTCTACTAAAAATACAAAAATTATCTGGGCGTGGTGGTGTGCGCCTGTAATCCCAGCCCCTCAGGAGGCTGAGGTAAAGAATCACTTGAACCCGGGAGGCAGAGGTTGCAGTGAGCCAAGATCATGCCACTGCACTCCAGCCTGGGCAATAGAGTAAGACCCTGTCTCAAAAAACAAAACAACAAAACATCAAGTTTTTCTCTAAAATGAGTCAAAAGACAAGAAAGAGAAAAATGTTCCAAGTTCCTAGTCTACTGCCTGTCCTTAGAAAGTAATTTAAGGAGGAACACTGTGAGCAAAAATATCATGAGTAGTATTCTAAAGTCCAAGAAAGATTCTTCTTTCAAATGCACTGCCTTAAGTTCTTAGAAAACTAACATTCCTAACAGAATACAGCTCTATGGGTCTTTTTCTCTTTTTTTTTTTTTTTTAATATAAACATGGTCTTGATATGTTGCCCAGGGTGGTTGGTCCTAAATTCCTAGCTTTAAGCGATCCTCCCACCTCAGCCAGCCCAAGTTATGCCATTACAGGCATGAGCCACCACACCCGACCACTCTACCTCACCCACCAGCTGTTTTTGTAAACACAGTTTTATCAGTTTATGTATTATCTACGATTGGTTCTCATTACAACAGCAGAGCTAAATACATAATACACACTGTGTGATGAACAAAACCTGGGTGTGGTGGCACACACCTTGTGGTCTCAGCCACTTAGGAGCCTGAGGTGGGAGGATCGTTGGGGCCCAGGAGGTAGAGGCTGCAGTGAACCATGATTGTGCCACTGCATTCCAGCCTGGGTGACAGAGAGACATCCTCTCAAAAAAAAAAGAAAAAAAAATACAGCCAACCTACTGCATAGCTCCCAACACTTTGGGAAGCCAAGGCAGGAAGGACTGCTTGAGCCCAGGAGTTCAAGACCAACTGGGCAACATAGTGCCCAGATTTTTTAATCTCTCTATTAAAAAATACAGAGATAGAGAGATAGAGAGACAGAGAGAGACATTTTTTTGAGCTTTCTCTTAGCCTTGCCTGCCCTCAAGTGAATCACTCTCTTCCTGACTTCAAGCTGTAAATAAGCCTGGGTCAAAACCCAGGGCCAGGCTGGGCTCAGTGGCTCACACCTGTTATCCCAGTACTTTGGAAGGCCAAGGCAGGCAGATGGCTTGAGCCCAGGACTTCAAGACCAGCCTGGCCAACTATGGCAAAACCCCATCTCTACCAAAAATACAAAAATTGGCCAGGTGCAGTGGCTCACGTCTATAATCCCAGCACTTTGGGAGGCTGAGGCAGGTGGATCACCTGAGGTCAGGAGTTCGAGACCAGGCTGGCCAACATGGAGAAACCCAGTCTCTACTAAAAATACAAAAATTAGCCAGGCATGGTGGCAGGCACCTGTAATCCCAGCTACTCAGGAGGCTGAAGCAGGAGAATTGCTTGAACCCGGGAGGCAGACGTTGCAGTGAGCCGAGATCATGCCACTGCACTCCAGCCTGAGCAAGAGAGTGAGACTCCACCTCAAAAAAATAAAAATAGAAATACAAAAATTAGCCGGGCATGGTGGTACACATCTGTAATCCCAGCTACTCAGGAGGCTGAGGCATGAGAATTTCTTGAACCTGGGAGACAGAGGTTGCAGTGAGCTAAGATAGCAACACTCTACTCCAGCCTGGGCAACAAAGCCAGACTCTGTCCCTGCCCCCCAACAACAATAACAAAAAAACACTCAGGGTCTGCTGCTGGAAAAGGCCCAGAACAACCAAACTCTCTTCTCTGCTGTTTTAGGTACAAAGACCAGCTACTGGCTAAGCGTGTTCAGTTTCTCTCAAAAACCACTTTCACCCAAGGTATAGATTTGGGAAAATTAAAAGCCTGAACTACATTCCGCAAACAGTATACTAAAACCCTTACTTGGGAGAGTAATAAAGTTCACAATATATTGTAATGATTTTTTTTTTTTTTAATAAATTTTTGGAGACAGAGTCTCACTCTGTCACCCAGGCTGGAGTACAATGGTGCAATCTCTGCTCATTGCAACCTCTGCCTCCCGGATTTAAGCAATTCTCATGCCTCAGCTTCCCGAGTAGCTGGGACTACAGGCACATGCTACCATGCCCAGCTGATTTTTTTATTTTTAGTAGAGACAGGGTTTTGCCATGTTGGCCAGGCTGGTCTCAAACTCCTGACCTCAAGTGATCCGCCTGCCTCAACTTCCCAAAGTGCTGGGATTACAGGCATGAGCCACCAGGCCCGGCCTTATTGTAATGATTTTTTTAAAACCCATCCTAATCCCAAAGCACTTCAATATCCTCCAAAATATAAAAGAATCTATTAGTGGTATATCACATTTTATTAATGAATCTCTGGATTCAAAGGATAAATCCCAGATGGTTATTCCCTTTTAAAAAGTATTCTCAGCTTTATAAAAAGATTCCCAAAAGAATTTTTACTTTAAAATGTAATTTGAGTTCTAAAATATAATTTAATAATTTAAAATGTGCCAAAATTTTTGGAAGCATGCATCGAAAGATTAAGGCAAGCAATAACTTCTTTTTTTGAGATGGAGTCTCGCTCTGTCGCCAGGCTGGAGTGCAGTGGTGTGATCTTGGCTCACTGCAACCTCCGCCTCCTGGGTTCAAGCAATTCTCCTGCTTCAGCTTCCTGAGTAGCTGGGACTACAGGCGCGCGCCACCACGCCCAGCTAATTTTTGTATTTTTAGTAGAGACAGGGTTTCACCATGTTGGCCAGGATGGTCTCAATCTCTTGACCTTGTGATCCGCCTGCCTTAGCCTCCCAAAGTGCTGGGATTACAGGCGTGAGCCACCATGCCCAGGCTTTTTTTTATTTTTTGAGACAGAGACCCACTCTGTCACCCAGGCTGGAGTGCAGAGGTGCAATCTCACCTCACCATAACCCCCGCCTCCCGGGTTCAAGTGATTCTCCTGTCTCAGCCTCCCGAGTAGCTGCGATTACAGGCCCATGCCACCGTGCCTGGCTAATTGTTGTATTTTTAGTAGAGATGGGGTTTCGCCATATTGGCCAGGCTGCGCTTGAACTCCTGACCTCAGGTGATCTGCGCCTCGGCCTCCCAAAGTGCTGGGATTACAGGCATGAGCCACTGCACCCGGCCTAGCAATAACTTATAATTAAATTTACACTTTACAGTTCAAGGGAATAAAGTTCAAAGAAAAGATGCCAATGCAAAGATAACTTTCACTAGTCCTATGCCTTGTTTAAAAATCTCACAGTCCACACCCTCTTAACTAAAGATTCTTACTTCAGACACAATGATGTCCATCTGACGTCTCAATTTCCTTAGGGTGTTCATAAGTTGTTCGGGATCTTTATGTATTCCAACCCAGCAGCCATTAACAAAAATCTTGGTTGCACTACAATGAAAAAGCAAAAGCATTTTACACTTAACAATTCTATACTAAGCAACAACTAAAGATTAACTATAGTTTAAAAAACTAATTCCATCTATACACACTCAGCAATAGCTGCAGGAGAAATTTCTTCTAAATTTTCCATACTCCATTCTTCTAAAAATTCCAGAATTGGAGATGGTTGAGATCCAACTGAAATATACGCCATCAAGGCTAAATTCTTCACAAGTCCTACAGCATGGCCCTAAAAAATAAACCAAGTATTAGTCATTCTGATTTTACATGCCTATCAAACTTCTTTTCCATAAACATTTTTCCTTCAATGTGATTTCAAGATTTATTCTTACTTTCTAAGAATACAATTATAAAAAAAACTTATTTCTAAACCACTCTGCATAATTTTTCAAACATCTATTTCTAAAAGTAATTATGCCCTACATAATTACCCACTGACTTTTTGTCCTGAATGTAAATTCTAATGTATTACCTCTGGGGTCTCGGCAGGACACACCATTCCCCACAACGTATTATGCAACTGTCTTGGTTTTGCTAGCTTGCCGTCTCTACCAATAGGAGAATTTAAACGACGCAGGTGAGAAAGAGTAGACGCAAAAGTCAGGCGGTTTAACACCTAGAAAAAAATAGCCAATCTTTAAAGTCTGGACATTTCTGTGATTCATACTATTACACTGAGGCAAAGTCATATTTTTACATATAATCTACTGAGTATCAAACTGTTCCCCATTTCTCTATTCTTTCCCTGAATAATGTTGTTTGACACTTTAACTTACCTGCCACTTGCAGCAGGGATGGCAAATATATTCAAACATACCACATAAACATTCTGTTTATGGTCTCCAAACAAACACTAGGACATTAGTTTCATGAAGGCAGGGAATTTTTTAAAATTGTTTTATTCTCTGTTGTATCCCAGCACCTAGAACAGTACTTGGCATTCATTAAGTACTCAGTAAGTGTTAAGTTAAATTCTACCAACTCACACTCCTCTGATCATAGCAGACATCACTAATCCATCTCAGTACTTTTTCCAGACTGAGGCCTCTGAATCTAATAGAAAAATGCAAACATCCATTACTAATACTTACAGGATACTAAGCAAGATTTTATTTATAAATAAGATAATATTTAGGGCAATATAAAGCAGACAACTCAAGCTCTATATTATTAATTATTTATAAATCTCCATCTTCCCCCAGTCCTTAAACAATTCAAACTTTCTTCCTCTTTCCTAAGTCTTCTGTCGTGGATAAGCAGCATCACCTTTCTCTCAATCTGGAAATCTCAAAATCATTTTTGTCTCCAAGTTCCTCCTTCTACCCATCTATAAACATACCCTATCAATTCTATTTTCAAATATTCTAAAAAACCTAGCCCCTCCCTTCCCAATGTCACAGTAATAGACCAGCCCATTTCCCCTCACCTATACTACGTCCATCAGCTCATAAGTCCCTGCCTGGTTCCCTCCAATCTACCCTCTTCACTTGCCAGAATTATTAACACTTACCCACTTAAAAATTAAACAGGTAGCCACTGGCTACAGAAGAGCACAACATTAAAGTCCTCCTCAATGAAGCCCCAAAAACAACCTTCCCCTACC
The DNA here is from genome assembly GCF_000001405.40 of Homo sapiens. NCBI lineage: Eukaryota > Metazoa > Chordata > Mammalia > Primates > Hominidae > Homo > Homo sapiens. Next base: position 57,009,373 of record NC_000004.12, on the reverse strand, counting down.
AGTCTCCTTACACTCCTGTACTCCACTGACATCACCATACACCCTCACCTCCAAGCCTTTGACCATGCTATTGCCACAGAATGAAATACACTTCTCCACTCTGCTCTGCCTGGTGAAATGATACCACCTCTACAAAGCCATCTGACACACCACCAGGAAGAACTATTCTCTTTTCTGTACTCATTGGAGTTTTCAACCATTCTACTAATCAATCACAAAGTCTTACGAAACTTACTTCCTAAATATTTCCAAAATTTACTCTCCATCTCTACAAAACTGCTCTAGTCCAGTCCCTAATTACTTCTCACCCCAGGCTGTTGCAACAATCTTCCTGCCACCAAACTTGCCCTTCTCTTTTCTCCACATTGCCAATTACTGTGAATCTGTCCAAAAGAACAAAAATGACCACGTCACTCCTCTTCATGAGCTGGTTCCCATCCTCCTAAGCCTCCACTTTGATTTGAAAACCCAGAACTGCTCTAGCTCCCCCGACAGACACACATTCCTTCCTGCCTCCATCTCTTTTAATTCAGAATATTAAGAAGTTCTCTAAGCTCTCTTATGAGCTGCTGGTTCTACCTACCTCGCAACTTGGGCGTTTTCCAAGTACTCTTCAAGATTCAGTTCAGGTGTTACCTCCTAAACAAGGACTTCTTTTCACCTTCTCAGGCTGTGCTAAGTATCTTTCTCCAGCATTTCCACAGAGCAGCAGTGCACATCTCTTATTATAACAGTTACCATGCCATGCTGTAATTATCTGTTTACATCTACAAGCATAGACTGTCAACTACTGAAGATCAGGATCACTGCATCTCCAGCATGTGGCAGAGTGCCTGGCACATCACAGGTCCCAATAACAATTCCTTGAACTGGGCCAGGCACGGTGGCTCACACCTGTGATCCCAGCACTTCGGGAGGCCGAGGCGGGCAGATCACGATGTCAGGAGATCGAGACCATCCTGGCTAACACGGCAAAACCCCGTCTCTACTAAAAATACAAAAAATTAGCCAGGCGTGGTGGCGGGCGCCTGTAGTCCCAGCTACTCGGGAGGCTGAGGCAGGAGAATGGTGTAAACCCAGAAGGCAGAGCTTGCAGTGAGCGGAGATTGCCACTGTACTCCAGCCTGGGCAAGACAGCAAGACTCTGTCTCAAAAAAAAAAAAAAAACCAATTCCTTGAACTGAATTTGCAATGTGGCATTTGTCATAACACAGCACAGGGCATAGTGAGCTACACATGAATGAATCTGTTTCCTCTGCTAGATGCTGATGAGCTCCCTGAGGGCTGAGATCAGCATCTCATTCATGTGTGTGAACTCAGTATCACAAATATCAAATATACCCAATAAATCCTTACTGAATTACAAGGAATTTAAATATTAACTTTGCTATCAGTAGCCCCTCAAAATTTCTTACAGCATCCAGATTTCTAGGAAAAAGGAGCTTGAAATTGGTGTCCGAATGCCAAATCAATCAGGTGATACTGGTATAGGCCAGTTTAAACAAGGAAAGGAGGGGGAGATCCCCCTAAAAATGGCATAAAGTACATTACAGGTTTTCAATCATCTATGAAAAGCAAATACAAAAAATTAAAATGCCCAGTGATACACTCTTTAAAAAGCTTTTCTCCATTACTCCATCTGAGAATAGCTACTGCAGTCATTATATATGCAACAGACCAACATATAGAAACCAGTGTCAGAAGTACTGTATTTTCCAACAAAGGAGGGCGATGACCATTTTTATCTCTTAGTTGGCTTCTAATGTGGAGCTTTTAAGACATAAAAATTTCACTAACATGGACTGTCTCACCCACTAAGCAGCTACTCTAATTTTTTAATTACTTTGAGTTTCTAAACTGCAAGCCAAAAATCTATCTTAGTAATACTAATAGCTAATTTAAGAAAATTTCATGTTCATAATTCAAAAGTCCCCAGTAAGTTTTTTTTTTTGTTTTTTGAGACGGAGTCTCACTCTTTTTGCCCAGGCTGGAGTGCAGTGGCATGATCTCAGCTCACTGCAACCTCCACCTCCCAGGTACAAGCGATTCTCCTGCCTCAGCCTCCCAAGTAGAGTAGCTGGGATTACAGACACCCACCACCATGCCCAGCTAATTTTTGTATCTTTAATAGAGATGGGGTTTCGCCATGTTGGCCAGGTTGGTCTCAAACTCCTGACCTCAGGTGATCCAGCCCACCTCGGCCTCCCAAAGTGCTGGGATTACAGGTGTGAGCCACCACACCCGGCACCCAGTAGTTTTACCTTTGACCAAGAAAGAAAAGCAAAATAATTTATATTCAACAAACAAAAGAATCTACTAGTCCTATAAACATGTTTCCTATTGAGCCTGTAGTCATAGTTGGCACACTTACCTGAGATACTCCAGCTCTGGCTTGATGAGCTTTCTTTTGATCACCCCAGTTTCCAGTAGCTAAAGAGTATTTTAGGCCATCAGATATGATCCGTGTTTTAATTGCCAACTCCAAGTTAAAATCCTTTCCTCGATCAATAAATTTCTGTGCATAGATCCGCACTTCTTTAAGCAAATTCTTAAACATACTGCCGAATAAAATGGTATTATTTTAAACATGTAGAGGTCTACAACATATATTCTCAACAGGAGGAATATTGCAAAAAAAAGCGTGGGGAAGGTGAGCAAAAATTGTTTGGGCAGAGTGAAAGTTGTTGCTCTTTTATGTCTAAAGCACAGATATATGTATAGTACGTGAACATACATGGCAGGGGAGCAACTACACAAAAATGTCAAAGAGGTGGGGCATGGTGGCTCACATCTGTAATCCCAGCACTTTGGGAAGCTGATGTGGGCAGATCACCTGAGGTCAGGAGTTTGAGACCAGCCTGGCCAATATGGAGAAACACCGTCTCTACTAAAAACAGAAAAATTAGCTGGGTGTGATGGCACACGCCTGTAGTCCCAGCTACTTGGGAGGCTGAGATAGGAGAACCGCTTGAACCCTGGAGGCAGAGGTTGCAGTGAGCCGAGATGGCACCATTGCACTCCAGCCTGGGCAACAAGAGTGAAATTCCATCTCAATAAACAAAAATGTTAAAAGAGGCTCCTTAGTGGGGCAATATCAAAAAAAGGTTGAAAAACACTAATCTATAACATACTAAATAACAAAACACGTGCAAGACAATGCTAATGTTATCCTTTTTGTACTGTCTACATATTTCATTTTTAAAAATAACTTTTTTCCAATTATAGAAAATATGGGAAATATACAAACATCAAGAATAAAATTAAAAACTGCACATAATACCAATACTGTGAGACAATCACTGACAGTATTTTTATATATTTATCTCCAGCTTTTGTATATATGTGTACAAAGCAGGACAAAATCCAATATTAGCCCTTAGGAAAACCAAGGCAATAATTCAGCTTTCTCAAACATCTTACAAAGCTACCAGAGGAATAAAGAAAATATATAAACACGTAATATATTGTCCTCATAAACCTGGCTTTCCTAGACATGAACCAAAACTAAATCTGAGCAAATAGCAATAAGAATGTAGCTAATTTCATAAGTACCCAACGTGGATGCCAACACAGTTTAGCCTGGCCATATGCAATGATCAATCTAAAGTGAAATAAATCTCCCTGCTTTAATGACTTCATTCTGTAATTCCTTACCCTCTAAATAAGAATGCAAGCAGCGGCCCAGCAAGATCCAATCTCTTGTTTCCATAGTGATCTCTGTCATCTAGTTCTCTTCTACCCAAAGCTGCCAGAAGTAACCTATGAACCATGTATCTTTAAAAAAAAAAAAAGAAAGAAAGAAAGAGGGAAAACACTTAGTTTTGGACTTTTTTTTGATTTATATGTTAAAAACATCATTTTTGACTCTAAGAAAAACCTTTATCTCAACTGTATCTTGATAAAGAACTTAAAACAATGAAACTTAACATACCCCAAGAAATAGGCTTTTTTGGTCTCACAAAAATCACTGACACCAACATGAGGGAGCATTTCTTTTTGTAAAACTTCCTTTGCATATTTAATTCTTTTCTCTTTAGTAACACCAGGCTTTGCTCCTCTTGAACCAATGAAATTTAGTGCAACATTCTGTTCTTGGATGACAAAAGCTTCATCGAGAGAAGGTTTAACCTATCAGACAATTTAAATAAAAGTTATTTTCAAATTCATGTTGCTACCTTAAAATGAGTAAACTGTCACTTAGTTTATAACATGCCAAGTACCCCTATGAACATAATAAAATATGTGAGTATTTTTAGAAAATCAAGGAATCACAAACTCTTAGAAGATACCTCAGAGATCTAGCGATCTCTGACAAAAACCACTCATCAGCACAGGCAATTACCTTTCTAGAAAGATACAAATAATTCCATTATAAAAAGAGTAGTGCATGGCCAGGAGCAGTGGCTCATGCCTGTAATCCCAGCACTTTAAGAGGCTGAGGTAGGTGGATAGCTTAAGTCCAGGAGTTTGCAACTAGTCTAGGCAACATGGCGAAACCCCCATCTCTACTAAAAATACAAAAATCAGCTGCCGCAGTGGCACATGCCTGTAGTCCCAGCGACTTGGGAGGCTAAAGTGAGAGAATCGCTTGAACCCGGGAGGCAGAGGATGCAGTGAGCCAAGATGGTGCCATTGCACTCCAGCCTGGGTGACAGAGTGAGACACCGTCTCAAAAGGAAAAAGAGTGGTGCGTTTCTTTTTTACATTTTACCAATGGAAAAATAAAGTTCCAGATATCTAAAATCAATTTACAGAAATTTCATAGTCAAATTAAAATTTACTGAACTACAAATGGTTAATGTGCCAGATTGTTTTCAGTTTTGGTATTAAAAAATGTTTGGCCTGCGTGGGGTGGGGCTTACTCCTATAATCCTAGCATTTTGGAAGGCCAAAACAGGAGGATGGCTTGAGTCCAGGAGTTCAAGACCACCCAGGGAAAGAAAGTGAGAACCTAAATCTACAAAAGAAAAATAAATTTTTATCCAGCGTGTACCCTGGATGTAAAAAAAAAAAAAAAAAAAGATTTGCTGGGAATGGAGGCTCATGCCTATAATCCCAGCACTTTGGGAGGCCAAGGCGGGCAGATCACAAGGTCAGGAGTTCAAGGCCAGCCTGGCCAACGTAGTGAAGACCAGCCTGGCCAACACAGTGAAACCCCGTCTCTACTAAAATTACAAAAATTAGCCGGGCATGGTTGCGTGTGCCTGCAGTCCCAGCTACTTGGGAGGCTGAGGCAGGAGAATTGCTTGAACCTGGGAGGTGGAGGTTGCAGTGAGCCAAGATCATGACACTGCACTCCATCTTGGGTAACAGAGTGAGACTTCATCTCAAAAAAAAAAAAAAAAAAAAAAAAGATTTAATTTAAATTAAACCTAATATTTTACAAAGGAGACAGTTATTTATTTTATTTTTTGAGACAGGGTCTCACTCTGTCGCCCTGGCTGGAATGCAGTGGTAGCTAGGAGGAGTACAGACAACACCACCACACCCAACTATTTCTTCTTCTTCTTTTTCTTTTTTTTTTTAAGAGACACAGTCAGTCTCCCTTTGTCACCCAGGCTGGAGTGCAATGGCACCATCTTGGCTTACTACAACATCTGCCTCCTGGGTTCCAGTGATTCTCGTGCCTCAGCCTCCAGAGTAGCTGGGATTACAGGCATGCACTACCACACCCAGCTAATTTTTCTTTTTTTTGTAGAGACAGAGTTTCCCAAGCTGGTCTCAAACTCCTGGCCTCAAACGATCTACCCATGTAGGCCTTCCAAAGTGCTAGGATTACAGGCATGAGCCACTGCACCCATTCTATTTCTTTTCTACAGACACAGGGGTCTCATTATGTTGCCCAGGCCAGTCTCAAACTTCTGGGATCAAGCAATCCTCCTCCCAAAGTGCTGGGATTACAGGCGTGAGCCACCATGCCAGCCCAAAAGTTATTTTATTTTTTTTGAGACAGTCTTGCTCTGTCACACAGGCTGGAGTGCAGTGACGTGATCTTGGCTCACTGCAACCTCCGCCTCCCAGGTTCAAGCGATTCTCCTGCCTCAGCCTCCTGAGTAGCTGGGACAACAGGCGCACACCACCATGCCCAGCTAATTTTTGTATTTTTAGTAGACACAGGGTTTCACTACGTTGGCCAGGATGGTCTCGATCTCCTGACCTCGTGATCTGCCCGCCTCAGCCTCCCAAAGTGCTGGGATTACAGGCGTGAGCCACCGCACCCAGCCCAAAGGTTATTTTAAAAACACACTGTGAAAGAGACCTGCCTCCCATTCCTGCCACTATCTGTGGCCTCTCAGAAGGCATGTAATGGATTTCCTCATCTACAAAAGGGTTATATAAAATAATTTCTAAGTTCCATACCAGTTCTCATATTCTAAATTTCCAACTATACACGATAATGAGCATGAGAAATGAAGGGTAACATTTGACAACTCTGGCCTCTGTAAGTGCCCTCTGATCTTATCCCAGACACTGAAATGCCTTTCTTGCCCTTGATTTCCTATGTCTTTTTATCACTGGTCCACAAATTTGTTTGTTTGGTTTTTTTTTTTAAAGAAAGGGGGAGGACCCAGGGGTCAAACAAAAATATGGAACCCTTCTCATTTGTGTCTCATCCTTACACAGAGACATGCTAACCTACATATTGTTCCAGTATTAGTATATGTGCTACAGAAGCGAGGACCATTCCACAAGTTTAAACATCAAAATTCCAATCATGGAAACAAAGATCAGAAAAAGGCCATGTCAACCAAAGTGAGGTCACAGATAGTACAGTAAATCAAAGTGATATTTTTCAAAGGAAACTGCCACTGTTGTTTAAAAAAAATGATTTTGTTAAAATATAGATTAGAAAAAAGGAATAACAATAATGTACTTTTGGAAGAAAAAAAATAAAGCAGTTTTATGAAGTGAATGCTTGACTCAGAGACTTGTAAAAATTGGCTTAAGCTTCCTAAGTGCTGAAAAAACCAACAGTAATACTCAAAAAGACAACATACATAAAGCATATCATATTTTTCACTTTACTACGAAAACTCCAGGTCGGGCCTGGACACGGTGGTTCACGCCTGTAATCCCAGCACTTCAGGAGCCCGAGGATGGTGAACCACTTGAGCTCAGGAGTTTAAGATCAGCCTGGGCAACACGGCAAAACTCCATCTCTACCAAAAATACAAAAAATTAGCCAGGCATGATTGTGCACACCTGTGGTCCCAGCTACTCAGGAGGCTGAGGTGGGAGAATTACTGGTGCCCGGGAAGTCGAGGTTGCAGTGAGCTGTAATTTCACCACTGCACTCCAGCCTGGGTGACAGAGCGAGACCCTTTCTCAAATAATAATAAGGTATGTAACTACTGGCAAAATCTGAAAGTAAAATCTAACCAGAACCCAATTTTCTCATGTAACCACACCAACAAATATTCAAATAACTAAAATATACTCCCTGTTCTAACTTTGTGACAAAGATTTAGCCTGCAAAATCTGTGACAAAGATTTCTCTGTAGTCTTAAGCGCTCTGGACAATTTAAGACAATTTTAAGAATATCATTTACTGTTCAGATAAGGAGCATCAATGGAAAAAATTTATAAGGAACTGGACATTTAACCTCAAAAATCCTTCCCATAAAAGGTTCCCACAAAAATAGTAACCTTACAGTGGAGGTACCTAACAGACACCACTGTGAAGCGATCAAAGTTAACAGTACCATTAATGGGGCAAAATGACATCACATGACTCTTGTTGAGATGCCCTGGGAAGCATATAATATTACTTAAGTATTTTTTCTGCCAAAAAAGTGCATAAATTGAATCTAATCATGGGGAAATATGTGAAAAACACAACTGAGGACAATTCTACAAAATAAATGGCCTGTCCTCTATATACTTTGTTATGAAAGACAAAGAAAGGCCGAGGAGGCCAGGCACGCTGGCTCATGCCTGTAATCCCAGCACTTGGGAGGCCTACGCAGGCTGCCCCTCACTTGAGATCAGGAGTTTGTGACCAGTTTGGCCAACACAGTGAAACCCTGTCTCTACTAAAACTACAAAAATTAGCCAGGTGTGGTGGCACGTGCCTGTAATCCCAGCTACTCACAAGGCTGAGGCAGGAGAATCGCTTGAACCCAGGAGGCAGAGCTGAGATTGTGCCACTGCACTCCAGCCTGGGCGACAAAGCGCGACCTTGTCTCCAAAAAAAATAAGGCCAAGGAAGGATTGTAAAAGACTAAAAAGACATATAATCAAAATGCAATGCGTTATTCTGAATTGAACTCTGAACTATAAAAGAGATTAAACTTGAATTACTATATACTATTAATGTACAGATCTTATTACTTAATAGTTTTCAATATTATCAGGACAACTGACAAAAATCTGAGTCAGATCTGTACATTAACAGTATTGTTGTAATCCTATCACTTTGGGAGGCCGAGGTGGGCAGATCACCTGAGGTCAGGGGTTTGAGACCAGCCTGGCCAACACAGTGAAACCCCGTCTCTACTAAAAATACAAAAATTAGCTGGGCGTGGTGGCACGTGCCTGTAGTCCCAATTACTTGGGAGGCTGAGGCAGGAGAATCACTTGAACCTGGGAGACGGAGGTTGTGGTGAGCCGAGATCGTGCCACTGCACTCCAGCCTAGGCAACGGAGTGAGACTCTATCCTCCCCCCCAAAAAAAACAGTATTGTATCTAAGTAAAATGTTCTAATTTAAATGATTATACTACGATTATTTAAGTGAATGTACTGATTCTTAGGAAATATACACTGAAGTCTTTAGGAGTAAGAGGCTATTGGCTATAACTTACTCTCCGATGGTCCAGAAAAAAAATGTGTTATATATAGAAAGAATGAATGATAAAGCAAATGTGACAAAAGTAACAACTGTTGAATTTGGGTGAAGAGCATATAAGACTTTTATATATTATTCTTGCAACTTTTCTTATTTTGAGACAAGGTCTTACTCTGTCACCCAGGCTGGAGTGGGGAGGCATGATTAGGGTTCACTGCAGCCTCCACCTCCTGGGCTCAAGCGATCTTCCCAACTCAGCCTCCGCAGTAGCTGGGACTACAGGAACATGCCACCATGCCTGGTTAACCTTTTGCATTTTTTGTAGAGACAGGTCTCCCTGTGTTGCCCAGACTGGTCTTGTGGACTCAAGTGATCCTCCCGCCCTGGCCTCCCAAAGTGCTGAGATTATAGGCGTGAATCACCATGACTGGCCTTTTTGTAACTTTTCTGTAAGTCTGAAATTATTTCAAAATAAAAAGTTAAACAACAGGTATCAACTACTCATTTTCCCTTTTTACTAAATTGCACCAAGCTGGTGTGCTTCTGCGAGCTTCCTTACCAATGTTTCTTCTTGCTGCTGTCATTAACTCCAGCTGCCTCTGGTTTTCATGTCTATTTTACAACAAACTGTCAGAAAAGAGACCCAGGCAGGGCTGAAAGCTTTCACTACACAGTAAATGGCATAAGATTTGTGACAGCTAAATTACTCTTCAGAACAGCTTTCTACTATGTTTTAAGGTTAGCAACAATCAGTAACTCTAAATCTCTTATAAAGCTCTGTGAATACATTTTGCTTTCACATTACCATTTCCATCATCTCTGGATCTTCAAAATCATAAATAATATGTTCTAAAATATCTCTGTCGGACACAAAACCTAATGCTCTGAACACAATAATGATGGGAACTTCTTGCTTGATATATGGTAGAGTTGCCACAATGCGCTGACCAATAGCACTCTTCTTGGCACCCTAGAAAAATAAAGTATCATTAGAACATGAATATACAAAAGCTCACAGCAATATAAAAACACCAAGAGAACTATTTAATATATATATATTCTTTGTGCACATTTCAAAAGAAGCACGCCTCCCAATACTGTGAGGAACCTCCTATGACTGCTTTTCAAAACCACCGAAACAAGTATACTAATTTTACATACAGGCTCAGGTCACTTAGACCTGAGACAACTTCCATTCTCTCCTATCTGCATGCCAAGATTCTCTCAGAATTACCCAATACTGTATTTGGAAATCACTTTTGGCTGCAAAAAAATATGAATACTGATTCCTCACCCTCCCCAACCTATCCCCCCTCCAAAAAATTAAACCTCTGGAAGAAAGAAATAGAAGAGAGGTAAAAAAAAAAAAAAAAAGAGACAATACAGATAGACAAATACGGAAAAAAGCTAAGCACACAATAAAAAATAAATATTAAATCAGAGCTGGTCTGTGAGGCATTTCCTTGTCTCAGTGTTTCAAAACTAACAGCCCCTTTCACACAGCTTCTTTTTTCCAATTTCTCCCTCTTTAATTGTACGCATATACAAAGACAAATTAAAAGTTACTAACCTATGACATACCTGACTTCTCAGTTTTAATCATATTTGTTTGCTTCAATATTAATTTCACTCTATCTTCCCTTGGCCTCATAACCCTACATTACTATAATCCCTCTAATAACTTCTGTCATCTTCCTCCTCCCACCACAGGCCTCCTGCTTCAGAACTCCTCTCATGGACTTGTTCAGTAACAACTTTTCATATATGACACCCAAATGTTTATCTTGATCTTTTTCTTGTACCCTCAGCCCCCATATCTCCAAATGCCAATTGGTTGTTTCCACCTGGACATCAATTATTCCATTTAGTCTATTATTTGTTTCATCATGGATCTTATCCCAGAACAAGCAGAACATTAAAAAATAATACAGCTGGGCACAGTGGCTCATGCCTGTAATCCCGGCACTTTGGGAGGCCAAGGCGGGAGGATTGCTTGAGCCCAGCATTTCAAGACCAACCTGGGCAACATAGTGGGACCTCATCTCTATAAATATTTTTAAAATTTTAGGCTGGGCACGGTGGCTCACAGGCCGGGCACAGTGGCTCACATGCCTGTAATCCCAGCACTCTGGGAGGCCAAGGCGGGTGGATCACCAGAGGTTGGGAGTTCGAGATCAGCCTGGCTAACATGGTGAAACCCTGTCTCTACTAAATATACAAAATTAGCTGGGCATGGTGGCACACGCCTGTAATCCCAGCTACTCAGGAGGCTGAGGCAGGAGAATCACTTGAACCCAGGAGGCAGATGTTGCAGTGAGCTGGGATAGAGCCACTCCAGACTTAGTCTCCAAAAAAAAAAAAAAAATTTAAAGAAAAAAAATGTCTACAACATGCACTCCCCAAAAATCTTATCTAAAACTGAACTTATTATGTTCTCTCCTAAATCAGTTACTCGAAGTTCACCGCTCTCCTGGAACCTCAGAATACAAATCATAGTATCTTAATTGACTCATCCTTTTATCTTATCAAACCTATCATCAAATCCAGATCATTTTCCTTTCTCTGTCTCTAATTAATTCATTTTGTTCAGAGTTGCCATGATAGTCTCCCTAATATACTGTTTATGTCTTTGCCCTCTGTCATCCAGGCCGATGCCTCTCGACAAAGAATGCACATCACAATCACCTGGGGACCTCTTTCAAATACTTGTACCTGGGCCCCATTCCACTCCCATTCTCACTATTGAGTCAGCAGATTTGGAAATGGGCCCCTTTTGTACTTGGAAGAGTCTTAGGTTATTGAGGTGAACCTTTAGTTAAGATCCACTAATCCAGATCCACCCTGATCATCTACTTGTCACTCACTATTCAACATACTTCATCCAGCTCAATTAGAGCTATCTTCCAGTGATTCTCCAAATACTCATCCCCACTCTCCTCTAATAAGAATGTCCTTCCAGTTTCTCTCTGCTTATATAAATCCATACCATCTTTCAAAGTGTAAGTCAAGTCCCATCTTCTCTATTAAGTTTCATGAACTGGTCAGGGGCGGTGGCTCATGCCAGCACTTTGGAAGGCCAAGGCAGGCAGGTCACTTGAGCTCAGGAGTTCGAGACCAGCCTAGGCAACATAGTGAAACCCTGTCTCTACAAAAAATACAAAAATTAGCCAGGTGTGGTGGAGCATGCCTATAATCTAACTACTTCGGAGGCTGAAGTACGAGAATCGCTTGGGCCAGGAGGTGGTGGTTGCAGTGAGCCCAGATCGCGCCACTACGCTCCAGCCTAGGCAACAGAATGAGACCCTGTCTCAGAAAAAAAAAAAAAAACTTTGCATGGACCACACCATACTAGTAACCTCATTCTCCTCCAAATTTCTATAAAACTGTTATATGTAATAGGTGTCATTTGGCCTCTGCACTGTGTTACTACCATTTAATGTCTAAAGCTTGTATTCCCAATAAAACCATTCTTTTTTTTCTCTTTTTTTCTTTTTGGAACAGGCTCTGGCTCTGTCACCCACGCTGGTGTGCAGTGGCGCCAATCTGGGCTCACTGCAACCTCAGCACTCAAGCCATCTTCCCACCTCAGCTTCCCGAGTAACCGGGACTACAGGTGCCTGCCACCACATCCAGCTAATTTTTGGGTTTTTGTTGTTGTTGTTTTGCTAGAGAAAGTGTTTTGCCATGTTGCCCAGGCTGGTCTCACATCCCGGGCTCAAGCAATCCACCCACCTCAGCCTCCCAAAGTGCTGGGATTACAGGCATGAGCCACCACACCTGGCCACCTTCTCAATAAGGATTGTGTGTTTTCATGATCTCTTAACAATACCCAGCAATGTTGTGCACATGGGAAGAATGCTTATCTTACAAATAAAATATTATGAAAAACATTCTTGAGGTGACAGGTATGCTAAGTACCCTAATTTGATCATTACACATTGTATACACGTATCAAAATATCACATTGCATCCCACACATGCATAATTATTAAATAAAATTGAAGGCCGGGCACAGTGGCTCACGCCTGTAATCCCAGCACTTTTGGAGGCCGAGGCGGGCGGATCACGAGGTCAGGAGATCGAGACCATCCTGGCTAACACGGTGAAACCCCATCTCTACTAAAAATACAAAAAAAAAATTAGCCGGGCGCGGTGGCGGGCGCCTGTAGTCCCAGCTACTCGGGAGGCTGAGGCAGGAGAATGGCGTGAACCCAGGAGGCGGAGCTTGCACTGAGCCGAGATCATGCCACTGCACTGCAGCCTGGTGACAGGGCAAGACTCCGTCTCAAAAAAAAAAAAAAAAAAAAATATATATATATATATACACACACACACACACATATACATACACACACACACACACACACACACACACACACATGAACTGAAATAGAGGTTTTCCAAGATAGCTGTAAAAATTAAATCAAGCAATCTGAGTAACAGAATTGGCATACAGCAAATATTTAAGAACTGCTAGCTACTACCAGGTTCCATTATTATAAGCAACCTATGCTTATAACTATACCAGTGGTCTGCAGCTTCTAAGCTGGTACCCAATGATTCCTGCCTCCTACTATTGCCCTTGTAATACCCTCTTTAGTGTGAGCTGGACATACTGACTTGCAACCAACAAAAAGAACATGGCAAAAATGACAGGATGTTGCTACCACTTTTAAGTTATAAAAGACTGATTTCCACCTTGCTCGTACTCTCTATGGCTCTTTTTGCTTACTCTCTCTGAAGAAGCAAGCTGCTATGCTGCTGTCAGCTGCTATACGCAGAGGCCCACATGGCAAGGAACAAAGAAAGGCTTCCAGCCAACAGCGAGCAAAGACCTGGGACTCAGTCCAACAGCCAATGAAGAACTAAATCCTGCAGACAACCATGGGAATGACTCTTGAGATTACGGCAGCCCAGGGAAACATCTGATTGCAGCCTTGTGAGAGTTGCTTGGCCAAAAGACCCAGCTAAGCTACACCCAGATTCCTGACTCACAGAAGCCGTGAGATGATAAATGTTGCTAGAGGAGTAATTTGTTACACAGCGATAGGTAAACAATACGATATATAACAACAATATGCTCCAGAAAAGCTTCTATGGACAAAGAAGGCAGTCTAGTAAATTTTAAAACAAAGCACAAAGGAATAAACCCAAATAGCATCATATCCAGTCCATACCTGTCCTCCTCTTGCCAGCATGCTAACCCATATAGTACTGGTGGGTCGGGAAGAATTCTCAAGACATGATCTACACTCTCCTGTGTAGGCATATTTAGAATCCTTTTTGGCAAACACATAAACTGTGTTTGTTGCCATTTTCTCTTGGGCAATCAGAACCTATTTGGACAATAAGAAAGTTACAGCCATAAAATCCAAAACATCACTGAAGAGAAAAGAGAGTAAAATCTGCATCTTAATTTAATCTGACCATATAGGCTCACTGAAATATTTAATTCTTCAACTTTACAAACTCCATTTTGCATAAATGCTTCATAGAAATACATAAACTCCAAAACTGACCAAATTCCCAGTGCATGTTATATACAGCTAAATAAAGCTTTGGTTTATATAAGTTTAGCTGTCATACCCTAAACAAGTCAACTGTCAGTGCCAGGTTATCCTGCAGGAAAATCTTTCTTTCTTTTTTTTTTTTTTTTCATTTCAACTTTAAACTAAATTTTAACTACCATTTTGTAATTTTTTAAAATAATGTTACTATACCTTTTCTGATCCATTAATAATGAAATAGCCACCAGGATCCAAAGGGCATTCATTTAACTCACAAAGATCACGATCTGTCAAGCCATTCAAAAGGCAGTAAGTTGACCGCAACATAATTGGAATTTTTCCTATAAAAGTTTTCTGATGCTGAGTCTGAAGTTGTTCTTCACCTTCTTTAATGACTGTTTTTGTTATATCAACATAAAGCGGAGCAGAATACCTTTGAAAATAAAAGTAGATCACAGTTAAGCAATAGGGTATCTGTTAAAACAAATCCTCAAGTGGTTAAAATTACATTTTCAAAATTCTATTTCAGTATCTACTGCTGACAAGGAAAAATTCTTTCTTACGTGAGATTCCTTAATCTAGCTTCATTGGGCATCATTGGTGAAGGAGCACCATCTCTTTCCCAATGGGTAGGCTTGGAAAGATAAATTTGTTCAAACTTCAGCAAATATCGTGGCTGAAATTAAACAAAAAAACATGAAAAGGGTAAATAATTTTTTCCATAAAAGTTTTAGTGATTCCATTTTAATTGACATTAACATTTTAAGTACAAGCAACTCTACAAACTGGCAAAATTAATCCATTTTACTGAAATGGGGACTTCCCAAAGTCAATATCCATATTGCATAGACGTTAAGTTTTAAACCAAATCACTTTCTTTTTTCCTCTTTTCTTAAAAATTTTTTTTCACATTAGACAGGTAATGTGCTAACAAGGTTTGTAACAAGGTTTAAGGAAGGCACATCTCACACCCAATCATCACACACTTATCAACTACAGAAGGATCTGCTAATTGCTTTCTTAAGGCAGAAGACAAAAAGAGACTTAATATACTAAAAGTAAAGACTGTACACATCATGTGCTCTGAGTTTATATGAAACAGTTAAAATGGATTTACATTAATGATCTACATAGTTTCTTGTGCCCTCTCCTTGGTAAGCATCATCAAAAATACAAAGTGACCAGAGAACAAAGATAACAAATCCAGACAACTAGAACTATGCTCTAATCTAATCAATAGAACATTTTAAAAAATAAACCTCTCTTCAGTTAAATATACAAATTAATCTGTCAAAGGAGTAGAGTTAACAAAAGAAAAAGATTTTTTTATTTTAAAAAACACACAAAATATCCTAATCATTCTATATAAAGGGCTGAGAATTTCCAACTCTGGCTGGAATATAGCTTAGTTCATAGAAAAAAAAAGAAATTTTTCAATTAAACATTCACTTGCTGCCTAATAAAACAAGATCCATGAGGACAACTTTCTAGAGATAAATGGATAGTGTACTTTTCTCTAAATCAAGTCTCAGAGAAGAAAACAGGAGTAAGCAGACGTTTTACTAATGATTAATTATTGACACTCAAGTCTCCCAAGCTGGGCTGGATAAAGGGCAAAGAGAACGGTGGTGATAACGAACCAAAGGGAAGCCAATCCTCTACTCCTTATCTGTGCCATCATCTAGTCTAGGTCATTATTATCTTAATCATAGGCTATTCTAAGATTTTTATCTCCTCCAGTCTCTTTTGTTTTGTTTCATTTTGTTTTGTTTTGTTTGAGACAGGGTCTCACTCTGTCACCCAGGATGGAGTGCAGTGGCGTGATCTCGGCTCACTGCAGCCTCCACCTCCTGGGTTCAAGTGATTCTCCTGCCTCAGCCTCCCAAGTAGCTGGGACTACAGGCGCACCACCAGGCCCGGCTAATTTTTGTATTTTTTGGTAGAGATGGGGCTTCACCAAGCTGGCCAGGATGGTCTCAAACTCCTGGCCTCAAGAGATCTGCCTGCCTAGGCCTCCCAAAGTGCTGGGATTACAGGCATGAGCCACCACATCTGGCCTCCTCTAGCCTCTTTCTATTCCAAGCAAGCATCACTTTCCAAAGTAACTTTTCTAAAATAATGCTTTATGTATATTCTTTGACAGTCTCTCAGTAATTCCTCATAACATCCAATGACATTCAAAGCTTTCAACAATCGGGTTCCATCTTATCTTCCTAATGCCTATTAAAAATAGAGAAGCCCTGTAATCCCAGCACTTTGGGAGGCCAAGGAGGGCAGATCATGAGGTCAGGAGATCGAGACCATCCTGGCTAATACGGCAAAACCCTGTCTCTACTAAAAATACAAAAAAATAATAGCCGGGCGTGGTGGCAGGCGCCTGTAGTCCCAGCAACTCAAAAAGCTGAGGCAGGAGAATGGCGTGAACCCGGAAGGCGGAGCCTGCAGTGAGCCGAGATCGCGCCACTGCATTCCAGCCTGGCCAACAGGGCGAGACTCTGTCTCAAAAAAAAAAAAAAAAATAGATAAGCCAAAATCACATACTGATCATTGTGGTCCCCAGCCTAAATACACCAAGTATTTTCTTTTCTTTTTTTTTTTTTTTTTTTTTTTTTTTTGAGACAGAGTCTCGACCTCTCGCCCAGGCTGGAGTGCAGTGGCGTGATCTCAGCTCGCTGCAACCTCCGTCTCCCACGTTCAAGCAATTCTCCTGTCTCAGCCTCCCTAGTAGCTGGGACTACAGGTGCCTGGCACCACACCCGGCTAATTTTTGTACTTTACTAGTAGAGACGGGGTTTCACCATATTGGCCAGGCTGGTCTCAAACTCTTGAGCTCAGGTGATCTGCCCGCCTCGGCCTCCCAAAGTGCTAAAATTATAGGCATGAGCCATCGCACCGGCCACACCAAATATTTCCTTGCTGAAATGACTAAGCACCTTTTCTCTTCTAAGAGAGTTCTTCATAGTAAATTTAAGTCTCTTCCATCTTTTCTACTAAGCTCTGATAACTAGGTGTTAGAGATCTACTCCTCTTTTAGTACTTCTGTTACTGGCACGTTCAATTTGCTATGTTATATTGTTATCTGGCTTGTTATACAAAGACCATGAAGAAAAAATGACCCAACAAGCCAGGTGCAGTGGCTCATGCCTATAATCTCAGCACTCTGGGAGGCTGAAGCAGGTGGATCACTTGAGGTCAGGAGTTGGAGATCGGCCTGGCCAACATGTGAAACACCATCTCTACTAAAAATACAAAAAAATTAGCCAAGCATGGTGGTGGGCACCTATAGACCCTGTAAAAAAGAAAAAAATGACCCAAGAATAAAAAAGAAACTTAATGTCCCCCTTTCCAGCACAGCCCTAGAAGAGCCAATCACTTTCATTCTTAACAGCAAAATTCTGTACAGCATGTCCAACTAAAATGGAAATAACAGACCAGCACTTAGGAGATAAGCTACACAGAAGAGAAACTGATCAGGCTAGAAACAATGAACTCTCCCTGTGTCTAGCTCTATTTTGGGGGCTTTCCCTACCTCACTTTGTTTCTCAGTTTTCCCTGTCTCTCAAAGTCCAATATGTTCCAACAGCTGCCTCTCAACTTCTCTAAAACTGGGACAGTCATTATTTTGGACTACATCCTTCTTATAATCACTCATGTAAAACCAAATTATAAAATTATACCCTTAGTATGATTTTAACAATGCTAAAAAACCTGCATATATGTGAGCAAAAGCTACAAGAAACTTAGTAAAGATAGCTGCTATGTTTGGGTGATTTTCCTTTCTTATCTCATATGGTTATAATAATGTACTTCATGCAATATATAAAATCAGATGAAAATTCCTTCAAACATTTTTTATTATTTTTACACTGTGAGAGAAAAAAGCGGGGTTATCTATCTAAAGCAATGTGACCATCTCTGGCTCACTTCTCTTATTTGTTCATATTTCAGAGTCCTCTCTTCCCAGCTATTCAATACCTACTATGTGAATAAGGATGGGATAACTTGCAAAAAAACACACCTCTTCATTAGAGAAAATAAATCAGAAAGTGATTGACGGTGCTGTAAGTACTTTGCTAAAAGCTCCAACTGACTTTTTTTAACCTTTAAGCCAGGTAAGAGAAGGGCTAAAATTTCAAACCAATACGCTTCTTGTACCTGTGTAACTATTAGAACTATCTTACCGGTTCTTCAACTTCTCCACTAGCATGCTGAGCTTCAGCCTGTAGGTCTATAGGAGGAGCGTCTTCCACAATTCTTTGAACAGACATCTGAATAAACTCATCAAAAGAATCCAGCTGTTGTCTAACCAAGCCTTTCTCGTCAAAATAGGAACTGGGAAAATATTTGAGTTCAGTCAGTTGCAACTCAGTGATAATTTCTAGCATAATTCCCCATTTTCATTATTTCCCCATTTTCATTATTCAAGAAACAGTCATAAAATACCAACCATTATATGTCAACCACTAAACAAGACACTATGAGGTATCTTAAAAAGGATGAAACCGGGCATATTTTCTTTGTAGAACTTATTATTTGGGGAAAAGCAGCTTATATTTGGGGGTAAAATACTTAAAGCACAATATAAGAACTATAAGGATCCCAGCTCCTGGGAGGCCAAGGCAGGAGGATTGCTTGAGTTCAGCCTGGGCAACGCAATGAGACCTCATTTCAACAAATAAGAAAAAAATTAGCCAGGCATGGTGGCATGTGCCTATAGTCCCACATATTCAAGAGGATGAGGTAGGGGGATCACTTGAGCCCAGGAGTTTGAGGCTGCATTGAGTCATGATTGCATCATTGCACTCCAGCCTAGGAGACAGCGAAACCCTATCTCAAAGAAAAAAAAAAACTTTATGCCCTTTATGGACAAATTTTATTCCACCTCTTTGAAGTACTTCTTGACAAATATGTCAGGAGAGAAAACTAAAGAAAAGTCAAAGATAACAATAAGAACTTTCATTTGAATAGGACGGAGGGTAGTGATATTAATGACTAAAATAATGCATGAGAATGCCAACTTTAGGTTATAGATCATTAGTTCTATTTTGAATTCTTAAAGGTAGGATAAGAAGAATAAGTCTTTACATAAAAATACTCAGCAAAAGACTGGTGATAAAAATGCAGCATGGCTGAGAGAGCTGCAATCTAAAAAGCAGACATCATATTTATAAGGAACAGATACTTTTCAGGTGAGGGGTGGGGAAAGACATACAGAGACAAGTAGATACACGTGCAAGAGGATCTCAACAGATCACTCCCTATTACCATCCAGGGACAGCTGCAAAGCTGGGCATCACAGAGGCTGGAGGATGTAGCACAACCCTCAAGATTATCCCATCACCCTTCAGCAGTAGGAAGTGCCCCACCACACCTCCACGTCTCCACTCCTATATCTTGTGACCTCTGTCATCTTATATCTGTGAGACCTTCTTAGCTTCTACTCCCCAACTACTGACTCCCCCATCTTCACATCAATTTTCTAAGACAATATGCAGAGTCCAACTAATCATCAGCCTCCCATTTTGGCTTCATCAGGTCACCTCGCACATCAGTGACAGGCCAACAAATTGGCCCCACCCTGATCCAGTCAAGTATGGCCACCAAAATTAGAAGTTAGGTCCTATGGTAGAAAACACAGCAGACAATCACACATGTGTAAGGTATGACCTAAATAACAGTTGGGGCAATTTATTTCAGTAGAGACTGTCACATAATGGGAAAGAAATTTCTCACAACCATGTGGATTAGCCATTGATATTGTAAGAAAAACATGGCATTGCCTGTAATATACATAGCCATGGTTTTTTATAGGCAATTTAAGATGAATAGCTTCTAAACTATAGATAAGTTTCATTACCCCAGGAAGCTGAACTATAGCTACTTTACCCAAAATCATTAGAATGGTGCTTAAACACCTAAACTATATAAATATTTCATATTTATGATCTCTACTCTGTTTATTTTACCTGAAGTCATCTTATGAAGTTACTTGTGATATTAACTAATATCACATTCACAAGATCACTTGATATTAAAAAGTAAAAAAAAATCAAAATTCATTTCTCAATAGCCAAAGTATCTACAGTCAATTTAAACTTAAAAATCAAATAATTTATTTTGTAACAAATGATAAATGCTATGACAGTTCACAATAGAGTATTTTATCCTTGAGCAATCTACCACATATGTTGAAAACAACTTCTTTTCACCTAAGATAAAATATTTTTTCTACCGGGAGAATGTAGAATATAGGCACACTCCACAGAACATCTACCTGGTTATTGTTTCCTAATAAAATATCTCTTGGTGTTTAACACCCAAACATCACAGAAGATGTAACTGTCTCAGTAAAGTTTAGTCTTCTACAGCCAATTTGTTTTATTTTTTGTGTTTACAAAAGTTTACTCTTAAATGGCTCCAGGACAATGCTTCATTCTAGCTATAGGTGGCAAAAGATATTATGGCAGGGAATACAGATGTTTAAATACAAATGGAATCAAAGGTCACCATCACCTCAGGCACAATGAAAAGCTGACTTTTTGCCAGATTTCTCTTTTTTTCTTTCTTTAAAAAAAAAAGAGATAGACAGGGTCTGGCTATGTTGCATAGGCTGGTCTCAAACTCCTGAGCTCAAGTCATCCACCGGCCTCAGCCTCCCAAAGTGTTGGGATTACGGGCAGGTGCGAGCCACCTCGCCAAGACTTTTTGTCAAATTTCTTAATTCTACCTGTGGCCAGGGGCCCTTTCCCCACAGCCTTCTATTTTAAAGCTTTTTCTGCTCCTCTTTTTGTTTCTGCTTGAAAGCTGTATCTTCCTCGTCCATCTCCTTGGCCTGCTTCTTGGGCTGTTTCAGGGGCTTCTTGCTACCTTTGCAACCAAACATGGCAACTGCCGCCCCGGCCCCTTCTCCAAACCCTGCCACCAGAAACAGAGCTCCTATCCTCACCATCAACTCCTTATGGAAAAATATATACTTATATCCCAAAAACTCAATATATATTTTTTAATTATTTATTTTTAGAGACAAGGTCTCACTATGTTACCCAGGCAACACTCAAACTCCTGAGCTCAAGTGATCCTTCTGCCTCAGCCTCCCAGGTAGCTGGGACTATATAGGCACACACCACAGCACCTGGCTTTCAATACTTTTTTTTGTAAGATTCTGGACAACATGCTGAATCAACATCTTTTTTTTTTTGAGACAGAGTCTCACTCTGCCACCCAGGCTGGAGTGCAGTGACATCATCTCAGCTAACTGCAAACTCTGCCTCCCAATTTCAGGTGATTCTCCTGCCTCAGCCTCCCAAGTAGCTGGGATTACAGGTGTGCGCCACCACACCCATCTAATTTTTGTATTTTTTAGTAAAGACGGAGCTTCACTATGTTGGCCAGGCTGGTCTCCAACTCCTGACCTCAAGTGATCTGACTGCCTCAGCATCCCAAAGTGCTGGGATTATAGGCAAATCAGTATCTCTTTCACAAAACAACGTTCAAGAAAGGTTATTCAGTTATACTCTGAATACAACTGGCAGAATGTTGGAAGCATGTGTTCTTTGAAAAGAGAGAATGTTGACCAAAAGGACATGCACCTTGGAGCTGATGGGGCTCAGAGAGGCATCCATCATCATCTTATTGTATATAAAACAGGTGTCAGGGGATGAGAGAAGAGAGAGAAGAGTTATAAGCCTTTAACATCCTAACCTTACAGGATGTTACTTTATCACTTATAAGTTACTTTTCTTACCTATACAAGGCTTCTCGTAATTTTATTACATTTAGTTACACTTAGAATTGGATGGGAATTTGGAATGAAATACAACCAATTTTAACTTTGTCCATTTAAAATAATGAGAAAACCAAGCAATCAAATTAACATTACTAGTAATGAAACAAACATGCCTCCTGATATGATGCACTGAGACTATGTCACTTCTGCCAAAAGTAATCATCTGAATCTAATTATGAGAAATATCAGACAAACCTAAACGGAAAGGCATCCTAAAAAGTAACTGGCCCGTATTCTTCAAAAATGTCAAGGTAAAAAAAAGAACAGACACACTGAGGAACTGTTCCAGATTAAAGGAAACAAAAGAACATGCCATGACAAGTAAATGCAATATGTGATCCTAGGTTGGATCCAGGATCAGAAAAATTTGTATTTTGCTATAAACACCAGTGGGACAACTGGCAAAATGTGGGTAAGGTCTATAGATTAAATAAGATCACCATAATTGTGATTATGTAAAAGAATGTTCTTATGTCTGCAGTTATTCTTTTTTTTTTTTGGAAACAGGGTCTCACTCTATCACCAAGACTGGAGTGCAGCGGTGCGACCTTCGCTCACTGTAACCTCAACCTCCCAGGGTCAAATGATCTGCAAGTTACTCTCACATGTTTCAGAAAAAAATATATATATACAAAAAGAGAAAAAGACAAAGAAATGTAGTACAGGGTAACATTTTCGGAATCTGGTTAAAATGATTAAATGAATTCTTTGTGTAACTTTTAGATCTGAAATACTTAAAATGTTAAATATATAAATAAAATAACTACTCTCATGTAGCATATTTATATAGAAGAGCTATTTATCAAGAAGAATAAGCAGGAAATCTAAAGTGCCTTTTCAGGCTAATTCAGTTTGGTCCAAAGTTACCTGATTACAATCCAGCATGCTTCTTGCCACAAATCCGGGGTGATTTCATCATCATCCTCATCATATTGCATATCTGTAAAAACAAAAATATTGTACTCATTTGCAATGAGATGCCACTTAGTTAACATCTTGCTCCTATGACTTTAAGTAGCAGAAACATATTTACTTTCTGCTGAATAAGTAATGCTTTCACCCCACTTTTCTAAAATTTCAATTACATTAATAAAATAATTTATGTCTATGTCACACAGGTATTCTTCCAATATAAAAAGAGGTTTATTAGAAAGGTTCAATGTAAGTTGTATGAATGTTAAGTTTTCCATTTTATTGATCAGCAAGATTTTCAGACACTAGAGTCAGAGAACAGGGTAAGGGGGCAGAGCCATGGAAGGATTCCAACAACTGGGCAATACCCTAAGGTGGGGCAATCTATTATAGCAACATTTCATACATGTACAGGTATGAAAGTTTGCATTTTCCAAAGATGGCCACAAGCCTATCTCCCATCCGACATGGTCTTCTATAATGTGATCTTGACACTCCTATCATCACATATAGTGGTCTATGCACCCTCTCCTTGAATCGGGTAGATTTTGACTCTCCTGTAACTTAAGAGAATGCAGCTGAAGCAATGCTGCATGACTTCAGAAGCCAGGTCAGAAAAGGCAATGAAGTTTCTGTCATGTTTGCTAAAACACTTCCTTCTGGAGCCCTGAGCTGTCATTAAAAAGTAGGGGTGGCTCAGGCCTGTAATCCTAGCACTTTGGGAGGCCAAGGTCGGTGGATCACCTGAGGTCAGGAGTTCGAGACCAGCCAGGCCAATATGGCAAAACCCTGTCTCTACTAAAAAAGACAAAAATTAGCCAGGCAGGGTGGCACATGCCTGTAATCCCAGCTACTCAGGAGGCTGAGGCAAGAGAATTGCTTGAACCCAGGAGACAGAGGTTGCAGGGCCCGCCTCTCACTCACCGCCCGAAAGTCGGGGCCGCCCCACGGGGCGGCGGGGGGGAGTGCCATCCCCGCCTCGCCACAGCACCGAGCCCGCCGCCCGTCCCTCGCGGCTACCACCGGTCCCTCGCGGCTACCGGGCACGGAATGGGCGGTCCGCCTCCTCGCAGGAGCTGAGATCGCGCCACTGCACTCCAGCCTGGGCCACAGAGCGAGACTCTGTCTCAAAAATTTAAAAAAATAAAATAAAATTTTTTTTGTAAAGACATACACTATTCTGAGGCTGCTACATACTGAGAAAGCCCGAACCATAAGTAGAGGCCACTTACAGATGCTCCATTAGCAATTTTAGTCCTTGAGTCCTCCTAAGCTAATGTCTCATGTCAGACATAGTCAATACTACAGATCATCTCTCACCCAGCTGTCAACACTTGGCCTTAATGTCTTCCCAAATGAACCAGAGTCACGGTGGAACACAGGCAAGTCATGCCTGCTATGCCCTGTCCAAAATCCTAACCCACAGTATCCATGAACATAACAAAATAATTTTTTAAGTAGCTAAATTTTAGCGTAGTTATGCAACAGTAATTTAAATATGCATTCAAAAAAAAATCAGTGTGCACTGGTCCTCTAATATTAGTCCCATCTTCTTAAGGGAAAGAATAAGTGTGCTGTATTTTTGGCTTTTATTCTAATGTACACATATATAGCCTATGAAATTCAGGAGATCTGGGTTCAAAATTTGATACATATACAAAATAAATTTTTAATAAATACTTCTTAAATGGACTGGAATTATTAATCCCTACACCTGAGGGAAGGGTAAGAAAGACAAAGCTATGTATAATAGCTCAGACATTTCTAGCTTTGATGAGAGATTAAAAGTTAACATCACTGCCATACAGGAGAAGCAAGTAAGATGGTGGAAAAAGGAGAGGTAATGATGAGATCGGCTTTAGAGATATCTATAGATCACAATACCTTCAAATACTTCTAGTAGGCACACATATATGAATATAAACTCAAATGAAGAGTCTACATTATAGACAAAGAACATGTGACACATAATAGATATACATTGGCATATAACAAATGTGTATCTATTATGTGTCAATAAAATAAACGTTTTAAAATTTGAAAAAAAAAAAGTACATAGTTGGAATCATTAACAAATGGGTGGGAGAAAAATGAGATTATACACAGACAAGGAAGGCTGAAGGCAGGATATCTGGGAACAACTTTAAAAGTCATACAAAGGAAAATGAACTCATGAAGGAGACTCATTTACTCATCCATTTATCAGATTTTTTTTCAGGCTGGGCGCACTGGCTCACACCTATAATCCCAACACTTTAGGAGGCCGAGGCAGGCAGATCACTTGAGACCAGGAGTTCGAGACCAGCCTGGCCAACATGGAGAAAACCCATCTCTACTAAAAATACAAAAATTAGCCAGGCATGGTGGCACCTGCCTGTAGTCCCAGCTACTAGGAAGGCTGAGGCAGGAGAATCGCTTGAACCCAGAAGGTGGAGGTTGCAATGAGCCGAGATCACGCCACTGCACTCCAGCCTGGGTGAGAGTGCGACCCTGTCTAAAAAAAAAAAAAAAGTGATATGAATATTCCTGACAAAGATCTGAAAAGGTTAGGGAAGACTTCCCAAAAGCTGGGCAGAGGCCAGGTGCAGTGGCTCATGTCAGTAATCCCACCACTGGAAGGCCAAGGCAGCAGGATCACTTGAACCCAGGAGTTCGAGACCAGCCTGAGCCACAAAGCGAGACCCCCGTCTCTAAAATTTTCTTTAAAAAGCT
Source organism: Homo sapiens (assembly GCF_000001405.40). NCBI lineage: Eukaryota > Metazoa > Chordata > Mammalia > Primates > Hominidae > Homo > Homo sapiens. The sequence continues at coordinate 56,983,669 of NC_000004.12, read as the reverse complement.
GGCCGGGCGCAGTGGCTCACGCTTGTAATCCCAGCAGTTTGGGAACCCAAGGCAGGTGGATCACAAGGCCAAGAGTTTGAGAGCAGCCTGGCCAGCATGGTGAAACCCCGTCTCTACTAAAAATACAAAAATTAGAAGGGCATGGTGGCGCATCCCTGAAATCCCAGCTACTCAGGAGGCTGAGGCGAAGAATCACTTGAACCTGGGAGGCAGAGGTTGCAGTGAGCCGATATCACACCACTGCACTCCAGCCTGGGGGACAAAGGGAAACTCCATCTCAAAAAAAAAAAAAAAAAAAAAACCTGAGCAGAGATCTCGTGTTATAAACAGGAGTAATCAGGCAAAAGGAAGGGACAAAGGTAGGAGTCAAGAAAGAATCCTACCAAATAGAAAAAAACAAATTGTGCAAAAGACCCCATAATGCAAGACAGGATGGCATATTCAAAGAATGATAGAAGGCCAATGTAGCGGAAGCACAGATTGTGAAGTTGGAAGTGGAATAAGAAGAGTTTGGCCTTTACCAAGAGATATGAGTTTAGCAGGGTTGTGGCTAGGTCAGATTTTCATTTCTGAAAGATCCCTATGGCCAGTGTGGAGAGTGGATTGGAAGTATACAAATCAGTTAGGAGTAATCTAGGCAAGGGATGGCAGCAACATGAACTAGAATGATGGTGGAGGGGATAGAGAAGTGGCCAGATTTGACATATTTAGGAGACAGAACCAACAGGGCTTGGTGACTGATTAGATATAGAGGTGAAAGAGAGGAGTCAAAAATGATGCCCAGGCTTTCGGTTTCAACAACAGAGGGTACAACAGTTGTACCTCAGTGTCCATTGGAGACTGGTTTCAGGACCTCCCATAGATACCAAACACAGATGCTTAAGTCCCTGACATGAAATGGCACTGTTATATACCCTAGGCACACATCCTCCTGTATCTTTTAAATTATCTCTAGATTATTTATAATACCTAATACAATGTAAATGCTATATAAATAATTATTTACTTGTAATGTTTATGGAATAATGGCAAGAAAAAAAAAGTCTGTACATTTTTACAAGGACGCAATTTTTTTTTAATATTCTCTTTTTTGTTTTTTGAGACAGGGCCTTGCTGTTACCCAGGCTGAAGTGCAGTGGTGTGATCACAGCTCACTGTAGCCTCAAATTCTTAGGGCTCAAGCAGTCCTCCCACCTCAGTATCCCGAGGAGCTGGGATCACAGGCACATGCCACCATGCCCAGCTAATTTTTTAAATTTTTTTGTAGAGATGAGGTCTCCCTATGTTGCCCAGGCTGGTCTCAAATTCCTGGCCTCAAGCTTTTTAATATTTTCAATCCAAGGTTAATTGAATATACAGATGTGAAACCTACAGATACAGAGGGCCAAATGTGCCCTTCACCGAGACAGAGAAGACAGGAGGCAGTGGCTTTGGGAGGGGAATAGCAAAAGAAAATAATTAGCTCAGTTTGGGCAGTTGACAAGGTTAAGCAGCCTGGGAGATATCCTAGTTGGCTAGTGGCAGTTAGATACCCCAGATTTTAAACTAGAAGTATACACATTCAGAAGTTATCCGCATACAGATGGTAACTGAAACAATGGAAAATGGATGAGATCACCCAAGGAGAATGTGAACAGGAAAGAAAATGAGAAAAGTCAGATAAGAAAAATCAAGTGAAAGTGATGTCGCTAGAAAGCTGAGTGAGTTTCCGGGAAGATGTCATCAACAGTTTTGAAGACCACAGGGTTTAGATAAGTTTTAAATATCCATCTCATTTATCAATTGAGAAGTCGCTGTCAATCTTAGAGCTATCTTAATGTAGTAGCATGAGTAGAAACATATTGTAATCAGTTGAAAAGCACATGAAAGATGAAAATTAGAAACAAGGACAGCTTATTATTTTTATAAGTTTGGCTGTGAGTGAAAGAAGAAAGGTAAAATACTAGAAGAAAAAGGTAACAATGAAAAGAATTTAACTTGTTTCCATGTGGATGACAGAAATCTGACATTTTCACATAGTGACTGAAAACTGATGAGGACGTTATCTAATAAACATTTCAGAGGACATGGGCAATAAAATGTAGGTTCACTGCTAAAGCAACCCTGATAAACTCTTTTTCCACAGGATCATTATACATTGCTAATAAGAATGCAAAATTAGTACAATCACCACTATGGTGGTCACTTGGCATCATCTAGCAAAATGTTAAACGTGCATATCATTTGACCTGACAATTTTATATGTAGAAATGTATCCCACAGACATACTTGGGCAAATTATACGTACAAGATTATTCATTTACAGCACTGTTTGAACCCGAAAATGACTAGAAATAAACCGAATATCCATCAAGAGACTACTTAAGTTATGGTACATCCACACAAACTAAGTAACTGGGGGTGGGGACACGGGAGGGGGGGCGCGATGCTTTCTGTGTACTGATACGAAAATCTCCTGGACACATTAAACAAAATCTAAAAGTGGAGAAAAGTGTGAATATTACTGTCTTTAAAAAAAGAGAAAATCCCATTTATATTTGCTTAAATATGCATAAGGAAACTGTGGAGGCTGGGCTTGGAGGTTCACACCTGCAATCCCAGCACTTTCGGAGGCCGAGGCAGGTGAATCACCTGAGGTCAGGAGTTTGAGATCAGCCTGGCCAACGTGGAGAAACCATCTCTACTAAAAATACTAAAATTAGCTGGGCACGGTGGTGTACGCCTGTAATCTCAGCTACTCGGGAGGCTGAGGCAGGAGAACTGCTTGAACCTGGGAGATGGAGGTTACAGTGAGCCGAGATTGCGCCACCACACTCAAGCCTGGGCAACAGAGCAAGACCATCAAAAAAAAAAAAAGAAACTGTGGAGTGATAAGAACCTCTTATAACTGTTATAACTGTAGTTACCCACTGTGGAGAGTTCAAACTGGGCAGATGGTGGGTAAGAAGGAGACGTGACACTTTAACTTGTTTTTTTTGAGACAAGGTCTCACTTTGTTCTCAGCTCATAGCAGTGTCAACTTCCCAGGCTCAAGCGATCCTCCAGCCTCAGCCCCACAAGTAGCTGGGACTATAGGTGAGCAAGACCACGCCCAGCTAATTTTTCTATTTCTTATAGAGAGGGGTCTCCCATGTTGCCCAGGCTGCTCTCGAACTCCTGAGCTCAAGTAATCCACCCGCCTCAGACTCCCAAAATGCTGGGATAACAGGCGTGAGCCACTGCACCAGCCACCCCACTTTAACATTTTTAAATTTTCTGGCTTGTGAGCTATGAGAATATATTACCCAGCCAAAAATTATGCTTTAAAAATCTTTTTTTTCGAATTTTTCTTCTACTGAGATAGTAGTTAAAAAAGAACAAGGAATATAATGATGCTAATAAATTTCTACAACACAAGATATAAATGAGACAGAAGTTTAAACAGCTTTAAAAGTTTAAGCTTTTGGCTGGGCACATTGGCTCATGCTTGTAATCCCAGCACTTTGGGAGGCCGAGACAGGCAGATGGTTTGACCTCAGGAGTTTGAGACCAGCCTGGGCAACATGGCCAGACCCCATCTCTTAAAAAAAAAAAAAAAAAATTAAGCTTTTGCTTCAATTTTTTCCATCTGATTTATCAGAAGTACCTGAGGGAATAGAGAGAGGAGATGTAGGGGGTGGCCAAGGAATTGAGAGCTATAAGAAAATAAGGTTTGAATTAGCAGATATGGAGAATGGAAAAGGCGGCTACGAAAATACACTAGACTCAACTAAGAATTTTTTTTTTTTTTTTTTGAGACAGTCTAACTCTGTCACTCAGGCTGTGGTGTAGTGGTGCGATCTCAGCTCACTGCAAACTCCGCCTCCTGGGCTCAAGCGATCGTCCGGCCTCAGCCTCCCGAGTAGCTGGGATTACAGGCGCACGCCATCACACTAGGCTAATTTTTGTATTTTTAGTAGATACAGGATTTCCCCATGTTTGTCAGGTTGGTCTCAAGCGATCTGCACATCTCGGCCTCCCAAAGTGCTGACGGGAGCCACCGCGCTCGGCCACTACTAAGAATTCCATATGCGCAAACAAACAGGTATTATACATTGGCCCAGTGCAGCAGAATACATATCATCTGAGAACTGTGACATTGTGAGAAGAGGAAGTTAAAAGTCATCCTTTAAGACAATTTACTTTGACTTACAAACAGTATGAAGAAATGTCAGACTAAACCGAGTCCCCCCCGCCACCCCCACCCCCCGATATTCTCTGTCCCGGAATATTTCCAGGACCTTCCACACTGCCTGACACAGGCTGACACTCAACAATTGAGCTATTCGTTAAGTCGACTGTGGCTTTAAGGAAAATTTTTAAAGGGTGCCCTTTGCTTCAAATTCAAAACGTAATTTATCTTACGATTCTGCACGCTACTTCACCACAGGAAACGAGGATCAGATCTAACGGAACGAGAAAGTGCAGAGAGCAGCAGTGAACGTAACCTGGAACATTAACACTATGTTCCCTGCACCCTCCGCCTCTCCCTACCCCAGTTTCGTTCCCGGCCTGGTAAGTGTGGGAACAAGGCTGGGGACTGTGCAGCCGGCGCATGGGAAGGCCCCAAATCCTCAATCCAATCAGTTCCCAACGCTTTCCTGCTTAAATGGACCGCCACGGCGTGTGTTTTGAGCGTTCACCTACCCTCATCCGCGTCGTACATATTGCCAAACGGTTCTCGAGCTCCTAACTCTTGAAATCAAAAGACAAAAACCGCCCAGAAGCCAGCAGCGCCAGGAGCTAAAGACGAAGTAACTTCCGTCTCCGACGTTCCCAGAATACCACGCGTCTCACACCAAAGGCCGCCCACAGGGACGCCAAAGTTAGGATCTGCGCCTGCGCAAATTGTAGGTCAAGCTTGGGCCGGGGTTAGGGTTGCACACGCGTAAATTGTGGGCCGCCGCTGCCGGGCTGATTGAGAGGACAGCTCCCGCAATCTGCGGTCGTATCCGTTCCGTCAATGTTTTATTTCTGCTTGTTTTTCAATGTTGTTGCACAAATAACGACACCTGAAAACAAAACCAGGTATACTTATTATTAAAAAGTGTTCGTCCTGTGAATCCGCAACATTGGGATGCTCAATTTATTTGCCTTTATAAGGACCAAAACACGAAGCTATTTTTTATTTTTATTTATTTATTATTTTTTGAAATGGAGTCTCGCTCTGTCGCCCAGGCTGGAGTGCAGTGGAGCGATCTCGGCTCACTGCAACCTCCGTCTCCCGGGTTCAAGCGATTCTCCTGCCTCGGCCTCCCAAATAGCTGGGATTACAGGCAAGGGTCACCACGCCCGGGTAATTTTTGTATTTTTAGTAGAGACGGGGTTTCACCACGTTGGCCAGGCTGGTCTCGAACTGCTGACCTCAGGTGATCCACCCGCCTCGGCCTCCCAAAGTGCTGGGATTACAGGCGTGAGCCACGCGCCCGGCCGGAAGCTCCTTTCTGTTTTTGTTTTGTTTTGTTTTTTTGAGACAGGCTCGCTCTGTCGCCCAGGCTGGAGTGCAGTGGCGCGATCTCGGCTCACTGCAACCTCCGCCTCCCGCGTTCAAGCCATTCTCCTGCCTCAGCCTCCCGAGTAGCTGGGACTACAGGCGCCCGCCACCACGCCTGGCTAATTTTTTGTATTTTTAGCAGAGATGGGGGTTTCACCGTGTAAGCCAGGATGGTCTCGATCTCCTGACCTCATGATCCGCCCGCCTCGGCCTCCCAAATTGCTGGGATTACAGGCGTGAGCCACCGCGCCCGACCCCGGAAGCTCCTTTTTAAGTGTGATTTATTAAGGGCGGCTTGTGCTAGCAGTGAGGCGTTAAGCCTGAAAGTGAAAAAACCCAAAACACTCACTGCTCTTTTCTGCCCACCTAGCTCAATCCTCCAGTGCCTTTGCCATAGCTTTAAGTAGGTTCTCAGTCTCAGAGCTTAAATCGCGAGAACTGACGGGATTAGACGCAAAACCAACCAGGACAGCTCCCAAGTACCCACGCGCTTTCGTCTCGGGTCAAATGCGCGCCTCGGACCCTAGTGCGCGTGCGCGCTGGTGGCTCCGCCCCTTTGGAGCTACTTCCTCATGCTGCCCGCTCGCCTACCGTTCAGGCTGCTGAGCCTTTTCCTTCGTGGATCCGCTCCCACGGCAGCGCGCCATGGCCTCCGGGAGCCGCTCCTGGAGAGGAGGTGCGCTGCCGCCTCCTCCTTCCAGCACTCATCGAGTCTGGGACGCGAGCTTCCTTATGACCCCGTGGACACGGAGGGCTTTGGAGAAGGTGGTGACATGCAGGAGCGTTTTCTGTTCCCGGAGTACATCCTGGATCCGGAGCCGCAACCCACCCGCGAAAAGCAGCTGCAGGAGCTCCAGCAACAGCAGGAGGAGGAGGAGCGACAGAGGCAGCAGCGGCGGGAGGAGCGGCGACAGCAAAACCTACGGGCCAGGTCCCGGGAGCACCCGGTCGTGGGGCACCCGGACCCGGCATTGCCGCCCAGCGGCGTGAACTGCTCGGGCTGTGGGGCAGAGCTGCACTGCCAGGACGCCGGAGTGCCCGGCTACCTGCCCCGAGAGAAGTTCCTCCGCACGGCGGAGGCAGACGGCGGGCTGGCACGGACCGTGTGCCAGCGCTGCTGGCTGCTGTCGCACCACCGGCGCGCTCTACGCCTGCAGGTGAGCCGCGAGCAGTACCTGGAGCTGGTGAGCGCCGCGTTGCGGCGGCCCGGCCCCTCCCTGGTGCTCTACATGGTGGACCTGCTGGACCTGCCCGACGCCCTGCTGCCCGACTTGCCCGCGCTGGTGGGCCCCAAGCAGCTGATCGTGCTGGGAAACAAAGTGGACCTCCTGCCCCAGGATGCTCCTGGCTACCGGCAGAGGCTGCGGGAGCGACTGTGGGAGGACTGTGCCCGCGCCGGGCTCCTGCTGGCCCCTGGCCACCAAGGGCCACAGCGCCCCGTCAAGGACGAGCCACAGGACGGGGAGAATCCGAATCCGCCGAACTGGTCCCGCACAGTGGTCAGGGACGTGCGGCTGATCAGCGCCAAGACCGGCTATGGAGTGGAAGAGTTGATCTCTGCCCTTCAGCGCTCCTGGCGCTACCGTGGGGACGTCTACTTAGTGGGCGCCACCAACGCCGGCAAATCCACTCTCTTTAACACGCTCCTGGAGTCCGATTACTGCACTGCCAAGGGCTCCGAGGCCATCGACAGAGCCACCATCTCCCCTTGGCCAGGTGAGTTTTAGGAGGCTCGCCCTCTTCGTTTCCTGGCAAGGTGGACGTCTGGTCCTGGCCGAGGCACCGAGTACATCCTCCCTTAATGTCCACTGCGGGCTGCCTGTACCCTTCCCTTTACAAATTCTCTCCCCACTCTGGTCACACCTCTCTTCTGTGTCAGCTTACTGCTAGGGAAAATTGAGGATGTGTTGTAGTAATTTTCAATGGAAGTGTTTATGGAGCACGTCTCTGTTCCCAGTCACTAAGCACTGGAGATAGACCAGGGAACAAAGCAAAGTTCCTGTTCTGGAGATTTGCTTTGTAACTTCTTTGTATATTGTTCCAGAAAGTGTGCGTCCTTTTTACTGTCTGAACCTAATGAACTTTGTGTTTTGTTTGTTTGTTTTGTTTTGGAGACAGAGTCTCACTCTGTCGCCCAGGCTGGAGTGCAGTGGCGTGATCTCGGCTCACTGCAACCTCCGCCTCCCGGGTTCAAGTGATTCTCCTGCCTCAGCCTCCCTAGTAGCTGGGATTCGAGGCATGCGCCACCACACCAAGCTAATTTTTGTGTTTGTTTTGTTTTGTTTTTTGAGACGGAGTCTTGTCTTGCTCTGTTGCCCAGGCTAGAGTGCAGTGGCTCACTGTAACCTCCGCCTCCCGGGTTCCAGTGATTCTCCTCCCTCAGCCTCCTGAGTAGCTGGGATTACAGGCGCACGCCACTATGCCCAGCTAATTTTTATATTTTTAGTAGAGACGGGGTTTCACTATGTTGGTCAGGCTGGTCTCAAACCCCTGACCTCGTGATCCGCCCGCCTCAGCATCCCAAAGTGCTGGGATTACAGGTGTGAGCCACCGCGCTTGGCCTAATTTTTGTATTTTCAGTAGAGATGGGGTTTCACCTTGTTGGCCAGGCTGGTCTGGAACTCTTGGCCTCCCAAAGCGCTGGGATTACAGGCAAGCACCACCATGCCCAGCTAATTTTTGTATCTTTGGTAGAGACAGGGTTTCAACATGTTGGCCAGGCAGGTCTCCAACTCCTGACCTCACGTGATCTGCCCACCTCGTCCTCCCAAAGTGCTGGGATTACAGGTGTGAGCCACTGCTCCCAGCCCATTAGTGCAATTTGATGTGTGGCTTTGCCGGGCTCAGTGGCTCACATCTGTAATTCTAGCACTTTGGGAGGCCAAGGTGGGCAGATTGCTTGAGCTCAGGAGTTCAGGACCAGCCTGGGCAACATGGTGAAACCCTGTCTCTACTAAAGATACAAAAATTAGTCAGGCTGGTGGTGCGTGCCTGTAGTCCCAGCTACTCAGGAGGTTGAGGTGGGAGAATCACCTGAGCCTGGAAGGTTGAGGTGGCAGTGAGCCCTAATTGGGCCACTGCACTCCAATCCAGCCTGGACAACAGAGACCCAAAAAAACAGAAGTATCAGTCTTGTGACTTTAAGAAACTTCTGTGGCCAGGTGCAGTGGGTCACACCTGTAATCCGAGCACTTTGGGAGGCCAAGGTGGGCAGATCACCTGAGGTCAGGAGTTCCAGACCAGACCTGCCCACATGGTGAAACTCCCATGTCTACTAAAAATACAAAACTTAGCCGGGTTTGGTAGCTGGTGCCTGTAATCCCAGCTACTCAGGAGGCTGAGGGTGAAGAATCGCTTGAACCTGGGAGGCTGAGCCAAGATCACACCACTGCACTCCAGCCTGGGCAACAGAGCAAGACGCTGTCTCAAAAACAAGAAAGAAAGAAACAAACTTCTGTAATTAGAAAATGAGTCCTTCTATGGTTTAAATTTTTTTTTTTTTTTTTGAGACAGAGGCTCACTCTGTCGCCCAGGTTGGAGTGCAGTGGTGCGATCTCGCCTCACGGCAACCCTCACCTCCCAGGTTCAAGCGATTCTCCTGCCTCAGCCTCCCAAATAGCTGGACTACAAGTGTGCACCACCACACCCAGCTAATTTTTTGTATTTTTAGTAGAGACAGGGTTTCACCATGTTGGCAAGGCAGGTCTCGAACTCCTGACCTCAAGTGATCCACCCGCCTGGGCCTCCCAAAGTGCTGGGATTACAGGTGTGAGCCACTACGCTCAGCCAGGCTTAAATTTAAGTTGACAAAACTGACTGCCCCATTTGTTCCCTTGAAACCAAAGTTTCATTTAGTAAGCTGCTCTTCTCTGTCTTGCACTTTGAATTTTACAGAAAAATTACTTTTATACTGAATGGTAATGTGATAAAAATGGAAAGAAATCGGGCCTACAGATTTTGGATTCCAATTCTGGTTTCCCCTGTGAACTAATCTCTTAACCTATTTCCTCATTTGTAAAGTGGCAGTAATTTTATATTTTATTACAGTAACCAACACAGTGTAGATCCTCAAAAATGTTCATTTTCTTCCCCCTTATTCCCTTTTGTAAAGATGTATTTATTCTGTGTATTTCAGGTACTACATTAAACCTTCTGAAGTTTCCTATTTGCAACCCAACTCCTTACAGAATGTTTAAAAGGCATCAAAGACTTAAAAAAGATTCAACTCAAGCTGAAGAAGATCTTAGTGAGCAAGAACAAAATCAGCTTAATGTCCTCAAAAAGCATGGTTATGTCGTAGGTAAGCATCCTCTATGGGAAAACCCTCGTTGGTACTATGCTAAAATTCTTTGTTAAGCAACCTGAAATACAGCTGTCCGAGGCTAGCCAGTTTTTGTGGGGAGAGACTGCCTTCCTTATTCTGCAACAAAGAGGCCCTTTAGCGATAAGGCTACTGTTTGGAAACCCAGAGCAGTACAGGTAGTAAAAGTTTTTACTCCATGCAGCAGCTTTAGATTAGGTTGTCTGTCTTTCCTTGGTATATCTTTTCAGCCTTTCTTTAAAACAGTCTGATTTCCACACACCCTTGCCCCCGCCACTCCATGTACACAGCCAGCCACACGCTTGATTATTGCAAGAGTTGACTCCCACTGCTTTTTGGAAAAAAAAAAAAGCAAAAGTATCATTATGGTCTCACTTCCCTACACTGTAATCTTAGTAACTTGTTTGAGGGAAACATAAAAATTATGTCTGGAGTTAAAAGTATTAAAGGAGTGACTAATAACCTTACTATAACTTGTTCTAGGAAGAGTTGGAAGGACATTCTTGTATTCAGAAGAACAGAAGGATAACATTCCCTTTGAGTTTGATGCTGATTCACTTGCCTTTGACATGGAAAATGACCCTGTTATGGGTACACACAAATCCACCAAACAAGTAGAATTGACTGCACAAGATGTGAAAGATGCCCACTGGTTTTATGACACCCCTGGAATTACAAAAGAAAATTGTGTATGTATTTGGTTTCTTTTAGAAACATTTACTTTCTTTTTCTTTTTTAATGGGTTTATATTGCCTGCTGCCCAGATACAGCCAATTTATCAAGACAGGGGAATTGCAATAGAGAAAGAGTGTAATGCATGTAGAGCCAGCTAAATGGGAAACTGGAGTTTTATTACTAGTCATATCAGCCTCAGAAACATTTACTTTCAATTGCACAAGTACTGCTGTCTTAATTGGCAGAAAACAGGAAAAGAAGTATACTTCCATTTTAGACTCAGTTCTGATTCATTCATGAAAGCTGTTTAGGGGTGAATCTGTATGCCATCAAGTTCTGTGTTCCATTTGATAGACTTCATTGCTGACAACCAACTTATTTTATCATTGTGATTGTTACCTTGGTTAGGGAAACGTTTACAGAAGCCTAGGTTTTGAGGTTGGAAAAACACATAAATATCACTGGAGTCCAACTCCCTAGTCCCTGCTTGAATTACCTCTGTAACATATCCATCAAGGGGTCCTCCATCTTGAACTGAAAGGAGTGACTCACCAAAGCTGAAACTGTCATGTCACCTTCCAAGGTAACTCATTTGGGTCTTTGACCTTCTCTTTGTATTGAGTGTACTGAGCTGAATAGTCTCCCTGTAACATGTATCCATTGTTCCCCAAAGCCATCTGGGACTAAGGTAATACCTATTTCCCTTGCCAGACAAATATTTTAAAATGTAACGTCCCATCTCTTCTTCACCTATCCCTCCCTTTTCTTCTCTTTCATTACTTCATCCAGCAAACGTTGAGCATTCACTGTGCCCACAATCTGGATTATTTGTCTTCATTTCCTACAGCTGTGCTGTAGGAAACAGGCTATTCATTGGCCCAGGCCTCTTCAGAATGTTTTCTATGTTTGTTCTTAAAGTGTGACACTGAGAACTCAGTGCTCTCAGGTGAGCATGATTTAGAATAGCATTAACTCCGACCGGGCGCAGTGGCTCACGCCTGTAATCCCAGCACTTTGGGAGGCCCAGGCGGGCAGATCACAAGGTCAGGAGATCGAGACCATCTGGGCTAACACGGTGAAACCCTGTCTGTACTAAAAATACAAAAAATTAGCCAGGAGGTAGTGGGCACCTGTAGTCCCAGCTACTCGGGAGGCTGAGGCAGGAGAATGGTGTGAACCCGGGAGGCGGAGCTTGCAGTGAGCTGAGATCGTGCCACTGCACTCCAGTCTGGGTGACAGAGCAAGACTCTGTCTCAAAAAAAAAAAAAAAAGAATAGCATTAACTCCACCTGTCTTGTCCCTATGCCTCTCTTTTATCCAATTGCTCATGGACAACTTTGGGCCTCATAGGTAACTTTGACTTTGTCTTGTTAAATTCAGCCTATATCTTACTCTGTTAAATATTCATTCAATCTCATTACTTTTTATATTTGCAGTTTGGATCTTCATTCAGATCATTGATTGACTCAAATGTGCATCCAGGATACAGCCTCACAACAGATTCATTAATCATTTCCTTCGAATCTGGTTACTGACCAGTTTCCGATTTTCTAATTATCTCTGTATCTCCCTACAAAACCACATTGGTTTCTTAGGTACTTTTCTTGGCCTCATCAGGAACACTTATAGTTACATTCTCAGAATTGTATTCTATTTGGTGTCCCCTGTCATTGAATCATACACACCTTTTAAATTTTATTGCTCTCCTGGAATAATTGCTCATGCCATCTTTTCTTCCTTAGCAGTCCAAAAGTTCAGAGCTGCTTTCTAATAATATTCTGTCACTTTAGCTTAATGAACTAATTCTTCCCCCACCATACTTTTTTTTTTTTTTTTTTTTTTTTTTGAGATGGAGTCTGACTCTCTTGCCCAGGCTGGAGTGCAGTGGCGCAATGATCTTGGCTCACTGCAACCTCTGCCGCCTGGGTTCAAGCGATTGTCCTGCCTCAGCCTCTCGAGTAGCTGGTATTAGAGGCATGTACCACCACACCCAGCTACTTTTTGTATTTTTAATAGAGACAGGGTTTCGCCATGTTGGCCAGGCTGGTCTCAAACCCCTCACCTCAGGTAATCCACCCACTTCAGCCTCCCAAAGTGCTAGGATTGTGGATGGGAGCCACTACGCCCAGACTAATTCTTCCCTTTCAGATGCTATTAGATCAGGCATAGCAGTTACTTCAGTCATATATCCTCTATTAAATAGTTGTGTCAGAAAGGCAAGAATTTGCAAAATACTCTAGACAGCAGAATGAGAACCCCAAATTTTTAGATATAAACGTCTGTCAGCACTGGTAGTTTGCTTCTCTGTTAGTTTACAGATAAACTTATTTGATGTCTTAAACCAGGGTTTCCCAGACTGAACCAAGGATCTCTGTTGTGAAATGAAAGTATTAAGACTCAGGCTGTGCACAGTGCCTCACACCTGTAGTCCCAGCACTTTGGGAGGCCGAGGTGGGAGGATTGCTTGAGCCCAGGAGTTTGAGACCAGCCTGGGCAACATGCCAAAACTGTATCTCTACTAAAAATACAAAAAATTAGCTGGGCATGGTGGTACATGCCTGTAATCCCAGCTATTGAGGAGGCTGAGGCACAAGAATCACTTGATACACTTATTGGGAGGCAGAGGTTGCAGTGAGCCGAGATCATGCCACTGCAGCCCAGCCTGGGCAACAGAGTGAAACCCTGTCTCAACAAAAAAGAGAGACAAGGTTTCCCCTGTTGCCCAGGCTGGAATGCAGTGGCGTGATCAAGTAACTTCAAAGTCCTGGGCTCAACCAATTCTCCCACTTCAGCCTCCCAAGTAGCTAGGGCCACAGGTACATACCACCATGCCCAACTAATTGTTTAGTTTTTGTAGAGACAGGACCTCGCTATGTTGCCCAGTCTGGTCTAGGCTGGAGTGCAGTGGTGGAATCTTGGCCCACTGTAACTTCTGCCTCCCTGGCTCAAGCAATCCTCCACCTCAGCCTCCAGGGTAGCTGGGAACTACAGACACACGCCACCCCAGCTAATTTTTGTATTTTTCATAGAGGTGAGGTTTTGCCGTGTTGCCCAGACTGGTCTCAAACTCCTGAGCTCAGCTGGGCACAATGGTGCATACCTGTAATCCCAGCACTTTGGAAGACCAAGGTAAGTGGATCACTTGAGGTCAGGAGTTCGAGACCAGCCTGGCCAACATGACAAAACCCCGTCTCTACTAAAAATACCAAAAAAATTAGCCAAGCATGGTGGCGCACGTCTGTAATCTCAGCTACTTGGGAGACTGAGACAGGAGAATTGCTTGAACCCGGGAGGCAGAAGTTGCAGTGAGCCAAGATCACACCATTGCACTCCAGCCTGGGTGACAGAGCAAGACTCCGTCTCAAAAAAAGAAAAAAACTCCTGAGCTCAAGTGATCTGCCTGCCGCTGCCTCTGAAAGTCCTGGGATTACAGGCATGAGCCACCATGGCTGACCTGCAAATGGCTTTTAATGTGCCTTTTCAAACACAAATAATGAAGAAAACTATCTGCAGCCCCCTTATTATTTTTTTGTGAGCTGCTATGTATCATTTCTATTTTTTATTTTCTTGTTATTCTCTTTTTTTCCTTTGAGACGGAGTCTTGCTCTATGGCCCAGGCTGGAGGGCAGTGGTGCAATCTCGGCTCACCACAACCTCCGCCTCCCGGATTCAAGTGATTCTCCTGCCTCAGCCTCCCGAGTAGCTGGGATTACAGGTGCACGCCACCACGCCCGGCTAATTTTGTATTTTTAATAGAGATGGGCTTTCTCCATGTTGTTCAGGCTGGTCTCAAACTCCTGACCTCAGGTGATCTGCCCGCCTTAGCCTCCCAAAGTGCTGGGATTACAGGCGTGAGCCACCGCGCCCAGCCTCTTGTTAAGAAAGAAGTTTACAAGTTTTGTGTCCAATTTGTACCTTCTTTATTCTTTTTTAACCAGATTTTGATTCCTTAAATCTTTGCAGAATCTTGTACTTCTGTCTTTCCTTTTCTATTTTTCTCTAGTCTCTCTAGGAACTTGTCATCCTTAGAAGGGATTTATTATAAATCATAGGGATAAATTATAAATCCTCTGTGTTATAAGCATAGGGGATTTATAACTTTTTCTCATTCTCTGCTGAATATTTGGGAGAAATAAGGAAATTGAAGACCAGAATTTAGAAAGAGGTTCTTCAGCCACTTTACTTGCTCCTAGAATGGGGTGACCATTTTGCATTTAATGCATGCATACTTACCACTAGGACATAAGGTCACGTATACCATTACTTTAAGCGGAAATTGCTACTGCCCACAAGCCTTGATAAGGAGAGCATATATTTTCTATCTTGGTATTGAATCAACATGTTTTCAGGTTCACATTAATTTTGACATTTAGGGAATGCTGCTGACATAGGAAAGTCTCATACACCTATAAAGTTATTTTGCCATTACTGTAGATTAAGTTGTAAAACAAGGGTAGAGCCATCAGATTGAAATTAATTTAGACAGGAAGAATCTATATAAATTTGATGCATAGCAAACTCTGACATAATTTGGTTTATTTTGAAGTCTGGCATATTTTTCATCACTTTTTATTTTACGGGTAAATCATAATATATCATATTTTCAATAAAAGTATTTTCTTAAAAATCTGCCATTTGCTTCACAGATTTTAAATCTTCTAACAGAAAAAGAAGTAAATATTGTTTTGCCAACACAGTCCATTGTTCCAAGAACTTTTGTGCTTAAACCAGGAATGGTTCTGTTTTTGGGTGCTATAGGCCGCATAGATTTCCTGCAGGTAAGAAAAGTCTGTACTATTAAAAAATGATTTTAAAATATTGGGATTCACTTTAAGGAAGCAGATGTATGAACACGACTGACAAAATGTTGATAACTAAGCCATGATTGTATTGGGTTTAATTTGTTTTTATGTTTAAAAATTTCTGTAATAAAAACTTGGGGATGGCTGGGCACAGTGGCTCACACCTGTAATTCCAGCACTGTGGGAGGCTGAGGCAGGCTGATCACTTGAGGCCAGGAGATCAAGACCCGCCTGGTCAACGTGGTGAAACCCCATCTCTACTAAAAATACAAAAATTAGCTGGGCGTGGTGGCACACACTTGTAATCCCAGCTACTAGAGAGGCTGAGGCAGGAAGATCACTTAAACCTGGGAGGCGGAGGCTGCAGTGAGCTGAAATTGCACCACTGCACTCCAGCCTGGGTGATGGGGCGAGACTCCATATCAAAAAAAAAAAAAAAACTTGGGGAAAAGAAATGCCCTACTCCCTCATCCCCCCAAAAAAGTGCTAGGTCTTGAAAACTTACGTTTTCAATTGAGTACCCTACACAGCTTGGCATTTAAGACAAGATACTATCCCTATTCTATGGGATAGAGTCAAACCTATGGGATAAAGTCAAACCTTTAGGTACAGGGTTATAGGCGTTAAATTAATTCCACACTTTGTATACCATGATATGTGTGTTTTTATGCATACACGTTTTTGTTTGGTATTCGTTTATATAGCATCTAGGGATTTTGGAGTGTCTATAGAATTGCTCTCCATTTTGCTAAAGTGAAGAGAAAAAGGAAAATGAAACATGGATATGGATATGTCCAACAACACAATACAACTGTGTGCCATTACTATAGCACATTTCTTGGGTTTTGTGTTTGCTCATACTTTGTTAGAAATTTTGCCTTACACACTTAGAACCCTTATATATTTCGTTTTGGGAGGTTGTTGGTTTTTTGCTTTTGGGGTTGGTTTTTTGTTTTTTTGTTTTTTTGTTTTTTTTTTTTGAAACAGCATCTCTCTCTGTTGCCCAGACTGGAGTGCAGTGGTACAGTCACGGCTCACTGTGGCCTCAACCTCCTGGGCTCCAATGATCATCCCACCCCAGCCCCGCAAGTAGTCGGGACTACAGGCACACATCACCACACCCAGCTAATTTTTGTATTTTTTATAGAGACAGGGTTTTGCCATGTTTCCCAGGCTGGTCTCAAACTTGAGCTCAAGGGATTCACCCACCTCGGCCTTCCAAAATGCTGGGATTATAGGCATGAGCCACCACACCAGGCTTGCACCCTTATATATTTCATCAGAACACATAAAATGTTAATATTTTAAACCTAACTTTACACAGAGACAATTAAAGCAGATAGTATTTCCTTTTAATTTTTAATAATAGACTTTTTTCAAAAATAGTATTGGGTCTGTCAAAGAAGTCATAGTTTCACATGAATTGCTGAAATGCACTGCTTCAGTATTGTGCCCCTGTTCTTAGTAATAATTTGATTTACAGCTACTGCCATACCAGTACTTATAAAGGGAGTCTGATTGGGTTTTTGTTTTTTGGTTTGTTTTTTTTTTAGTTGATTGTACCTTGAATATGCAGGTTTTCCAAGTTTTTCACCAGGTCAGATAACTTCTTCCTTTCTTAAGGGAAATCAGTCAGCTTGGTTTACAGTCGTGGCTTCCAACATCCTCCCTGTGCATATCACCTCCTTGGACAGGGCAGACGCTCTGTATCAGAAGCATGCAGGTCATACGTTACTCCAGGTAAGGCAACATGCCTTGATTGCATGGTTATGGTTAGTATACACTGGGATGGTCCCATAGCTCTGTTAAGAAAGCCTTTGTTGTACAGAACTGTTATACAATATCTTGAGCTAGCTTTCCCTCACCTCATTCTCTTTGAGAATTCTGGCTATAAAGCAAAATTGCTCTATATAGACTGATCCTAGAATAGCCACACAGCTATTTTTTTCTCTAGACTACACTGTCCAATTTGGTAGCCATTAGCCCACATGTGGCTAAGTTTAAATATATTAGTGACAATTAAAATTTGCTCAGTGGCCAGGTGTGGTGGCTCACGCCTATAATCCCAGCACTTTGGGAGGCCAAGGCAGATGGATCACAAGGTCAGGAGTTCAAGACCAGCCTGGCCAAGATGGTGAAACCCCATCTCTACTAAAAATACAAAAATTAGCCAGGCGTGGTGATGGGTGCCTGTAATCCCAGCCACTCAGAAGGCTGAGGCAGGAGAATCACTTGAACCAGAGCGGCAGAGGTTGCAGTGAGCCAAGATCGCGCTACTGCGCTACTGCACTCCAGCCTGGGCAACAGAGACTCCATCTCAAAAAAAAAAAAAAAAAAAAAAGAAAATTTGCTCAAGTTAGCCAGGTATGGTGGCATGCACCTGTAATCCCAGCTCCTCGAGAGGTTAAGGCAGGAGGACCACTTGAGCCCAGGAGTATGAGGCTGTGGTGAGCCATGATTATGCCACTGCACTCTAGCCTGGGTGACAGAGTGAAACCCTGTCTCTAAAAAAAAAAAAAAAAAAGGGAAAATTTAAAATATGGTTGCTTAGTGTCACCAGCCACATTTTGAGTGCCCAATAGTGACATTGTTGCAAAAAGTTGTATAAACTCCTGACAGCCTCATCACCAATACACACACACACACACACACACACACACACACACCATACTTTGGACAATTAAGCTATAGTTCCCCGAACTCATCATCCTTTTTCCAGTTTTTATCTGTACCTGTGGCGACCGAAAATATCTTTCCACCAAATAACTTTGACTCATTTCTCAAAATATTGCTCATATATTGCTTGTTTTTGTTATATATATATAGCTTCTTTACTAATGTTTTCCTTGACTGAACACATTCATTACTCCTTCCTTCACAACCATAGTACTTATAGATGCCTCACATTACATTTCTGACCTTGTATTAGCTTACATATTATCTACCCCTTTGATTTCCTTGGGGGCAGAAACCATACTGCAAAATCTATCTTTGTGTTCTTAGTGCTAAACACAGGAGAGATTTGCTAATGAATAGATGAATAAATTACCCAGTTACAGCCAAGCGCAGTGGCTCACACCTGTAATCCCAGCACTTTGGGAGGCCGAGGTGGGCAGATCACCTTGAGGTCAGGAGTTTGAGACCAGCCTGGCTAACATGGTGAAACCCTGTTTCTACTAAAAATACAAAAAAATTGGCCTGGTATGGTGGTGCGCGCCTGTAATCCCAGTTACTCGGGAGGCTGAGACAAGAGAATCACTTGAGCCTTGGAGGCGGAGGTTGCAGTGAGCTGATATCGTGCCATTACACTCCAGCTTGGGCAGCAAGAGCAAAACTCCATCTCAAAAAAAAAAAAATTACTCAATTACTTCTAATCGTGGAAACACCTGTAAACATAAAAGCTAAATCTTATCCATTATATATGGACCCTTAACTCATAAAGACCAGGCATTAATCCTGATGGCCACACCTATAAGAACTAAGGTACTTAGAAGGACCGTGCCTTAATTGCCCAACATTAATCTATGTGAGGCCCTGTGGAGGATTCTAAAAACAGTGTCAGTGAAGCACAATTCTCCTGTCCAGAGGCTTCTGCCAGGTGCTTGCCCAATGTGTGGCCCAGAGCCCTGAGATTTGTAAGCTTCATCCCATCACAGAGTTCCCTTGCTTTTCATTTGACCCCAGAAGTGATTGCAAGTTCTTTTCAACAGTTGAATATTTGAAAGGATTTTATTCTTGATCCCTGTACAGAATTATCTTATCAGTGATTTGCTTAATGTTAGAGTTCCAAGAAATTTAATTTGAACTTGTAAATATCTTTATTTCATTGGAAGATTCCAATGGGTGGAAAAGAACGAATGGCAGGATTTCCTCCTCTTGTTGCTGAAGACATTATGTTAAAAGAAGGACTGGGGGCATCTGAAGCAGTGGCCGACATCAAGTTTTCCTCTGCAGGTAATTTTATGCCAAGCACTTTTTAAAAAGTGAATAAAAGGGCAGGCACGGTGGCTCACACCTGTAATCCCAGCACTTTGTGAGGCCGAGGTGGGCGGATCACCTGAGGTCGGGAGTTTGAGACCAACCTGACCAACATGGAGAAACCCCGTCTCTACTAAAAGTACAAAATTAGCCGGGCATGGTGGCGCATGCCTGTAATTCCAGCTACTCGGGAGGCTGAGGCAGGAGAATCGCTTGAACCCAGGAGGCGGAGGTTGCGGTGAGCCTAGATCATGCCATTGCACTCCAGCCTGGGCAACAAGAGCCAAACTCCATCTCAAAAAAAAAAAACAAAAAGTGAATAAAGCAGCCTTACCGACAATTTTTTTTATAGAAAAGTGCCTTAACTGATGAAAGCTGATTATTTTAAGGTGTACATACTAGTTTATTCATAAAATACAACCTATTCTGAAAATAAATTTGTACTTTGCACAAACGCATTGTATGCTTTTTTAAAACTAAGGTGTGTCCACCTGTGCCCCCAGCTTCTCGGGACGCCGAGGCAGTACGATCGCTTGAGCCCAGGAACTTGAGTTCAGCCTGGGTAACATAGCAAGACGCAGTTTCTTAAAAAATAATAAAATAATAAGAGAGTGAAAGAGAGTGACAGCGTTCTCTGATAGTCCATTTTCAGCTTTGGTTTGGTATTTTTAATAAGATGATTGCTAACAGCCTTTTGTGTTGTGTCACATGCCTGCATAGGTTGGGTTTCAGTAACACCTAATTTTAAGGACAGACTGCATCTCCGAGGCTATACACCTGAAGGAACAGTTTTGACCGTCCGGCCCCCTCTCTTGCCATATATTGTTAACATCAAAGGACAGCGCATCAAGAAAAGTGTGGCCTATAAAACCAAGAAGCCTCCTTCCCTTATGTACAACGTGAGGAAGAAGAAAGGAAAGATAAATGTATGAGACCGACCTTGTTCACTCCAGATATTAACTGTATTGAACACAACAAAATACATTGAATTTGTATTAAACATATAACGCATAAATAAAGCTCCCATTCTTACCCTTTTTTTCTTTTTTCTTTTTTTTTTTTTCTGAGACTGAGCCCTGCTCTGTTGCCCAGGTTGGAGTGCAGTGGCACGATCTTGGCTCACTGTAACCTCTACCTCCCAGGTTCAAGCAATCCTCCTGCCTCAGCCCCCCAGTAGCTGGGATTACAGGCATGCGCCACTATGCCCAGCTAAGTTTTGTATTTTTAGTAGAGATGGGGTTTCACCATGTTGGCCAGGCTGGTCTCGAACTCCTGACCTCAGGTGATCCATCCGCCTCAGCCTCCCAAAGTGCTGGGAATACAGGCGTGAGCCGCCGCGGCCAGCCTCACCCTTTTCAAAGCTCTTAACAGTTAACTTTTTTAAACTATTCAAGACTTATGTTCATAATGTATTCAGCTTATAAAAAGTTTTTTTTTTTGTATAGTATGTATATGGTATGTATCTGTGACCCACATATATATAAAATTGGAAGCCTGCTATATTCAAGTTTCTCCCACTACTGTTGTTTCTTTTTTTTTTTTTTTTTTTTTTTTTGAGACAGGGTCTTGCTCTGTCACCCAGGCTGAAGTACAGTGGTGCAATCTCGGCTCACTGCAAATTCCACCTCCTGGATTCAAGCAATTCTCATGCCTCAGCTTCCTGAGTAGCTAGGATAACAGGTATGCACCACCACCCCTGGCTAATTTTTGTATTTTTAGTAGAGACAAGTTCTCACCATGTTGTCCACCCACCTCGGTCTCCTAAAGTTCTGGGATTACAAGTGTGAGCCACCATGCCCCGCCTCACTACTGTTTTTTATATTGAGACCAGATGTCATTTCTCTTATTTGGAGTTAGCAGTCAGTATATGAAAAAATGGCAGGAAAATTAATTTCTCCAAAATTCATTGGCTTAAATAAGATAGAAGTGAGTAGGTGGCTCTGCTCCAAGGATCCAGCTGGTGGAACATTCCATGGCCATCTGTAGGTCTAAGGTGGCTGCCCAAGTTGTCATCCTTTTCCAGCAAGGGTAAAAAGGGGGAAAGTATGGAGAGCAAGCAACTTCCCTATTTAAAAGAAGGGAAGAAAAGCTGGATGTTGCACACATCAGTTTACATAGTCCACAGGTCAAGTCACATGGCCACACCCACCCATAAGGAAGCTGGGAAATGGAGGAGGAAATGGGAACCATTTGGGGTTTTTATTAAGGAAAAATGGGGAGAATGGATACTAGAGAACAAGTAGAAATTTACCTTACACAATTTGACAATGCCTGAAAATCTTAGATAAAAAAGGATTCAAGGCCAGATGTAGTGGCTCACACCTGTAATCCCAGCACTTTGGGAAGCCAAGGCAGGAGAATCGCTTGAGGCCAGGAGTTCAAGATCAGCCTGGTCAACATAGTGAGACCCCATCTCTATTATTTTTTTTAATAAAAATGAATTGTCGGCTGGACACAGTGGCTCAACGCCTGTAATCCCAGCACTCTGGGAGGCCAAGGCAAGTGGATCACCTGAGGTCAGGAGTTAGAGACTAGCCTGGACAACATGGTGAAACCCCATCTCTACTAAAAACACAAAAATTAGCCAGGCGTGGTGGGCACCTGTAATCCCAGCTACTCGGGAGGCTGAGGCAGGAGAATTGCACGAACCCAGGAGAAGGAAGTTGCAGTGAGCCGAGATCACACCACTGCACTCCAGCCTGGGCAACAAGAGCAAAACTTCATCCCAAAAAAACTAAATAAATAAAGATTTTTAAAAAGCTATGTATTTCTAGCAACTGAGGTCTATTCTGCAACTGAGAGGACACTTTAACCATTTTATTTACATTTCATCTTTATATGACTGAATAACATTACATCAATCAGAAGTCTTTATTGGCCAGGAGCAGTGGCTCATGCCTGTAATCCCAACATTTTGGGATGCCAAGGCAGGAGGATTGCTTGAGTTTAGGAGTTCAAGACCAGCCTGGGCAACACAGCAAGACCTCATCTCTACTAAAACCCAAAAAAATTAGCCAGGTGTGGCGCTGTGTGCCTGTAATCTCAGCTACTGGAGAGGCTGAGTCAGGAGGATCACTTGAGCCTGGGATATGGAGGCTGCAGTGAGCTATGATCACATTACTGCACTCCAGCCTGGGCAACAGAGCGAGACCCTGTCTGAAAAAAGGAAAAAAGAAAAAGTCTACACCTTTTGTTATTCCTAGCTGAGTAAGTAGTACCACAGCTGTGTCATGAAGAATTGGCAAGTCAAGTCCCAGATCCTAATGTTGAAATAAATGCTGGTAAGATAAGCTAGGCTGAAACGCAGTTAGAGCCATGAAATTCCTGAGAGGACCATGTTCTGTCCCAACATATGGGAGCCCCCATGTATTTCACACTCTCCTGTCTTCTCCCCACTCCTCAGTCCTCTTCTAAGTCCTCTTAGATTAAATATAATGGAGAATTTTTTAAGATGATGCAACTTGTTGTAGACCTTTCATAGTGTTTCAAAGTGAGTACTACTGGTATCTTGGGCAAGGTGGTTCTTTCTTTATATATAAAACTGCATTTCAGCCGGGCGCGGTGGCTCACGCCTGTAATCCCAGCACTTTGGAAGACCGAGGCGGGCGGATCATGAGATCAGGAGATTGAGACCATCCTGGCCAACAAGGTGAAACCCCGTCTCTACTAAAAATACAAAAATTAGCTGACTGCGCTGGCGCGTGCCTGTAGTCCCAGCTACTCCGGAGACTGGGGCAGGAAAATCCCTGGAACCTGGTAGGCGGAAGCTGCAGTGAGCCAAGATCGCGCCACTGCAGTCCAGCCTGGGCAACAGAGCAAGACTCCGTCTCAAAAAAAAACAAAAAAACTGCATTTCATTATGTCTGGTATCTCTCATCCCAGACACTAAATGCAGTAGCAACTCCCTCTGCTGTCAGTCCTGGTGACAACTGGAAAGTGCCCCCAACATCATATTACCTCTAGAGGGCGGCAGCTTCCCAAATGGAGAAAATTGATTGGCAGTTGATTTCTAGTTTTTATTTTGGAGGGAATGAAATACCATTTATTTTATAAGTTAAAATTGTGTCTGGGTGCGGTGGCTCACACCTGTAATCCAACACTTTGGGAGGCCAAGGTGGGTGGATCACCTGAGGTCGGGAGTTCGAGAGCAGCCTGACCAACATGGAGAAACCCCATCTCTACTAAAAAAAAAATACAAAATTAGCCAGGTGTGGTGGCACATGCCTGTAATCCCAGCTACTTGGGAGGCTGAGGCAGGAGAATCGCTTGAACCCGGGAGGCAGAGGTTGCGATGAGCTAAGACCGTGCCATTGCACTCCAGCCTGGGCACAAGAGCAAAACTCCATCTCAAAAAAAAAAAAAAAAATTATGGTCATTATATTTCTACCTATGGTTGAAAACAGGAGTTCACAGTTCAGAGCTTAGGCCAGGATATTTAGGTAGAATTAAAACAAAAAACAGGCAGGAAAGAAAGCCAGCAAAGGGTGAACTGGGCCTTTGTGGAGAAACAATCTAAAAACTGACTACTATCACCCTGACAACTTAAGAAAATGTATTTCAGAAAACAGGGCTCACACCCATAATCCAAACACTTTGGGAGGCCAAGGCAGGAGGATCCCTTGAAGCCAGGCATTCAAGACCAGCCCTGGCAACATAGTTAAGACCCTGTCTCTACAAAAAAAAAAATTTAATTTAGCTGGGCATGGTGACACCCACCTGTAGTCTCAGCTATTCAGGAGGCTGAGGTGGGAAGATCCCTTGAGCCTGGGAGGTTGAGGCTGCAGTAAGCCATGATTGCACCACTGCACTCCAGCCTGGGTGACAGAGCAAGACTCCATCTCAAAAAAAAAAAAAGCAGGAAAGAAAGCCAGCAAAAAGAGTGAGAAAGATGCTCTATGCCTAGAATTAGTTGAGGACTTCTACTGGGATCTGGTATTAATTTATTCCATATTGTGCCTCCAATTTAATGCAGCCTAGGATCACTGCTAGGATCAAGTGTTTCCTAGTAGATTTTCCTTTAAGAAAGTTCCATTACTGTATTGGTGCAGTAGTGCATTGCTTAGCAACAGGGATGTGTTCTAAGAAATGCATCGTTAGGCAATTTCATCTTTGGACAAACATCATAAAGTGTATTTACACAAACCTAGATGGTATAGCCTACTCTACACCTAGGCTGTATGGTATAGCCTATGGCTCCTAGGCTACAAACCTGTACAACATGTTGCTGTACTGAATTCTGTAGGCAATTGTAACACAAATCATTAGGCAATAGGTATTTTCTGACTCCATTATAATTTTACCAGACTACGGCTGTATATGTGGCCCATTGCTGACCAAGAAGTCATTATGCGATACATGACTGTACTTCTTTATCCATTAATCTGAATATAACGACATCTTTTGAATCAGTAGTCACTTACACTATGACAGGGTACAAGAATTAGTGGGCTCTTCTGGCCAGGAACGGGAGGAGAAATTAAGGGCAAAGTACCAACTCCTCACTTCCACAGATCACAGAGGTGGTTAGGGGTTGCTAGAAAACAATGAAGCAAGTTTATTCTAGATTGTTTACCTGGCTCTGCAGCACTGTGGTGTTGAGCATGTCACCTCTTTTGTATTCATGACACCCAAAAGAAGTAAAATAAATTCCATCAAAGTACTTTTTGACTTTTATGTGATATTAGGTTCAAAGTTTTATTTTAAAAAGTTACACGTAATCCCTCTGCTTTTCCCCCCTCTAATTAAACTAAAATAACAACATCTTCTTCAAAGTTACTAAGACAAATTAAAGTTGTAATATGTTTTGTATCTTTAATCACCATAAATGCCAAGCTGTGCCGATCACTAAGTCTTTACTGTATAGTTCCCCAGAGTCTAGTTTATTTAACTTGAGACACTCACTTCCCATAACAACCAAGGAGAAGCGGAGTAGAGATGCAATCTTGTGTGCCTGTGTCTCTAGTGTTCAGACTCTTCTTGCACAATGGACATAGGCTGGTTTCCTGCAGCTGACTAACATGGAGGAGCTCCAGCTGTGTCAGCCATGACAGAGTTGTTATTGCTTCACTGAGTAAGCACCCAGCGCGCAAGCTGAGGCGGGCTGTTTCATAGACGGGCTCGGATCATTTACCCTGGCTTCCCTCCCACTTGGCTCTGTGTCGTGGAGCATTAGAATCATTTCCATTCTTTCTCAGCTGTTCCATTTTCTTTTGGCCACTTTCCTCCTCCCAGGGGGATTGTTTTCTCTCAATTGTCAAAGAGTAATGCTTAAACATTAAAAACAAGATTTCAGACTCGTGAATCAAATCGATGACACCTCTGCCTGCTCTGAATGTCTCTCTGTCATATTATCTGCCCCCATTAAGACCTTGTCGTGAGAGGGGAATGGTTCAAGATAGGTTTTTTTGTTTTTTGTTTTGTTGTTGTTGTTTTATTTTTTCAGAGACAGGGTCTCACTCGGCTGCCCAGGCTGGAGTGTAGTGGTGTAATCACAGCTCAACGCAGCCTTGACCTCCTGGGCTCAAGTGATACTCCCGCCTCAGCCACCCGAGTAGCTGGAACTATAGGCAGGTGCCACCACACCCAGCTAAATTTTTTATTTTTGTAGAGACAGGGTCTCACTTTGTTGCCCAGGCTGGTCTCAAACTCCTAGCTTCACCAATCCTCCCACCTCAGCCTCCCAAAGTGCTGGGATTACAGGTGTGAGCCACCACACCAGGCCAAGATTACTATTTTAACATCATATTGCAGTGATGCCTCACCTTTTCCCTTCATGTCATGGAGTTTCATGATCTGAATACTCCTAAGTGTATCTGGATCATCCTCAAAACACCCACTGCTTGGATTCCCAGGTTCCTGCTTTCAAAAGCTGCTTTTGGCTTCGCAAATAATTCTCCGAATTTACCTACTGTGTAGTCAATCTAGTGGGAGAATTTATTTGGTCTTAATATTCTTATTGGTAGATGCTGTAATAGTATGATGCTTAATCACAGACACCGTCAGTACCTCTACCTGGTAGCTGTGGTAAATTGGAAAAAACTGAGGTCACACATACACAAAACAAGCAGACACGTTAGAGAATACATCATCATGTGTCAGGTGATATTGGAAGTGAAATATATGGAAGTGAAAGACTGCCAAGATCCTTTCTAACCTTTCAGTAAGCCCTAGAAAATAGCAGGCATGGCTGGGCGTGGTGGCTCACCCCGGTAATCCCAGCATTTTGGGAGGCCGAGGCAGGTGGATCACGAGGTCAGGAGTTTGAGACCAGCCTGGCCAACATAGTGAAACCCCGTCTCAACTAAAAATACAAAGGTGGCACATGCCTGTAATCCTAGCTACTCGGGAGGCTGAGGCAGGAGAATTGCTTGAACCTGGGAGGCAGAAGTTGCAGCGAGCCGAGATCGTGCCACTGCACACCAGCCCCAGGCGACAGCGTGAGACTCCGTCTCAGAAAAAAAGAAGAAAAGAAAAAGAAAATAGCAGACATTCAATGAATGGATCAATAGAGTGAGAGGATTTTTTTGTTTGCTTGGTTTTTGCCTTCCCTGGAAAATAGGGAAAGAGCAAACTTAAATTTGCTTAGTAGCATTTACACTAACCTCTTATAGAGTTTCTTCCTTTCCTGCATAAAGCCAGTACCTCATGGTTGTTGTATTTCAGACTTCAGATTACTCGTAGTTGCTATAATCATATGATAGCCCATATATCTTTTTACTCCTTTATACTTATATAATAATAATAATAGCTATCACTTATATAGTAATAAAATGAGCCAGGCACTCTTTCAAGTGCTTTACATATATTAACTGAATCCTTACAGCAACCCCATGCAGAAATACTATTATTACCCACATTTACAGATGAGGAAACTGAGGCACAAATAACTTACCCAGGATCTAACTAATAAGTGATGGAGCTGTGATTCAAACAAACCCAGGCACTCTATCTCCAGAACTCATGTGGGGCTTCGTTGTTTTATTTTGAAAAAGGTTCTCACTCTGTCACCCAGGCTAGAGTGCAGTGACACAGTCTCAGCTCACTATGGCACCCACCTCCCAGGCTCAAGCAATCCTTCCATGTCAGCCACCCAAGTAGCTGGACTACAGGCACACGCCACCGCACTCAACTAATTTTTTAATTTTTTGTAGAAACAAGGTCTCACTATATTTCCCAGGCTGGTCTCAAACCCCTGTGCTCAAGCGATCTTCCTGAGTTGGCCTCCCAAAGTGCTAGGACTGCAGGTGTGAGCCACCGTGTGCCCAGCCTGGGGTTTTTAATTATAACAGACTTTGTTTTCATGTACAGTTCTATGGATTTTATCACACGTATATGTTTGTTTAATGACCACCATAATCACAATATAGAACAGTTCTGGCCGGGCACAGTGGCCTGTAATCCCAGCACTTTGGGAGGCTGAGGCAGGTGGATCATGAGGTCAGGAGTTCAAGACCAGCCTGGCTAAGATGGTGAAACCACGTCTCTACTAAAAATACAAAAATTAACCAGGCATAGTGGCGGGTACCTGTAATCCCAGCTACTCATGAGGCTGAGGCAGGGAGAATCCCTTGAACGCGGGAGGCAGAGGTTGCAGTGAGCCAAGATCACAACACTGCACTCCAGCCTGGGCAACAGAGTGAGACTCCATCTCAAAAAAAAGAAAAAAAAGAACAGTTCCATCAATATCCATGTCTTCAACCACTGCACAGTAATTCCTCTATATACTAAAACCCATCAACAAATCTAAAGGTGAGAATTTTTCAACCTTAGGAAGGAAACCTACTTTGAAGACCTTCAAAGATAATAGCACAATTCTCTCGGGAATTCTGGACAACTACCACTTAATCTCCTTCTGGCTTCCTTTGAATTCTACCATATATAATTTCTCCCTGAGCATTTGTCTCAGAGCAGTGTGTGTGTGTGTGTGTGTGTGTGTGTGTGTGTGTAATGTGCTGTGCCCTTGCTGTCTTACTTCAGCACTGCTGCCCAAACCAAAACAGGTATCCCAGTTTGATTTCCATGCTCTCTCACCACCTCAGATGGCTTTAAATGGACTGTGCTTCCCTGGCTGGCTGGGAATCTTTCACATTGCTGATGAGCTTGCCAAGTACCACGGACAGATCACAGCATGCATGGAAATCCTTACCCACAATTCTGATTAAGAAAATAGTAAATTCGATATACAGAAAATTTGGGAAGCAAACATCCAAAAATTACACTAAACTATCATAGAAAAGAGACTGTAATTTTTCATCCTAATCCTACTCATGAGATTAGAACCGGTGATCCCCATTTACTTGCAAATCAAAAAGCCTCAAAAACCAATTTGATAATTTGGCCCTGAACTTGTTTAAATGCCCCTGCTTTTCCTACTTGTGTAGCTCTCAATCCAGTTGCCTGTTTCTTGCTACATCTTACTGACTTTCCCTAAACAGGAGTTACTGGGTTGTCCAATTAAAAGCTTTCTATTATTGCAAGTTTTGCTCAGCATTTAGCATTTGACCTAAATAGATTTATCTTTTTTTTCCCTGTCTTCGACTTTAAACTCTGTGGTGAGGCCGGGCACGGTGGCTCACGTCTGTAATCCCAGCATTTTGGGAGGCCAAGGCAGACAGATCACCTGAGGTTGGGAGTTTGAGACCAGCCTCACCAATGTGGAGAAACCCCATCTCTATTAAAAATACAAAATTAGTCAGGCATGGTGGCGGGCGCCTGTAATCCCAGCTTACTCGGGAGACTGAGGCAGGAGAATCGCTTGAACCCAGGAGGCGGAGGTTGCAGTGAGCTGAGATCGCGCCATTGCACTCCCGCCTGGGCAACAAGAGCGAATCTCTGTCTTTTAAAAAAAAAAAAAAAAAAAAAAAACTATGGTGAAATACTCAACAGGAAGGCAAATTAAAGAAATGGGGCTGCTTTCCTTTAAAATACCAGATAAAAGATGTATTTTACTGAAACACTAGCTTTTTCATTAGATAAATAAAGCTTTATGTAAAGCTAATTCTGAGAAATGTGTTAAAATTTTTCAGCATGGGAACGTGGACAAGAGACTGTTCAACAAAGGAGAACAATGTGTAACTGTCCCATGTACCCACTAACTCCCCCGTTGGGCATGGAGTAAGTCACTTCTAGGTACAGTTGCTCATTTGTTCGTTGAAAATGCTTCTTTTTTATTAACTAGGTTTGAGGACATGATTAGGTTTATATCCACATCTATTGCTGAATAACAAACCACCCTGAAACTTGGTGACTTGAACCAAGCGATTATTTGCTCCCATTCTTTAGTTTGGCAACTTAATCTAGGCTCCGCTCAATGGTACTTCTGCTCTGTGGCGACATGCATTTGCACACAGCACACAGCCAGGCTGACCTCACGCACAGGAGTTTCAGCTGAGATGGTTGTAACAGCTGAGCAAGTGAGGCATTTTCCATTGATCACTCTCTCTTCCAAGGGTCTCATCCTCAAGTAGGCTAGTTCAAGCTTGTTCACAAGGTGACAGTGTTCACAAAAAGCCTGAGAGTAGAGCTTGCAAAGCCTCTGGAGGCCGAAGCTCAAAGTCACACAGTGCCACTTCTGCTGCATTTATTGGTCAAAGCAAGTCACAATGGCAGCACAGATTCAAACATGTACTGGAATTTGTGGCTATTTTAATCCATCACAAGCTTTTGGCGTTGATCACCCTGAAGAAAATACAAATATAATGTGCTATCTAATTGGCCTATAGAAAGTGAATCCAGGCCGGGCACGGTGGCTCAAGCCTTTAATCCCAGCACTTTGGGAGGCCAAGATGGGTGGATCACGAGGTCAGGAGTTCGAGACCAGCCTGGCCAATATGGTGAAACCCCGCCTCTACTAAAAATACAAAAATTAGCTGGGTGTGGTTGCGTGTGCCTGTAGTCCCAGCTACTCAGGAGGCTGAGGCAGAAGACTCGCTTGAACCTGGAACCTGGGAAGTGGAGGTTGCAGTGAGCCGGGATTGCACCACTGCACTCCAGCCTGGGCGACAGAGTGAGACTCCATCTCAAAAAAAAAAAAAAAAATCCAATATAAATCTATCAAATAAGAAATACTGAGTCCAGGCACAGTGGCTCATGCCTGTAATCCCAGCACTTCGGGAGGCAGAGGCAGGTGGATCACCTAAGGTCAGGAGTTCGAGACCAGCCTGACCAACATGGTGAAACCCCATCTCTACTAAAAATATAAAAAGTAGCTGGGCATGGTAGTGCATGCCTGTAATCCCAGCTACTCAGGAGGATGAGGCAGGACAATCGCTTGAACCTGGGAGGTAGAGGTTGTGTTGAGGTAAGATTGCGCCACTGCACTCCAGCCTGGGCAACAAGATGAAACTCCGTCTTAAAAAAAATAAAGAAAGAAAGAAAAGAAAAGAAAAAAAGAGAAATATTATCCTAATTTAAATTTACCTCAGAAGTCTGATACACAGAGCTGCTATATGACGAGCAAAGAAGTGGGGAGAGATTTTCAGCTTTTGATTTTATCATAAATCCTTTAGGAATATTTTGTTTTTACTTATTAATGTGTACATATTACTTGGGTAAATTTCAATGAAAAAAAAAATCCATGCAGACTCAATTCTGGGCTATCTCTCCCTCTAGCTCCAGTACTTATACTAGAAGAAAGCTATCCTAGGAAGTCCTCTACCTGGGAAGTCTCTGTAATGGGGAAGGTAATGAGAACACAGAAATGAAGGGCCTTCATGTCTCAAAATAGTATCCTACTGCTCTCCAAGAAAGAAAAATGGACAAGGGTTTGAGGCAGAGTTCAAGCTGAGGGTCCTGAAGCCATACAAACTCGTTTCTTTTCCTGGCTCCATAACCAGGGAGAGAGGTGGGGAGGCCGTGTGGCTGGAAGTAATTTCAGAACCCCTTTTAGCAGTGGCCATCTGCCAGCATTTTCGCATCTCTATCCCTCCCCTCCCCACACCCGCTTGTCCTGCCAGAGCACACTGGGCCCATACTGAGACAGAAGGGGAGGCAGGGAACAAGGAGAACCATATAGGAGGTCCCTTTGTTCCTAAATCCATCTTCAACTCCATGTTTTACTAGAATCTTATATTGGGGCTGGGTGCAGTGGCTCACGCCTGTAATCCCAGCACTTTGGGAGGCCGAGGTGGGCGGATCACGAGTTCAGGAGATCAAGACCATCCTGGCTAACACGGTGAAACCCCGTCTTTACTAAAAATACAAAAAATTAGCCGGGCGCGGTGGCGGGTGCCTGTAGTCCCAGCTACTTGGGGGGCTGAGGCAGAATGGTGTGAATCCAGGAGGCAGAGCTTGCAGTGAGCCAAGATCGCGCCACTGCACTCCAGCCTGGGTGAAAGAGCGAGACTCCATCTCAAAAAAAAAAAAAAAAAAGAATCTTATATTGGGGTATCTAGAGATGTGATAGTGTTGAAATCCAAAAAGAAACTACTTGAACTGTCCCCATCAGTTAGTGTAAAAACTATCAAGATGAAAAAAACATTGGTCAAAAAGGTGTAAAGCCAATTTTTTTTTTTGAGATGGAGTCTTGCTCTGTCGCCCAGGCTGGAGTGCAGTGGCACAATCTCGGCTCACTGCAACCTCCACTTCGTTCAAGCGATTTTTCTGCCTCAGCCTCCCGAGTAACTGGGACTACAGGCGTGTACCACCATGCCTGGCTAATTTTTGTATTTTTAGTAGAGACGAGGTTTCAGTATGTTGGCCAGGCTGGTCTCTAACTTCTGACCTTAAGTGATCTGCCCACCTCGGCCTCCCAGAGTGCTAGGATTACAGGCATGAGCCACCACACCTGGCCAAAAGGTGATTTTTAAATGCTTTATGAATTAATTTCATCATATATTTACAAGGTTATTAAGTTTGAAGAGGCCACTTACTCTAATGAAAGTGATCAAGCATTCTGGCAAGACTTGAAATCTGGGGATCTGCATAGGTCTCAGGGAATATCTTGAGATTTTCCAGGTTCTGCTACAAGGCACATTGCCCACATAGGTATGAATGTCAGAGGTGTGTGAACCAGAGCAACTTCATCTTAAATAGGAGCTGGGTAAAATGAGGCTGAAACCTACAGTGCTGCATTCCCAGATGGTTAAGACATTCTAAGTCACAGGATGAGACAGGAGGTCAGCACAAATTACAGGTCATAAAGACCTTGCTGATAAAACACGTTGCAGTAAAGGAGCCGGCCAAAATCAACCAAAACCAAAATGGTGATGAGAGCAACCTCTGGTCATCCTCACTGCTACACTCCCACCAGCGCCATGACAGTTTACAAATGCCACAGCAACATCAGGAAGTTACCCTACATGGTCCAAAAAGAGAAGGCATAAATAATCCACCCCTTGTTTGGCATAGGAATAACCATAAAAATGGGGAACCAGTAGCTCTCGGGGCTGCTCTGTCCATGGAGTAGCCATTCTTTTATTCCTTTCCTTTTTTTTTTTTTTTTTTTTTTTTTGAGATAGAGTCTTGCTTTGTCACCCAGGCTGGAGTGCAGTGGCACGATCTCAGCTCACTGCAACATCCACCTCCTGAGTTCATGCAATTCTCCTGCCTCAGCCTCCCGAGCAGATGGGATTACAGGCATGCACCACCATGCCAGGCTAATTTTTGTATTTTTAGTAGAGACGGGGTTTCACCATGTTGGCCAGGCTGGTCTCGAACTCCTGATCTCAAGTGATCCACCCATCTCAGCCTCCCAAAGTGCTGGGATTACAGGGGTGAGCCACCATGCCCAACTCCTTTACTTTCTTAATAAACTTGCTTTCACTTTGCATTGTGGACTCGCCCTGAATTCTTTCTTGCGTGAGATCCAAGAACCCTCTCTTGGGGCCTGGATCGGGACCCCCTTTCCTGAAACATATTTCTGGTGACCACAGAAGAGACTATAGTGCAGAAACCTTGACCCAACAGCTACCTTTGGGTGAATGTTGGGGTCCTGTAACATCTTTCTGGTGACCAGGGAAGTGACTATACTGCAGGAACTCCCGACCCAAAGGCTAACATTGGGTAAGTAGTGGGGTCTGGTAACATCTATCTTGCAAACCACAAAAGGGGCAATACCGAGGAGACCCCCTGACCCAAAGGAAATAGACTCCAGCAGTGATTGGACGACTTTGGGTAAGTGGTGGGGTACCCAGGTAAAGAATGGGATTGGGTTAGAGACCCAACTTAGGGGAGTTAGAGTCTCCCCTAAGACAGAGTAGTTTAGAGGCCCCTCTTAATAAAAGGCAAGGATGCTTGACTAACAGCGGGTTAGAGTCCCTTCTAAGATTTAGGGGGTTAGAGACCCCTCTCAGTAAAGTCTACCTCTCAACTAAAAGGGGTTTGGCACTGCAGGCTACGCTCTTTGTATTAATCTGCCTTGCATTCTTTGCTGATGGCTGTGGGTGACAGGATTAGGTATGTACAGGATCGTGGGTCATGGGGAGCTTTTTCCTCCCTATAAGGGGAAACTTGAGAGCTGATGCGACTGCCGGAAAAGATACCTTCATGACAGCAGCCGCAGACACCTGAACTTTTCAGTGTTGCTGCAATGGGTGGGTCTTTCTCTGGCCTCTCTGAGCATTTTGCCTTCCCCACCCTGCCACAGGCAATGCTTTTTTCTCTCTCCTTTCCCTTTTTTTTTTCTTTTTAATCTTTTCTGCTACTCAGGGCAACCATATTGCCCAGAGTCCATGTGTTGAAACTCCAAGTCGGAGGCTGGATTAAGGATGACAGGGTTGCCGGCCGCGGTGGCTCACACCTGTAATCCCAGCACTTTGGGAGGCCAAGGCGAGTGGATCACGATGTCAGGCATTCGAGATCAGCCTGGTCAACATGGTAAAGCCCTGTCTCTACTAAAAATACAAAAATTAGCTAGGCGTGGTGGCACGTGACTGTAATCCCAGCTACTCAAGAGGCTGAGGCAGGAGAATCACTTGATCCTGGGAGGCGGAGGTTGCAGTGAGCTGAGATCATGCCACTGCACTCCAGCCTGGGTGACAGAGCAAGACTCTGTCAAAAAAAAAAAAAAGGAAAGAAAGAAGAGAAAAAAAGATGACAGGGTCCATCTAGGGGCAAATTTAAGCCTTGCCAGTTTGATATTGGGTGCTAAGCAGAATGGCTAATGTCTATGTTTTATCACACATATTTTGCTCTAGCCAGAACAAAAAAAAAATTTACCTTTATGATGCTGCTTGGCCCCCAGGGCGATGGTGCCACAAGCCACATCACTAGGGCCACTCAGGGAAAGGGAACCCAGAAGCCTGGCATCCCGGGAAAAAGATAAGAATTTCTTACCAGTCAGATTTCTGGTTTCTCTCTGAGCAAACAGTTGAATGAATGGTAAAAAAAAAAAAAAAAAAAAAAGTTAATAGCAAAAAGAAAAAAAGTCTTATCTGAAATTCCTTCTATGGAACAGAGTTCCATCAAAGCCAATTTAAAAAGAGCTTATGTAAAAAATAATTATTCTTGCTGCACTTTATACATATAATCAGGCCAAGTATAATAAAGCAAATCAGTCTTATCATGATTTCTCTTTAGTAAAAATAGGAAACTGGAGAGAAATATTATGTTTCAAGAACTATGCTACACTTGTTATTAAATTCTAGTCTCATTAGTTATTTTTAAGTTTGTTTCTGCGATTTAGGCTAACGTTGCTTATTCCTGTGAACCAAGCAGTAATCTCTGACTGCTGCTCTGAAGAAACAAGAGGATGGGTAATGTAAAAATCTGGATCAATATTCTTATTCTGGACACATTACAATCAGCTAACAACCCTGTATCAGCTTAGTTCCAACAGTTGCCCAGTTCATGAAAAGCCTTCTAATTTAGTTTACTTGGAATAACTTTACTTATTTTGCTTTACTCTTGTGCAATATATTGCTGTTATACTCTTTGTGTAGGAATACAGGACAAGCTTACTAAATATTTTCTTAAACACTAATCTTCCAGATATCACCTTTTGTCAAAACTCAAGAGTTATGAATGGACCTTACCATACTGATGCTTTCTGACTGAGCTCCTCTCTACCCTAATTAGCAAGAGACCCTCATAGTTAGGCAGAAATATCTTCGCCCCCTATTCAGCCTGAAGAAGTTACAGAAGATAGATCTTAATCCCCCTGCAACCTTTAGGATTAAGGGTTCTCCTATAAAAGGGCCGGGGGAAATGTCAGAGGAATGTGAACCAGAGCAATTCCATCTTAAATAGGAGCTGGGTAAAATGAGCTAAAACCTAAGGTGCTGCATTGCCAAATAGTTAAGGCATCTATGTCACAGGATGAGATGGGAGATCAGCACAAACTACAGGTCATAAAGACCTTGCTGATAAAACAGGTCGCAGTAAAGGAGCCGGCCAAAACCCACCAAAACCAAACTAGCGACGACAGTGACCTCTGGTTGTCCTCACTGCTACACTCCAACCAGCACCATAACAGTTTACAAACGTGAGGAAGTTACCTTACACAGTCTAAAAGGGGAGGCATGAATAATTCGCCCCTTGTTTAGCATGTCATCAAGAAATAACCACAAAAATAGGCAACCAACAGCTCTTGGGGCTGCTTTGTCTATGGAGTAGCCATTCTTTTATTCCTCTACTTTTTTTTTTTTTTTTTTGAAACGGAGTCTTGCTCTGTAGCCCAGGCTAGAGTGCAATCTTGGCTCACTGCAAGCTCCGTCCCCCGGGTTCACGCCATGCTCCTGCCTCAGCCTCCCGAGTAGCTGGGACTACAGGCGCCCACCACCACGCCCAGCTAATTTTTTTGTATTTTAGTAGAGACGGGGTTTCACCATGTTAGCCAGGATAGTCTCAATCTTCTGACCTCGGGATCCGCCCGCCTCGGCCTCCCAAAGTGCTAGGATTACAGACGTGAGCCACTGCGCCCAGCCATTATTCGTCTACTCTCTTAATAAACTTGGCTTTCACTGCGGACTTGCCCTGAATTCTTTCTTGCGCGAGATCCAAGAACACTCTCTTGGGGTCTGGATCGGGACCGCCTTTTTTTTTTTTTTTTTTTTTTTTTGAGACAGCGTCTCATTCTGTTGCCCCGGCTAGAGTGCAGTGGCGCGATCTTGGCTCACTGCAACCTCCGCCTCCCACGTTCAAGCGATTCTCCTGCCTCAGCCTCCCGAGTAGCTGGGACTACAGGCAAAGGCCACCACGCCCGGCTAATTTTTGTATTTATACTAGAGATGGGGTTTCACCGTACTGGCCAGGCTGGGGGATCCCTTTCTTGTAACATGAGTACAGCCCAGGAGAGTCTGGGCTTTGCTCATACCAGAGTCTTCTGGTATCTCCAGAAGAGTCCTTTCCTCTGGAGTTCATTGACTTGAGGGACCACGGCCCTGAAATCCCTGTCTTTATCTGAATGGGGTGGACGGATCTTGCGCTGCCTGCTGTAAGCCATCTACCCACCAGAGACAGAACTCCAGCAAGCCTCAGTGAAGAATTTAAAGGTGCACGCGCGTGTGTGTGCCCGCACGTGCATACACGCAGGCATGCCCTGCAGATGAGGAAAACACCCAAAAGGTGCAGGATTAAGACAGAAAATGCAGCTGGGCGCGGTGGCTCACACCTGTAATCCCCGCATTTTGGGAGGGCGGATCACCTGAGGTCAGGAGTTTGAGGCCAGCCTGGCCAATATGGAGAAACCCCATCTCTACTAAAAAAAAAAAAAAAAAATACAAAAATTAGCCGTGCGTGGTGATGCATGCTTGTAGTCGCAGCTACTCAGGAGGCTGAGGCAGGAGAATCGCTTGAACCCAGGAGGTGGAGAGTGCAGTGAGCCAAGATTGTGCCAATGCACTCCAGCCTGGGCAACAAGAGGGAAACTCCGTCTCAAAAAAAAAAAAAAAAAAAAAGAAAGAAAGAAAATTCCTATGCCTATTACTGCTATCAGTGCTATTACTGCTGTGGCTGGTCATGAAACAGGAGAGGACAGCACAAAAAGCAGCTTACATTTTTAAAAGATTTAAAATTAAGCAAAATACAACACAAGGGTCCAGTGGACACCAAGCAAGCAGATAGCCATTTGGGGGACATTTGTTGCTCTCACGGCTTCCTGCTTTCTAGAGTCAGTTATTGGTTCTGGGACACCAAGAGACACTGGCCGACTACAAGTGTCTTCAACTCAAGTGATATTCTAATAAGTGAATCAGTTGAGACAAATAGCAAGGCTATTAATACAGCAGGCTCACAGGCCCAAGAACGAAGAACATTTTCAAACAAATCCAAAACGTTAAGACGTATTCTTTTTTTTTGAGACGGGGTCTAGCTTTGTCGCCCAGGATCTGCAGTGGTGTGATCTCAGCTCACTGCAACATTTACCCCCCGGGGTTCAAGCAATGCTCCCGCCTCAGCCTCCCAGGTATCTGGGACTACAGGCATGCACCACCATGCCCGGCTAATTTTTGTATTTTTTGGTAGAGACAGGGTTTTGCCATGTTGGCCAGGCTGGTTGCCCAAGTAATCCGCCCTGAGCCCAAGTAATCCGCCCACCTCCGTTACGGTTGTAAAGAACTGCACACATAATGAATAGAGTGGCTTATCTAAAAATGCTGGCTTATGCTATCTCAGATCTCTCTGTACAAGTAGAATCAGGGCCGGGCATGGTGGCTCACACCTGTAATCATAGCACTTTGGCAGGCCGAGGAGGGCAGATTGCTTGAGCCCAGGAGTTTGAGACCAGCCTGGGCAACACAGTGAGAACTTGTCTCTACAAATAATAAAGAAAATTAGCCGGCATGGTGGCATATGCCTGTAGTCCCAGCTTCTCAGGAGGTGGAGGTGGGAGGATCATTTAAGCCGGGGGCTGTTGAGGCTGCAGTGAGCTGAGATCAAGCCACTGACTCCAGACTGGGCAACAGAGTGAGACGCTCTCTCTCAAATAAAAAAATAAAAATAAAGCAGAATCAGGGTACAACTGTTTTATACATTTACTTTTGTCAAAAGGATGAAATTAATCTGCCAAGTGTTGGTAAGCTTCTTATGGTCTTTAGTAAATTTATTTATTTATTTTTTGAGGAGCCTCGCGTTGTCACCCAGGCTGGAGGGCAGTGGTGCAATCTCTGCTCACTGCAACCTCCACCTCCCAGGTTCAAGCGATTCTCCTGCCTCAGCCTCCTGAGTAGCTGGGACTACAGGTGCTCACCACAACACCTGGCTAATTTTTGCATTTTTAGTAGAGATGGGGTTTCACCATGTTGACCAGGCTGATCTTGAACTCCTGACCTCAGGTGATCCACCTGCCTTGGCCTCCCAAAGTGCTGGGATTACAAGCGTGAGCCACTGTGCCCAGCTAGTCTTTAGTAAATTTAAACTGGTGGTTAGATGTCATAATAGAGGGAAGCCAGTAAGATGTTACTCATTGTTTGTTGTTTTAATAAACACTGAATTAAACATTGCAAATACACCTTCTGTGTAAAAAGAAACTTTTAACATAATGGCTCTAAAGCTTTGGTACTATTGGCAAATATGAAAGTAGTTCTTTTTTTTTTTTTGAGACGCAGTCTGGCTCTGTTGCCAGGCTGGAGTGCAGTGGCGCGATCTCGGCTCACTGCAACCTCTGCCTCCCGGGTTCAAGCTATTCTCCTGCCTCAGCCTCCCAAGTGGCTGGGACTACAGGCGCACGCCACCACGCCCAGCTAATTTTTGTATTTTTAGTAGAGACGGGGTTTCACCATGTTGGCCAGGATAGTCTCAATCTCTTAACTTCGTGATCCACCCGCCTCGGCCGCCCAAAGTACTGGGATTACAGGCGTGAGCCACTGCGCCCAGCCACGTAGTTCTACCTTAAGAACACAAGGATAGACCGGGTGCGGTGACACATGCCTGTAATCCCAGCACTTTGGGAGGCCAAGGCAGGTGGATCACCTGACGACAGGAGTTCAAAACCAGCCTGGCCAACATGGTGAAACCTCGTCTCTACTAAAATACAAAAATTAGCCAGGCGTGGTGGCCCACGCCTGTAATCCCACCTACTCCAGGGGGCTGAGGCACAAGAATCACTTGAACTCGGGAGGCAGTGGTTGCAATGAGCTGAGATTACGCCACTGCACTCCAGCCTGAGCAACAGAAAGAGACTTTGTCTCAAAAAAAAAAAAAAAAAAAAGGAAAAAAAAAGAACACAGGGATGAACAAACATAACTTGTAGGGTTGTAAGAAATAAATTATGGGTATGTGAACCATTCACTTAACCATGGCTTCCACTCTCAAAATACGCTGTCAACCAATTTTGACAATAAGGATGTCCCAGAAATAATAGATGTTAAAATGATTAACCCATGATACATCCTGCTATGTGCTATGGCTTGAATGTGTCCCCCAAAGTTCTGTTTTTGAGGGGTTTTTTGTTTTTAAATGGAGACAGGGTCTCACTATGTTGGCCAGATTGGTCTTGAACTCTTGGCCTCAAGCAATCCTCCCACCTTGGCCTCCCAAAGTGCTAGGATTACAGGCATGAGCCACCAAGCCCGGCCAGAAATCTGTTCTTTAAAAGTTACTCCGTCTCAGGTATTGTCTTAGCAGCACAAAGTGAACTAAGACACATCCATAATATGAAACGTTATGCAGTAGTTTAAAGAATGAAGGTCTCCTTACTGACAAAGATCTCCAAATTAATAGTTTCACAAATTGCAGAACAGTATCAAACATCCCATTTATCGTCAGTAAATAAAACTGTCAAAATTGAGCCTTTTATTCCTGGC
Organism: Homo sapiens; assembly: GCF_000001405.40. Classification (NCBI taxonomy): domain Eukaryota; kingdom Metazoa; phylum Chordata; class Mammalia; order Primates; family Hominidae; genus Homo; species Homo sapiens. The sequence continues at coordinate 56,943,703 of NC_000004.12, read as the reverse complement.
ATAGGTGTAGCTACATTTGATCCTGTAAACTAAAGCATTCCTGACTATGCACATGAAAGTCAGAGTATTAATCTCCTTACCAGAGTCACCAGGATGGTTCACTACACAGTTCCCCCATAGACTACAAGACTTTAAGAGAAGAAATAGTGTGCTGTTGTTTGTAACCAAGAGAATGGTACACAGGTTAGTCTGTGAGAGACATCACTTCCTACATAATAATGCTTACATGCAGACTTCTTATTTCTGTAGGCTAAGTTTGCTACTTCTTCAAGTTTGAGATTTGGGTGCTAGAGAATTTTTTGGATACCTTCTAGTAATTATTCATTTGGCATTTCAATGCTGCTGTGGAATTACAGTCCTATTTGTAATAAAAATAAATGGAATATTATGGGGCTTTATTGACCAGCTGGCTTTTCGTTTTATTAGTGCCAACTATCTCTTTACTCTGATATTTTATTTCTGTACCACCTTTTTCAGGAATCAAATGTTAAGAAATTCGACTTTAGGGCCGGGCGCAGTGGCTCACACCTGTAATCCCAGCATTTTGGGAGGCCGTGGGGGGCGGATCACCTGAGGTCGGGAGTTCGAGACCAGCCTGACCAACATGGAGAAAACCCATCTCTACTAAAAATATAAAAAATTAGCCTGGCGTGGTGGCGCATGCCTGTAATCCCAGCTACTTGGGAGGCTGAGGCAGGAGAATCGCTTGAACCTGGCAGGCAGAGGTTGTGGTGAGCCGAGATTGCGCCACAGCACTCCAGCCTGGGCAACAAGAACGAAACTCCATCTCAAAAAAAAAAAAAAAAAAGAAAGAAAGAAAGAAAAAAAGAAAGAAATTCGACTTTAGGCCATGGCTCACACCTGTAATCCCAGCACTTTGGGAGGCCGAAGAGGGGCGGATCACCTGAGGTCAGGAGTTCAAGACCATCCTGGCCAACATGGTGAAACCCCACCTCTACTAAAAATACAAAAATTAGCTGGGCGTGGTGCAGGTGCCTGTAATCCTAGCTACTTGGGAGGTTGAGGCAGGAGAATCGCTTGAACCCGGGAGGTGGAGGTTGCAGTGAGCCTAGATCATGCCACTGCCCTCCAGCCTTGGCAACAGAGCGAGACTCTGTGTCGGGAAAAGAAAAAAAAAATTCGACTTTATAAGATATTAAGGGACATCATGTTGATTTTGGAAATGTTAAGTGGAAAAGAGAATATTTAAAAGACCATAACAAATTATGATATTTATGGATATTACTTTAGACTTACACTAACTTACTAGATTTCAAAGACATAGGGGTCTGATTTTTTTTTTTCCTTGAGGAGTATCACTCTGTTGCCCAGGCTGGAGTGTAGTAGAGCAATCCCAGCTCACTGCAACCTCCACCTCCTGGATTCAAGCGATTCTCCTGCCTCAGCCTCCCGAGTAGCTGGGATTACAGGCATGCGCCACCACACCTGGCTAATTTTGGTATTTTTATTAGAGACGGGGTTTCACCGTGTTGGCTAGGCTGGTCTTGAACTCCCGACATTAAGTGATCTGCCCATGTCAGCCTCCCAAAGTGCTAAGATTACAGCGTGAGCAACTGCGCCCGGCCAGATCTGATTTTTTAATAACCTGTAACATTTAGGATTTAGTAATACAATAGTAGATAACTTAATCTACAACATGAACGTGGATCAGCATGAAGTTGTGAGAGGTGTGATATTAATAAAAATAAGCGCATTAGGCTGCAAATGCTGATTCCATGTTGAGAAATCATGCATTTCAATCCGCATATACAAGTAAGTAACAAGTTAACAGTGATTAATTCTGGAGAGGAAACAAATTAAATAGAGTTAGTAGGAAGAGAGCTGTAATCAAGATGAATTCTGAGCACGTAATTGTGTGAGTTGTGACTTAAACATTATCTAATTAGAGCACATAAATGAAGACATGAAAATTGTGGTATTTCAAAGTTAATAAAAGAGTTAGGATATTGTTCTCTAAGATTGCCTCTTCTGGAAGAATCTTCAGTACTAGTAAATTTCCATTTGCGGTTTATCCCTTAAGGTATTCCATCAAGCTTTCATAAATTTTAAATCTTATAGTACTGTTATGACTTATACAGACGTTTGATGTGGCTGAGTTTGAACATCGTTGGTCACAGATTGGAACCCTTCAGTGTATTAATAGACTGTACAAAGTCTCATTCAAGGACCTGAGATGAGCACCCCAGCCCCCAACAGCTGAATGGGGTAAAGTGAATGACTGTCATGGGTCATAACACATTAATCAAATTAAGAATTGAGTCTACACCAACACTGGTGTAGAAATTAGATATGATATAAAAGAAATGAGAGAAGGGAAAGCTCTTCTTGACTGGAGAAGTTATCAGCTAATATATAAGGTATGACAGTAATAACTGATTCAAGCAAGAACCAACAGATGTTAAAATCAGTGGGTTTGTTGAGGAAGGAGACTCAATGTATACTCCCACAGAATTATAAGAAACCTTACAGTAGAGAAATCTGGCAGACAACACCTTAACAACCTAACACAACAAATATTGGAATAAGCTGACATCATGTGCCTTCTCATGTAATATAACAGAGTTAAGTATCCTTGCCAAAATGCATAACCTGAACTGGAGCTGGAAGAAACAGAAAAAAACTAAGGGACATTTTTTAAACATCTGGTGTGCACCCTTTAAAGTGTCACTGTTAAAGACAAAGGCTAAGGAATTGTTCCAAGTTAAAGGAAACTGAAGAAATGTGACAAGTGCAATGGGTAATAAATGGAGGGGATTAGGTATCAACACATTTATCAGTTTGAAGACATTCGTTGAGCATCCCAAATCTGAATTGGACCATTTCAGATTTTTTATTTTCAGATTTGGGATGCTCAACCGGTAAGTATAATGCAAATATTCAAAAATCCAAAATCCAAAACACTGTAGTCCCAAGCTTTTTGGTTAAGGGATACTCAATCTGTACAGACTAATACTAGAACATTACATTAATCTTGCTGGGTGCGGTGGCTCACGCCTGTAATCTCAGCACTTTAGAAGGCCAAGGTGAGCAGATCACTTGAGGCCGGGAGTTCCAGAGTCTGGCCAACATAGCGAAACCCCGTCTCTACTAAAAATAAAAGATTAGCCAGGAGTGGTGGCACGCGTCTGTAATCCCAGCTACTCAGAAAGCTGAGGCACAAGAATGGCTTGAAACCGAACCCGGGAGGTGCAGGTTGCAGTGAGCCGAGATTGCGCTAGATGACTGTCTCAAAAAAAATTTTTTTTTAATAATACTAATCTTCAATGTCCCGAATTAATTATACTAATTGTAGAAGAAAATGCCCTTATCCTTAGGAGATACAAATGACATATTTAGAAAGGGTATATCTGCAACTGAATTTCTAGTGGTTTAGCAAATAACATAAATATATAGAAAGCAAATGTGAGTGGTGAATCCAACTGAGGAGTATGTTTTCTTTTTTCTTTTTTTTCTTTTTTGAGACAGAGTCTCACTCTGTCACCCAGGCTGAAGTGCAATGGCACGGTCTCAGCTCACTGCAACCTCCGCCTCTGGGTTCAAGCGATTCTCCTGCCTCAACCTCCCGAGTAGCTGGGATTACAGGCGCGTGCCACCATGCCCGGCTAACTTCTGTATTTTTAGTAGAGATGGGGGGTACACCATGTCGGCCATGCTGGTCTTGAACTCCTGAGCTCAGGTGATCCGCCCGCCTTGGCCTCCCGAAGTGCTGGGATTACAGGCGTGAGCCACTACGCCCATCCTAGTATACCATTCTTTCAGTGTCTCTATAAGCTTGAACCTTTCTCAAAATAAAGTTGAAAAAAATATATTTTTCGGCCAGGTGTTTCAATGTCTCTGTAAGCTTGAACCTTTCTCAAAACCAAGTTGAAAAAAATATCTTTTTTGGCCGGGTGCGGTGGCTCACCCCTGTAATCCCAGCACTTTGGGAGGCCAAAGTGGGAGGGCTCCTTCACGTCAGGAGTTCGAGACCAGCCTGGCCAACAGGCAAAACCCCATCTCTATTAAAAATACAAAAATTAGCCGGGTGTAGTGGCGCATGCCTGTAGTCCCAGCTACTTGGGAAGCTGAGGCAGGAAAATTGCAGTGAGCCAAGGCTGCAGTGAAATGAGATCGCACTACTGCATTCCAGCCTGGGTGAAAGGGTGAGACCCTGTCTCAAAAACAAATAATAATCTTTTTCAAGTCTTGCTATTTCCTGCTACTTGGGATGACTTTTTTTTTTTTTTTTTTTTTTGGAGATGGAGTTTCGCTCTTGTTGCCCAGGCTGAAGTGCAATGACGCAATCTCGGCTCACCGCAACCTCCGCCTCCCAGGTTCAAGCAATTCTTCTGCCTCAGCCTCCCAAGTAGCTGGGACTACAGGCATGCACCACCATGCCCGGCTAATTTTGTGTCTTTTCAGTAGTGATGGGTTTTCTCCATATTGGCCAGGCTGGTCTCAAACTCCCGACCTCAGGTGATCCATCCGCCTCGGTTTCCCAAAGTGCTGGGATTACAGGCGTAAGCCACTGCGCCCGGCAACTCTCCTTACTTTGTTGGAGGCTTACAGAAAGAAAACAGTCTGTTTACAAAGAGATTTCTACATTATCAGAATTTTAAAATCACAGTAAAACTACCATTGTGTATTAGTTAATATCAATATACATATACTATTCTTGGCCTAGGCAATTAACTCTTTGTCCCTATAAGGGCCAGTATGTAAAAATAAAAGCATTCTGGCTCTCATGGAAATGTTGATTGACACAAAGGCTTACATACTACTTATATACCAGTAAAATGCTCACTACTTCGCAAACCATGCAAAAAAGGAGATGAGCTATACAACTTAACTAGAAATTGAGAAAGCACCTTTTCTTTAATATTTGGTTTGTTATCTAGTGGAAGAGGTCTTAATGCTAGCACTATATGCCAAGCAAATGCCACTCTATAGATAGATGTGCTACACATCCACTTTATAGATGAGGAAACAGGCTTAGTAAAGTTAAAATGATCTGCTTAATAATAGAAGAGAATCGCCTTGTAAACCTGGCTCCCACTGCGGGGCCCACAAAGCACTTGATACAGTGAACTTCAAATCCTTTGAAAAGCCACTTTCGGCTGGGTGCAGGGGTGGTTCACGCCTGTAATCCCAGCACTTGGGGAGGCTGAAGCGCGCGGAACACGAAGTCAGGAGATGGAGACCATCCTGACCAACGTGGTGAAACCCCATCTCTACTAAAAATACAAAAATTGGCTGGGCATGGTGGCACGTGCCTGTAATCCCAGCTACTCCGGGAGGCTGAGGCCGAAGAATCGCTTGAACCAAGGAGTCGGAGGTTGCAGTGAGCCAAGATCGCACTAGGGCACTCCAGCCTGGGTGACAGAGCAATACTCCGTTCTCAAAAAGAAAAAAAAGAAAAAAAAAAAAAAGCCACCACTTTCTTCACACTGACCTCCCTGAGTAGATGTTAGCATATGGTTCTTAGAACTTTCATCAATCTGCCTTCATGAAGCTGAGGATGAGTTTTAACAGGCTGCTCACCCTACTATACTGTTAACTCTTTCTATATTCAACCCAAGTGAGACCCTTGGGAAGAAAAAGGGATGGGGCAACAAGGCAAGTATGAATGTGTAATGTATGTTAAAAACCCTTACCAAGGATAGTTGTGGGAAAGCAACAGCAAAGGACTGGAGAGAGACCTTGTAGCAATTATTTCATTCATTAAACACCCCAAATCAAAGGATTTGTACATTCAAGCTAAACTCCCCATATATCCCAGCTCAGCTAGAAAATTCCATGCTACTCATCATCAACTCTACCATAATAAAATCAATGCTTAGAAAATTCATTTTGTAGTCGGGCATTGTGGCTCACGCCTGTAATCCCAGCACTTTAGGAGGCCGAAGCAGGTGAACTGCCTGAGTCCAAGAGTTCAAGACCATCCTGGGGAGCAAGGCAAAACCCTGTCAATAGAAAAAAAAGAAGAAAGAAAAAAACTAGCTGGGTGTGTGGCATGCACCTGTAGTTCCAGCTACTCCAAGAGGCTGAGGTGGGAGGTTTGCTTGAGTCCAGAAGGTTGAGGCAGAAGTGAGCCATGATGGTGCCACTGCACTACGGCCCGGACAACAGAGCAAGACCCTGTCTCAGAGGAAAAAAAAGTTAATTTTGCTTTGTTGCTGATAAGGAGTTTTGCAGGAAGTGGGAAGAGGGTGAATAACTCACCAATCCAAATATGAAATACCATTCTCCTGACTCAGAATCTTCCAGATCTGACACTGCATCAAAACAAAATGTGGCAAGGCATGATGGCTCATGCCTATAATACGAACGCTTTTGAGAGGAGGCGGCAAGAGGCGTGGTGGGGTAGGTCTGTAGTCCCAGCTACTCAGGAGGCTGAGGCAAGAAGACCACTTGAGCCCAGGAGTTCAAGGCTGCAGGAACTGTGATCATGCCACCACACTCCAGCCTGGGAGACAGAGTAAGACCGTTTCTCAAAACAAAAAAACAACAGGCTGGGCGTGGTGGCTCACACCTGTAATCCCAGCACTTTGGGAGGCCAAAGTCGGAGGAATACTTCAGCTCAGGAGTTCGAGACCAGCCTGGGCCACATGGTGAAACCCCATCTCTACTAAAATACAAAAATTAGCTGGGTGTTGTGGCGGACACCTGTAATCCCAGTTACTCAGGAGGCTGAGGCAGGAGAATCGCTTGAACCTGGAGGCCGAGGTTGCAGTGAAAGGAGATCATGACATGGCACTCCAGTCTGGGCGACAGAGCAAGACTCCGTCTGGGAGAAGAAAAAAAAAAAAACACACAGGCCAGGCATGGTGGCTCACATCTGTAATCCCAGCATTTAGGGAGACTGAGGTGGGAGGATCATCTGAGTCCACCCTGGGCAACACAGAACTCCGTCTCATTTTATAAAAAACAGCCGGGCACGGTAGCTCATGCCTGTAATCCCAGCACTTTGGGAGGCTGAGGCGGGTGGATCAGGAGGTCAGGAGATCGATACCATCCTGGCCAACGTGGTGAAACCCCGTCTCTACTAGAAATACAAAAATTGGCCAGGCGCGGTGGTGGGCGCCTGTGATCCCAGCTACTTGCGAGGCTGGGGCAGGAGAGTTGCTTGAACCCGGGCAGCAGAGGTTGCAGTGAGCTAGGATCATGACACTGCACTCCAGCCTGGGCGACAGAGACTGTTTCAAAAAAAAATAAATACATAAAATAAAACATCTTCATGAATCAAAATTCACTAATTCCAGGCCTGCTACTGAAAAGGGATATGCATATGAAAACTATTAAGGGGACTTGTGGTTGGGAAGTAATTACTATTTAAAATCTTGTGTGAATTGTCCAATTTCTCCCGCACCTCCCATCAAGCAGTGTATGCTTTGGGTTACTACCCATACTGGACTGTTACCTCAGACAACATGCTGTGACTTTTCTACCTGTGATACTTTTTTTTTTTTTTTTTTTAAAGACAGAGTCTCACACTCTCGCCTGGGCTGAAGTGCAATGGCACGATCTCGGCTCACTGCAACCTCCACCTCCTGTGTTCAAGCGATTCTCTTGCCTCAGCCTCCCGAGTAGCTGGGATTACAGGCGCCTGCCACCACACGCAGCTAATTTTTGTATTTTTAGTAGAGACGTGGTTTCACTATGTCGGCCAGGCTGGCCTTGAAATCCTGACCTCATGATCCACCTGCCTCAGCCTCCCAAAGTGCTGGGATTACAGGCGTGAGCCACTGCGCCCAGCCTGAGAAATAATCTTCAAAAGCCTATTAATACACTTGCAGTTCCAGCAACATAAATTTGGCTTTCCTACATTCTGGATATACCAATAATAAACAAAGGCATCATGGTTTTTAAAACTTTATTTCAACATAACTATGCTTACAGAAATACACTCATATTGGTTAATAGAATGCAATTTAAGTTTAACTTATCCTACATAATTTGGACCAAAAACTTGGTACATGGTTTAGGATTTTAAAAAAGGATTTGCAATCTGGTTTATTTTTATCTATTACAAATGTATAAAAGATCTTCCATCAAATGCTGCTAAAGAAGGCAGCAAGAACCTTGAGAAATTTACCTTTGGTTTGCCTCAGAAAAGTAACACGTATTGCACTGCTTAAGTTTATAAAATTGGTGCAACAAAACATTGTTGTAATGTTTCAATGCCAGTTTAGAAAGTTCAATAACTAATGGATATGGAAGGGACCGGGAGGGAACCTATGTACACATGTGAAACTGTAAAAGCTATCTGATTTAGTTAATATTGCATGTAGATTGTAAATCTACACAAACCAAGATTCAGATAATTTCTTCAATCTGAATTAACACTATCTGTTCACTTCATCTGCTGAGGTCAACCAGGAAACTAGGAACACCAGCTGTAAGTTTTTCTGACTTATGTAAAAAAGAAACTTAACTTTCTTCCTCAGCTTATCAATCCAGAAGTGACAGTATACTACAGGCAAGGTATTCCTTCCATTGTCAACATTCATAGGGTGACATGCAATGAGGTCTACTTGGGTTTTAATTTGTATCAGCACTCATACGCAAAACAGTCTCCAAAGTTAATTACCACATGACTTTAGAAGTGACTCTAAAAAATAAAATGGCCCTTCTTAGAAGACTAGAGCAAAAGATCCAGCCATAGTTATAAGCCTTATTAAAAAAAAAAAAAAATGCAGCCCTTTGTGAATTACACAACTAAAAAAAAAAGTAGCCCCAGAATAAGAAGCAGCTCTGAAAAGAGGAAAAAATATAACTTAAAATATCTTGAAAACCAATGTGAATACAGGTTCAAAAGATAGTTAAGAGATTCATTTTCATAAGACTACCTAAGATTAAGGCTTATAATATATGCTAGTATTTCAAGTTTATCACTAATTACTAAACATCAATTTACAAATAACATGTTCAATTTTTGTTCTTTTATCCAAAGGGAAAATTCTAGGCTAAATTCTATCCAGTGTGGGGGAGGGGGACTAGAAAATAAAAAAGTTTCAAACAGTTCCATGCAAACATCACATTTTTCAAATGGAAAAACTTCCAACTGGACCAGAAGTTCATACTGCTAATGTACTTTTCATTGAAACAATTTTTAGTAAGTACAAATACATGGCATTAAGGTTCAGAACCTAATATAGGCCTGACAATCAAGTCCTTATTTTCTGGAGGAAGGCCTCAAGTCCAATAAATTTCCAGTAACAATGTTTTTACAAATCAATTTAATAATAAGGGGTTTTAATTTCCTTCATGTTTTTGTTTTTAGCATTCTAGTCTTAAGACTAGATTAGAAGTTAGCTCAATTCCCCAAAAGGCAAATGGTTTTTCTTTGCAGTATGAAAGAATCCACAAAAAAACCTCTTCCCCAAACTAATTCCTAATAACCAATCTGTGCTTAAGATGTATCTTTTTCTATACAATGTAAACGGTAACTTAGGTAAAATGTACCCATGAACATTAAAACTAGTCATTAGAAAGACTTAACTAGCTTTATAATTTAAGTTTTAAAACATAAATATTTGCAGCTTGATCTTCTGTTGACAATGATTGTCGGAGCCTAGAATTCAACATTTACAATGTCCATTCATGCACACAAAACACATACCATTATCACACAACTTACTCCTCATGTCTTAAGAGAAGAATCTTCCGCTTCTTTAAATCTTTGGCCTCCCAGTCAATGCCATGTTCAAACAACTTTTAACTCAAACTTCACTCTCAGATTTTTAACAAGCTTTCCACCCACACGTTATTAATGCTTTTCCTAATCTTTCATGTTGTACTGCCAAATCTGAAACCTGCCTCAAAGAGATCATCAGATTTTTAAAAAATGAAATATAAAGTGGTTATTTCAAAACGGAGTATGGGAGGTCAGAATTCAAGATTCCCTAATGGGATCATATTTTATTTTACTGCAATGAATGACTGCTATCAGTAAGAAAAATCCTCTATTGGATTCTTTCACACTCTTTGGCAACTGGCCAAAGAACCTACAAAAATGTTTTGGAGTACATGCCCTTTTTCATACAAAGTGCCCTCATAGGAACACCAGGATAGCTGCAATTCATTTGAGGCCTCACCTATAGAAAGAGGCTATCACACAGACAGCCAGGACACCCACCAGTTTGTGGAGATCCCTGAGAAAGTATGATTTTAAAAAATCTGGACTGTACTTGTTTCACCAGCCTTTTTCACTGTATAGGAAAGTTGCAGCTGGTCTACCAGCACTCATACTACCTTTCTTATCCTAGGTTTGCCGCGTAATAGCTATGGCTTTGGAATCTCCCAAGTGATATTCTATAAAACTTGAAGGAATAATTATATCTCCTAATTCCAGGTTTGTAGTTTCCAAATATCACTTACAGTTCTCTTTATTGTAAAGTAGCCATATGAACACCAACCATCTATGAGAAAAGGTTCTCCTCAAACATTTAACACTCTACAATTAGGAATTAGCTGTACCAAAACACATGAAAAAAAAAACTGATGGTTGGTATTTGAGATAAAAATTTGTTCGACATGCAACCTAGTGGTTTATTTATTGCAAAATCAAAACTGATAGCTGTGAATTTACTACATCCATTCGAAATAAATAAGTTATATGAAATACAGATTCTGGCATAGATATAAGATGTAAAAATCAAAATCAATAGATTGAACCTGCATATTTCATTTGCTCACAAACTTGCACACACTATTATTCTGCAAAATAGACAACTGCAGCAAAGAAAAAGAAAACTGCCCTTTTGCAAACAAGTCTAAAAGCATCCCTCCAAAGACGCCAAACAAAATAAACATGCATATATATATGTATAAAGTGTTACTGTTCAACACAAATGCTATTTCTAGGAAAAATTTAACTGCATAGGCAAAAAAACATAAACAGAAACCAAAAGAAAAAAAAAATGTGCAACATCTTAAGCCATTAAAGCACCAAAATAAAAAACACACCAAAATCACTGTTTTTATGACGATTAACATACACAAATAAAAAATATTGATCAAAACTCAGGAAGTAAATACTTGGACTGATAGACTGTCTATTGCTGGGGGAATTTTTCTTCAATTTAAATGTCTTCTCATCTCTAAAAAAAAAAATCTTAAAGTGCTAACTTTATATAAAGCAGGCAAATTCTTCAAGTAATTTGCTATTAAGTAAGCCAATTTTTTATAGATCTCAATAAAAAACGAAGAATAAACTAAAGTGAAACAGGAAGATAAGACATGGAGAAAAAAATGACAAGTTGTAGCTGGACAAAGCAATAAAATGCTGTTATACCATCTTAGCCTTCTAATTTCAATTAAACACATAAGCTAACAGATACCTGCTGGTTTAGTACACTCTCTTAGATTTACTAAAATTTACACAACAATCAACAGGTATACATAAAAAGTCCTAAGGAAAAGAATGCCACTTAAAAATCAACATCAGATACTAATTAAAGCAATCTTAAAAGGTTGTCTGCTATCATAAATGAATATAAAATGTAATATACCTTACAAACTAAGAACTGAAACCTTGTTCAAAGTTTCATTACTCCTGCCCTTGAGCTGCTTCTTCAAGATAGTACACATTAACCAAATGGCGATTGAGGTGTTTGCTGTAATCTTTTCCCTTTCTGAAAGAACGATCACAGAAGATACAAACAAAATCTCCCTTAGCCGCTTTGACTGCCAAGGCTTCCTTTGCATTTTTTCTGCTAGATTCTTGTGGAACTGGCCGAGCCCCATGCAATCCAGAATCATCACTACCCTCTGACATGTTGTCACTTAGGTCACTTCCTTCATGGCTGTGGATGCCTTCATCTTCATCAATTTCCTGAGACTCATTTGCTGCCATTGTAGCAGGAGGTGATGCCAGTGCAGTTTTGGACACTGCTTCACGTTCTTCTACTGCTGAAGGGGGAAGCATTGGTGAAACTGGTTCTTCAACTGTTGAATTTATACCAGTGAGATTCTCTCTTGTGTTCTGATCAGTGTCCATTTTCATTTCACAAACTATACTGTCAGTCTGATGTTTACCATTTAAAGTTTCACCCTCTGGCGTATTCAAGTTTTGTCCAGAGGATGAAATATGGGTAGATTCGTTGATATTAGCAGCAAGACCAGGTAGGCTCTCATCTGCCTCTTCTGCTCCTACTTTCTGAAGAGGGGCTTCTTTATTTCCTTCACCTGTGTTGAGTAATTTTTGGTCTCCTGATGCCTCTTCTCTTAAATTTTCCTTTGGCAGTGGTGGTGATGGTGGTGAGAGATCCTCTGTGCTTACACTTTCCTTTAGAAGCCAGCTATCTTTAACAGGCACTAAGCCAACTTCAATAAGGACTTGCTCCTTCCGTGCCCTTTCACTCTGCATGTTAGACTTTTCCTTTTTATCTTTTCGGAGAGGAGGCTTTTTGGAAATTGGCTCCATGTGAAGGGGAGGCTCTCTGGGAGGAGGTGGCTCCCTCTGAGCAGGCTCCTTCTGAACCACCCCCATGGGAGGAGACAACTCCATCTGAACAGGCTCCTTCTGGACCACCTCTATGGGAGGAGACAGCTCTATCTTAACAGGTTCCTTCTGGACCACCTCCATGGGAGGAGACAGCTCTATCTGAACAGGCTCCTTCTGGACCACCTCCATGGGAGGAGACAGCTCCATCTGAACAGGCTCCTTCTGGACCACCTGCATGGGAGCAGATTCTACCTGGGCAACCTCCATCTGAGCAGGTTCCATGGGAGCAGGCCCCATTTGGGCAACCTCCGTCTGAGCAGTCTCCATGGGAGGAGGCAGCTCCATGTGAGCAAGTACAATTTGGGCACCCACCATCTGAGCAGGCTCCACGGGAGGCAGCAGCTCCTTCTGAGCAGGCCCCTCCTGAACCACCTCCATCTGAACAGGCTCGTCAGGAGCAGGCCGTATCTGGGCACCCTCCATCTGAGCATGCTCCATGGGAGGTGGCGGCTCCACCTGAACGGGCCCCTTCTGAACCGCCTCTGTGGGAGCAGGCCCCATCTGAGGAGGGTCCATCTGAGCAGATCCCTTCTCAACAGGTTCCTTCTGAGGAGGCTTACTGCTTTTCTTACTTGATTTATTTTTCAGAGTTTTCTTCTTTGTACTTTTTTTCATGCAAGTATTTTGCTTTTTATTCTCCTCCACTTTGCTGTCACCCTTTGGCACTTCCTGACTATTATTTTTGGATTTGCTTTCTACCTTCTTTTTCTTTTTTGTTGAAGATTCCTCATCATTCACAGGACCATGTAAAGAATGGCTGTCAACTTCCAGCTTCCTTTTGCTTTTCTTAGTTTTACTGAATTTTTCTGAATTGCTTCCTGTATGCACATCCATCTCTTTCACCTCTGTTACTGATTTTCGAGTTCTGGTAGTCACCTGGATCACTGACACATTATTAGAAGGCTTTTTCTCTTTTGAGACATCTCTTTTCTCTGCTTTGACGGACTTTTCATTTTTCTTTCCAGCCACATCCCCTTTTATTTTTGTTTGTTCTATTTCTGTTTTTTCATTGGTAATATTATCAGGCAAGTCAGCCTCTCGTTTTTTGGTTTTCTTTAGTTTCACTTTTGAGACATCCATTGTTTTATTAGGACAAGTAGGATGCTTAGATTTGAAGTGATACTGTAGATTACACTTCTTGGAAGCTGCATAGTCACATACAGGGCAATTGAACTGCCGTGGGTTCACATGTAGCTCTACATGTTTTTTGAAGTTGCTTCTATCTGCTGTTTTGTAATCACAGTGTGGGCAATTAAGAGGTTTAGGCCCATTGTGAACCTGTCTTGCATGGCGGGTTACTTCATGTTGATTAGAGGCCACATAACTGCACTGATCACATTTAAATGGCTTCTCACCTGAAGGCAAATCAAAAGTATGAGAGAAGACATAGATTAAGACAAATTCAAGATTAAAATATAAAGAACTGTATATGTAAAGTAACAACAAAGACTATTTAAAATGCTGTATCATGCACCTTACATTTACCATATTTATTTGTATAACATTTCTCTATCCCTTGACATTGATTCTCAAAAGAGAGGAATAAATCTCAGTTAACCACAAGCTTCAAAAAAGTTCAAGTTAGAGTCCTCAAGCACTACTAAAGAACAGAGATTCTTTAAGACATACACATATTGGCAAAGTTCAATTGGGCTCTGGATGTTAATTTGGAGGAATATTATCAACTTAAAAATTTTTTTGTGTGTTTAGTTAAATGCCTAATGGAGTAGAAAATAAAATTCTGGCCAGGTGCAGTGGCTCACAACTATAACCTCAACTCTCTGGGAGGCCATGGCAGAAGGACTGCTTGAGCCCAGGAATTAGAGAACAACCTGAGCAAAATAAATCAAAACAAAATTAACTTTGGGAGGCCAAGGTGGGCGGATACCTTGAGGCCAGGAGTTTGAAACCAGCCTGGCCAACACGGTGAAACCCCATCTCTACTAAAAATACAAAAAAAATTAGCTGGGCGTGGTGTTGCACACCAGTAATCCCACCTATTCAGGAGGCTGAGACACGAGAATTGCTTTAACCCAGGAGGCAGAGGTTGCAGTGAGCTGAGATCGCACTACTTCACTCCAGCCTAGGTGACAGCGAGACTGTGTCTCAAAGAAAAAAAAAAAAAAAAAATTAGCCAGGCATAGTGGAGTGCACCTGTAGTCCTAGCTACTCGGGAGGCAAAGGCGGGAGGACCGCTTAAGCCCAGGAATTTGAAGTAGCAGTGAGTTGTGAATGTGCTACTGAACTCCAACCTGGGCAACAGAGCAAGGCCCTGTCTCAAAAATAAATCAATACATAAAATTCCCAGCCAGGTGCGGTAGCTCACACCTGTAAATCCCAGCACTTTGGGAGGCCAAGGCAGGTGGATCACCTGAGGTCAGGAGTTCAAGGCAAGCCTGGCCAACATAGTAAAACCCCATCTCTACTAAAAATATAAAAAAATTTAGCTGGGCGTGGTGTTGCATGCCAGTAATCCCACCTACTAGGGAGGCTGAGACACGAGAATTGCTTTAACTCAGGAGGCGGAGGTTGCAGTCAGCTGAGATCCCACCACTTCACTTCAGCCTGGGCGACAGTAAGACTTTGTCTCACAAAAAGAAAAAAAAAAAAAAATTAGCCAGGCATGGTGGAGTGCACCTGCAGTCCCAGCTACTTGGGAGGCAAAGGCGGGAGGACCACTTAAGCCCAGGAATCTGAAGTAGCATGGAGTTGTGAATGTGTTACTGTACTCCAACCTGGGCAACAGGGCAAGGCCCTGTCTCAAAAATACATCAATAAATAAAATTCCCAGCCAGGTGTGGTGGCTCACACCTGTAATCCCAGCACTTTGGGAGGCGAAGGCAGTGGATCACCTGAGGTCAGGAGTTCAAGACCAGCCTGGCCAACATGGTGAAACCCTGTTTCTACTAAAAATACAAAAAATTAGCCGGGTGTAGTGGCAGATGCCTGTAATCCCAGCTACTCAGGAGGCTGAAGAAGGAGAATTGCTTGGACCCAGAAGGCAAGATTACAGTGAGCCAAGATCGCACCACTGCACTACAGCCTGGGCGACAAGAGCGAAACTTCGTCTCAAAAATAAATAAAAATAAAATAAAATTCCCATACTCCCTCCACCCTAAATTTCTTATGGTAAATCTTGAGAAAAATATCTTTCACTCTGGGCGATACTCCCAGATCCTAGGTGCAAAAGTTTTGAAATTCTGCTTTAGTCTGAGCAAAGGCTTTTTCTTGAAATTTAATCCTTCTGTCCGTCATGGCAAGAGCTGAGTAAATTTTCACTTAGCAAACTTCCTGCGCTAGCATTGCTATTTTAAAGCAAAAATATAGGCCAAGGTAATTATTCAGAAAACTTTCTTGATTTTCCCCCCACCTTTCTATAAAATACATAAAGGAACTAGGTAATGAGAAGTGGCACACAAATAGATATGGTATGTAAAATAAGCAAAGTCACAATCACTGATACATAAAAAACCAGAACCCCCACCCCCAAATTAAAGGCATAAGAGTAATACATTCTACCTGAATACATACCCATCTAGATCACACTCTAGTAAATATTACCAAATGGTATCCATACCCCACTGGTCCAATGGAATGCATAGTAGAAAAACGGAAATTGACATTTATGAAAATTCATCTCAAACATTCTCAAATTCATATCAAATTGTACTAAAAATTTTCATAAAGCAAAACTCAGACATTAGGTAAAACCATGTAGATGTTAAGTTTTACATGATTAGAAAATGCCTGGTGATAAAATAATCACCTTATCCAGGTAGTCAAATTAGATATTCAGCTGACTGGACAATTCTTCTCCATGTTGGTCTACTAACAGATTTACAAATATGCAAGTTTCTACAACATGCTACATTACTCTATACCTGGTTCTCTCCAGTGAATGATTTAAATGGAGACAAACATTTTAACATACGTGGACATAGAATGTAGAAAGATAGGTAGCATAAGGCCTAAGAACTTCTAGATAGAGCTAGACCATCTGGGAGATAAAACATGAGCTCTGCAAGTTGCTCACTCTGAGACTTTGAGCAAAGTCCTGAAACCTCTCTAGAGTTCAATTTCTTTCTTTTTTTTTTTTCTTGAGATGGAGTTTCACTCTTGTTGCCCAGTCTGGAGTGCAATGGCGCGATCTCGGCTCACTGCAACCCCCGCCTCCCAGGTTCAAGCGATTCTCCTGCCTCACCTTCCCTAGTAGCTGGGATTACAGGCATGTGCCACTAAGCCTGGCTAATTTTGTATTTTTAGTAGAGACGGCATTTCTCCATGTTGATCAGGCTGGTCTCGAACTCCTGATCTCAGGTGATCCACCCTCCTCGGCCTCCCAAAGTGCTGGGATTACAGGCGTGAGCCACCGCGCCCGGCCTCAATTTCATCTATAAAATACTCTCTAAGTGTTGTGAGCTATAAATAATCTAATCTATGTAAAGTCCTTAACATGGAGCAGACAGCAAGAACTCAAAATGTGTTACCTATAATTGTTCACTTTTGGAACCAATTGGTAACTTTGAGTATGGATAAATAAAAGGGAAGACTCAGCAGGGCGCGGTGGGTCACGCCTGTAGTCCCAAAACTTTGGGAGGCATTTTTGTAAAAATATAAAATTTGGGGAGGCATTTTGTAAAAATACAAAAAAATTAGCTAGGCGTGGTGATGCGTGCCTACAGTCCCAGCTACTTGGGAGGCTGAGGCAGGAGAATCCCTTGAACCCGGGAGGCAGAGGGTGCAGTGAGCCGAGATCGCACTACTGCACTCCAGCCTGGGCAACAGAGCAAGACTCCATCTCAAAAAAATAAATAAATAAAAAAGGCTGGGCGCAGTGGCTCACGCCTGTAATCCCAGCACTTTGGGAAGCCGAGGCAGGCGAATCAAGAGGTCAGGAGTTGGAGACCAGGAGCCGGAGACCAGTCTGGCCAATATGGTGAAACCCCATCTCTACTAAAGATACAAAAACTTAGCCAGGCGTGGTGGTGCATGCCTGTAATCCCAGCTACTCGGGAGGCTGAGGCAGGAGAATCACTTGAACCCAGGAGGCGGAGGTTACAGTGAGCTGAAATCGTGCCATTGCACTCCAGCCTGGACGACAGGGTGAGACTCCATCTCAATCAATCGATCAATCAAGGGGAAGACTCTTACGTATCCTGTCTTTCCTACATCATGAGTAAATAGATAAGTGGAATTTATCTCTTCTCTTCATATTTACACACTAATAAAATAACTATAATTAAAATAGCACCATTTTATAACTCTGATGAATAAGGAGATCTATAGAGCAAGCATGCATCCATCAAGGTGCGAGGGTCCACCTAAGGAATGGTGAACGGAAAGGGAGGATGTAGAAATTTTCTGTTTAAAATTTGATGGCATGATTTATTTGCTCCGTTCTTTTTCTCCCGTAATTTTTACTTTATTGCCATGAAGTCTTGCTTATATTAAAATATATTCATCAAGATTTTCTAATTAGTACCTACCTGAATATTAACTTTTGCCCTGTACAAACAATTTTAAATTCTTTTTCCCAATTCTAGTAACAGGTTCTCTTCTTTATAAATCTACCAATTGTCTGTTTTATGCCTCCGAAATGAATTTATAGGTGTAAGCCAAGACAAAAGGGGAAAGAGTTCTGCAAGCTTTACACATACGTATCAAAAATATTCTTAGAAGAATGGCCAGGCATAGTGGTTCACACCCGTAATCCTAGCACTTTTGGGAGGATGAGGTGAGGAAGATTGCTTGAGCTAAGGAGGTTGAGACCAGTCTGGGCAACCTAGTGAGACCCTGTGTACAAAAAAATTTTTAAATTAGCCACATGTTATAGCACAAGCCTACAGTGCCACCTACTCCAGAGGCTGAGGTGGGAGGATCGTTTGAGCCTAGGAGGTTAAAGCCGCAGTGAAAAATACACAAATACAAGCCTCTCAATTTAAGTTTTTAAATTAATTCCCTTAAAAATAAAAACAAAACAAAACAAAAACCAAGAGAGAATGGCAAAGAAATTTTTTTTTTTTTTTTTTTTGAGACTGAGTCTCGCTCAGCTGCCCAGGCTGGAGTGCAATGGCGCAATCTCGGCTCACTGCAACCACCGTCTCCCGGGTTCAAGTGATTCTCCTGTCTCAGCCTCCGGAGTAGCTGGGATTACAGGCACCCGCCATCATGCCAGGCTAATTTTTGTATTTTAGCAGAGATGGGGTACCACCATGTTGGCCAGCCTGGTCTTGAACTTCTGACCTCCGATGATCCGCTCACCATGGTTTCCCAAAGCGCTAGGATTACAGGTGTGAACAACCGTGCATAGCCGGCAAAGAAAATTTTTAAGTAAAAAGTAATGGCGGCATACAATACATTACCAGCAATAAAATGAAGTCCAATAACGCAACATGGATAAATCTCAAGAACATTTTATAAAAGAATGTTCTAAAACTAGGTGCAGTGGCTCATGCCTGTACTCCTAGCACTTTGGTAGGGTGAGGCAAGTGGATCGCTTGAGCCCAGGAGTTCAAAACCAGCCTGGGCCAACATAGTAAGACTCCATCTCTACAAAAAAGAAAGAAAAAAAAAAAACAGGCATGGTAGCGCACACCTGTGGTCCCAGCTACTTGGGAGGTTAAGGTGGCAGGACTGCCTGAGCCCAAGAGGTTTAGACAGCTGTAACTGCACCCACTGCACTCCACCCTGAGTGACAGAGTGAGATCCCACCTCAAACAAACAAATTCTATAATGTTCTTTGGTAGGAGACAGAATATCATCCAGGGGAAAGACTGGGTGGAAAGGGCAAGGTGTTTCTGAGCAGAAATATTCCATCTCTTGTTCTTGAGTGATAATCAAATAGGTGAAAGCATAGTCACTGAGCTGTACACTCAAGACCTGTGCATTTTTAAATTTATAAATTATATCTCAATAAAATAGTTTTTAAAATTTATTCTACAAAGACTCTCAAGCCATCACAATATCTTTCAAACAATCCCAGCTATTTAAAAGTCCCTTGGCACCAACGTTATCAACAGAAAAAAATAAAACATGTCTGTCTGGGCACAGTGACTCAAACCTGTAATCCCAACACTTTGGGAGGCTGAGACAAGAGAACTGCTTGAGGCCAGGAGTTTGAGGCCAGCCTGGGCAACACAGCAAGACCCAGTCTCCATAGAAAGAAATAGGATATTGGCCGGGTGTGGTGGCTCACGCCTGTAATCCCAGCACTTTGGGAGGCTGAGGCGGGCAGATCATGAGGTCAGGAGATCAAGACTATCCTGGCTAACATGGTGAAACCCCGTCTCTACTAAAAATACAAAAAATTAGCCTGGCATGGTGGCACGAGCCTGTAGTCCCAGATACTAGGGAGGCTGAGGCAGGAGAATCGCTTGAACCTAGGAGGTGGAGGTTGCAGTGAGCCGAGGTCGCACCATTGCACTCCAGCCTGGGCGACAGCAAGACTCAGTCTCAATAAATAAATAAATACGATATTTAAATAAAAATAATAGTTCCAGCCAGGCGCGGTGACTCATGCCTGTAATTCCAGCACTTTGGGAGGCTGAGGTGGGTGGATCAACACCTCTACTAAAAATACAAAAATCAGCCAGGCATGGTGGCGGGTGCCTGTAATTTCAGCTACACAGGAGGCTGAGGAAGATTCTATAGCTTGAACCCGGGAGGTAGAAGTTGCAGTGAGCCGAGATCGCACCATTGTACTCTAGCTGGGTGACAAGAGCGAAACTGTCTCAAAAATAATAATAATAATAATAGTCCCCAATTAGCTGGAGTGGTGGCATGTGCCAGTAGACCTAGCGACTCAGGAGACTGAGGCAAGAGGATGGCTTGAGCCTAGGCATATGAAGTTGCAGTGAGGCATGATCGCATCACTGCATTCCAGCCTGCGCAGCAGAGTCCCCAACTCCAAAAACAACAACAACAAAATTACTTATTTGTGAGCTTGTATCCTATAATATGTAATCTGAAACTCAGTATCTTCGTAGTACTAAGACTGGAGACAGCAAATACTTGTTTTTACTATTCAGCATACATACAATAGCTAGTGGCTACTACTAGTTTTTAAGACACCATTAAAATACTTGCTATACTGTAACAGCAAATACTAAAAATCATCTTTAAAATACAGCAGGCAAAACTCAAAACATTTTGCAAACCCAAATACAACTGTTTCAGTCAAAGATTATCAACTGGTGTAAAACACCATAAACATTTAAACAGTGACAAGACAAAGTATTACTAATTGAACGAAAGGATAAAAGTATGTAGTCATTCTAAATGCAGTGACCTAACATTATATTAATGGGTCAACCACGTGACTTTAAATGAGGCATATCATTTGCGAGAAAGATTATCAAGCATTTAAATTTAATTTCCAGTTTACAATACAAAGGACAGAAGAAAAGCTAAATGACACCATGAGAAAACAAGTGGACATATCCAGAAGGAAGGACATTCTACAGGAAAAAAGGTCGTATTTTTTTCAATGCCCTACATTCCCCAACTGTAAAATGGGGATAATAGAACTCATGCAACATAAAATATTTATGAAGACAAAAACTAGTTAACTAATATAAAGCTCTTGGCCGGGAGCAGTGGCTCACGCCTGTAATCCCAGCACGTTGGGAGGCTGAGGCAGGCGGATCACCTGACATCAGGAGTTCGAGACCAGGCTGGTCAACATGGTGAAACCTCATCTCTACTAAAAATACAAAATTAGCTGGGTGTGGTGGCACATGCCTGTAATCCCAGCTACTTGGGAGGTTGAGGCAGGAGAATCGCTTGAACCTGGGAGACGGAGGTTGCAGTGAGCTGCGATCACACCATTTTATTCCAGCCTGGGCAACAAGAGCGAAACTCCATCTCAGAAAAAAAAAAAAAGTAATAATAATAATAATAATAATAATAATAATAATAATACAAAGCTCTCAAATATTTTACTAAAAAGCTAGTACAACTATCAACAGGACATGATGCTTACCTCCAAAGTCTGAAATTGCATCCACATTACCATCAGAGAATGAAACCAAAAAACACCCAAAAATAATAAAACCAGGTTTCTGGTTAAGTGGCACCACTCAATGGCTTAGATTTAGGAAAAAAACACTCAAAGTACATTAGCGTGACAAGCACGTAGGGTCAAGAAAGGCTAGCAACTATACTACAGGACACCTTCATAGCTGTTCAAATAAATCAGAATCTGTGACATAATCAAGTCTTATTATCAAGTCTTGTTACTAACTCATGGCAGCAATGTCCAGTAGAAATATAATGCATATCACACATGTAATCTTAAATTTTCTAGTAGTCATACCACAAAGGTAAAAAGGAAACAGTTAAAATTAATTTTATTACTTTTTAAAGCCAATGTATACAATAATTTTGCCATATGATCAACTTGAAAAATAAATATTTAACATTCTTTTATTTTTTCTCTAACCTGCTTCAGAGAAAGATAGTCTTTTCTTCACATTGTTTGAAATCTGTGGCCGGGCGCGGTGGCTCACACCTGTAATCCCAGCACTTTGGGAGGCCAAGATGCGCAGACCACTTTAGGCCAGGAGTTCGAGACCAAGCTGACCAACATGGCGAAACCCCATCTCTACTAAAATTACAAAAATTAGCTGGGTATGGTGGCACATGCCTGTAATCCCAGCTACTGGGGAGGCTGAGGCATGAGAATTGCTTGAACCCCGGAGGCAGAGGTTGCAGTGAGCTGAGATGCGCGCCACTGCACTCCAGCCTGGGGGATACAGCAAGACTCTGTCTCAACAGAAAAAAAATAATAATAAAATAAAATTTAAAAAATCTGGTAAGTACATATTTTATAAGTATCAATTCAAACTACTAATGTTTCGAAAGCTTAATAGCCACATGTGGCTAGTGGCTACTCAAGCGAATAGCACAGATCTAAGCTAATTATTAACTTAAGGGAGATGGTTCTACATAGGCTTTTGTAACAGCAAGATTTAAGATACTTTTCCCACAGGGATATACATTCTAAATCTGTATTCTAATTAGAAGTGGTAGTTCGGCCAGGCATGGTGGCTCATGACTGTAATCCCAGTACTTTGGGAGGCCAAAGTGGGTGGATCATGAGGTCAGGAGTTCGAGACCAGCCTGACCAACATGGTGAAACCCCATCTCTACTAAAAATACAAGAATCAGCCGGGCATGGTGGTGCGCGCCTGTAATCCCAGCTATTCAGGAGGCTGAGGCAGGAGAATCGCTTGAACCTGGGAAGCGGAGGTTGCGGTGAGCTGAGATCGCACTACTGCACTCCAGCCTAGACGACAGAGCAAGACTCCGTCTCCAAAAAAAATATAAAAATAAAAAGTAAAAGTGGTAGTTCACCAAGAGTCAATCAGGGCTACCCATTCAAGCAAGACCACCAATGCTAACATTACTTTTTAACTTGGCCACTTGAATACTTTGACAATAGGGACTTTTTTTTCAAGATAGAGTTTCGCTCTTGATGGCGTGATCTCGGCTTACAACCTCTGCCTCCTAAAGTTCAAGCAATTCTCTTGCCTCAGCCTACTGAGCAGCTGGGATTACAGGCATGCGCCACCACGCCTGGCTAATTTTGTATTTTTAGTAGAGACAGGATTTCTCCATGTTGGTCAGGCTAGTCTCAAACTACCCCGCCTCAGGTGATCCGCCCACCTTGGCCTCCCAAAGTGCTGGGATTAAGGGCGTGAGCCACCATGCTGGCCAACAGGGACTAATTATGAGTGGTGATGGTGATTGTTTCAGTCACTGGAGTGGACGAATCTCTCATGTTACAGTCCTATACTCTTAATACAGCTTAATAAATTGGCATCCTAGATTGTCTATCA